>NC_000011.10:112930000-113233030 GCF_000001405.40 Homo sapiens | reverse complement strand
GTATCCTGTCCTCCTGGCCCATCTCACCAGATGCTTCTCCCCCAACATGCCCCATGCGCTGATCCAATGGCTCCCAGCTTCCCAACTCTCTGGCTTTGCTGACCCTGGCCCTTTCTTCTTCCCAATATCCTGGAATCACTCAAGTACACAAATTGGGCTGGCAGGGTTAGGTGGGGGGTTGTGGCAGCTGCTCTCAGGTGAGTAAGGGACACTCACCTGCTTGAACAAGGATGAATTCCAAGGACTCCTGCCCAATGCGGTTCACTGCAGTACAGTTGTAGTTCCCAAAATCATTCTCAGAGTCTGGGGTCACCTTTAGAAGGAAGAAGCTATTGGGTTACAAGTGTCCTATGGGATGGTCACAGACTCAGATCTTTATTTACTGAATTAAGTTAGTAAAAAACAGAACTAGTAAAGTATAAATCATTAGCTCCAGCCCAGCCTTAAACAAGAGAAAAGAATAGCAGAGGGGCTCATGGGAGAGGCACATTCAGGGAGGGGACTGGTAGAGTGGGCGAAGGGGAGCTGAAAAGAGGCTCAGTGTCTTCTCTAGCCCATGCCTTCCCTGCTCAGGATGTGCCAGAGAAGCAGGAGAGAGGACTTGAGCTGCATTTTGGAGCCCACCTAGAGTCAAACTGTGCTTTCTCTGCTCTGTCCCACCCCCATCCTGACTCACCTCCAGATAGCTGGCAGAGGGGGTGTTGTAGATCTTGATATTGCTGTAATTGGAGCTTGGCAGCAGCTGGCCATCCCGAAACCATGAGATCGTGGCACTGGGATAGGCAAATACCTCGCAGGTGATGTTCACCTGGTTCCCCTCCCAAGTGTACACAGCCACAGGGCCCTGTAGCTTTGGGGCATCTGCAATAAATAACAATGACTGTCAGGATGACTGCCATGATTATGAAGCCCCCATATCCTGTCTCCTGGCACTGGGAAGGCAGGTGTGCTCCAAAGCAGAGCCAGCGCCTGGTATAGTAGAGGTCAGGGCCATTCTAGAATTCCTGTGCACAGCATGGGAAGAAGACTCAAGGGCACAGCAGGCTTGTAAGAAGCCTGGAGATGGTGTGTAGGGGGTGGCTTGGGAACAGAGCTCTGAAATAGCCCAGGGTCAGCTGCAGGGAACGTAAGCAGAACACACAGGGTGCACATAGGTCCTTGCTGATGTTTTCCTCTCTCATCCTGACCCTGCCTTGCCCCTCCCTCCCCCAGGTCCTTCCCCATTTATTCCTTACATTGCACTTCAAGGTACATGGACTGGGAGTCCTGGCCGATGGTGTTGCTGGCGGTGCAGATGTACTCTCCGGCATCAGTGTACTGGATGCTCTTCAGGGTCAGCGACGACACACGGGCATGGCTACGCACCACCATGTGCCCATCCAGAGTCTGCCGGGGGTGGGGGGGAAGGGAGCATGTCAGAGCCCAAGGCAGGGTGAAGGGCAACAGTGCTATGGCAGGATGGGGGCTGGGAGACTAGGCCATCACTTGTCTGTGACCCGTCTCACTTCCTCTCTCCTCTCTGTGTCAATGGCTTTCTTACTTTAGGTACCATCTAATGGGGGAGGCACTGGGAAGCAGCATGAGAACCTGGGAGTATCCGAAACAGAAAATGAGACTCAGTTATGTCAGGCAGCCTGATCTAAGTACCAAGATTGGTTTGGGGCTAGGTCCCCCAAGATGACTTTGTTTGGGATGTCTAAAATGGAAGCAAAGCCTCCGGCCAGCAGATATTGCAGCAGCAGCAGCAGCAGCCCTACCTCATGAGATCCTGGGAAACCTGCACTGCCAGCCTGTCCTTTCTGTCTGCCCACTTGCCAGTTCCATGGTGCATGTACCTGTGGCAGGACATTCCAAGTGCCCAACATAAGAAATTATTAAAGAAATCCTTATTTCTGCAGATGCCTCTTTCCTGGATGTTTAAAAGTGAAATAATCACATGTAAAAACAAGCCAAACAACTCAAAGATCAGGAGCCACTGCACTGGAAGTGAGAGTAACTGGGTTCTCTCTCCAGGGACAATGGCACAGAGAGTCCTAGGCAGGTCTGGGATCCTTGACACCTTGGCCACCACCATTTTATAGTCCTTGATACAGCAATGGGCTTCCTAAATCTCTGGAATTATAATGATTGGTCAAAAAGAGAATAAGCACATAGTCCTTAGGCAATGGGTACTGGAGTATTTCCAAGGGGATTTCCCCTTGACATTCTAAGTAAAATGGTTGCTGGCCCAGGAAGAGTCTAGGCATGTGGCTTAACTTCAGATCCTCAAGAAAGTTAGTGATCTGGAGAAAGGGTCTTGTTCTGGGTAGGCTGGGCCCTCTTGTCTCCAGTATATGATGTTCTGTAGGGATGGACAGGAGGTTATATTCTGCACCTGGCATCTGCCATCCCATGCGTTGGGTCTTTAAAGAATGACAGAACAATTGGCTTCAGGTTCTTTGGATATGCTGGTTTGGGGCCCTGAAGCCCAGAATTGCAATGTCATACAGCAGCCAGATTAGGAAGCTCACAAGCAAGGCATCACTAGCCTTGTTCAGCAGTCTCAGCAGATTTACCAATGAAAAGTCCCTTGGACCATCACTGACAGATCTAGCCTATTCCGGTCATCTGAGCCCCAATGCATTTCATGTCTGGAAGCTAAAAAACAACTCTAGCAAGAAGACAGAAGAGTCAAGCAAAGTCATGGCTGCCCATTTCTGCAAGTGCCATTCCTCCCTGGGATGAGTTCTCTGATCCTCTGCTTTGACCTATAAATCTGGGATGCTGGTTGGTTGAAAGATGCATCCCAGGAGATGCCACACATTAATGAGAGATGACAACAAACAGGTGTGGAACACTTCACTAGAAAGCCTTGTGACACCCAGTTTGTTGGAGATACTGGATTTTTGAGGGCTGACAGTGCTGATACATTCCAGGGCTATTTTCTTTTCTTTTTCTTTTTTTTTTTAATTATACTTTAAGTTTTAGGGTACATGTGCACAACGTGCAGGTTTGTTACATACGTATACATGTGCCATGTTGGTGTGCTGCACCCATTAACTCGTCATTTACATTAGGTATATCTGCTAATGCTATCCCTCCCCGCTCCCCCCACCCCACAACAGGCCCCAGTGTGTGATGTTCCCGTTTCTGTGTCCAAGTGTTCTCATTGTTCAATTCCCACCTATGAGTGAGAACATGCAGTGTTTGGTTTTTTGTCCTTGGGATACTTTGCTGAGAACGATGGTTTCCAGCTTCATCCATGTCCCTACAAAGGACATAAACTCATCCTTTTATATGGCTGCATAGTATTCCATGGTGTATATGTGCCACATTTTCTTAATCCAGTCTGTCATTGATGGACATTTGGGTTGGTTCCAAGTCTTTGCTATTGTGAGCACTGCTGTAATAAACATACGTGTGCATGTGTCTTTATAGCAGAATGATTTGTAATCCTTTGGGTATATACCCAGTAATGGGATGGCTGGGTCAAATGGTATTTCTAGTTCTAGATCCCTGAGGAATCGCCACACTGACTTCCACAATGGTTGAACTAGTTTACAGTCCCACCAACAGTGTAAAAGTGTTCCTATTTCTCCACATCCTCTCCAGCACCTGTTGTTTCCTGACTTTTTAATGATCGCCATTCTAACTGGTATGAGATAGTATGGCATTGTGGTTTTGATTTGCATTTCTCTGATGGCCAGTGATGATGAGCCTTTTTTCATGTGTCTTTTGGCTGCATAAATATCTTCTTTTGAGAAGTGTCGTTCATATCCTTTGCCCACTTTTTGATGGGGTTGTTTGATTTTTTCTTGTAAATTTGTTTGAGTTCATTGTAGATTCTGGATATTAGCCCTTTGTCAGATGAGTAGATTGCAAAAATTTTCTCCCATTCTGTAGGTTGCCTGTTCACTCTGATGGTAGTTTCTTTGGCTGTGCAGAAGCTCTTTAGTTTAATTATATCCCATTTGTCAATTTTGGCTTTTGTTGCCATTGCTTTTGGTGTTTTAGACGTGAAGTCCTTGTCCATGCCTATGTCCTGAATGGTATTGCCTAGGTTTTCTTCTAGGGTTTTTATGGTTTTAGGTCTAACATTTAAGTCTTTAATCCATCTTGAATTAATTTTTGTATAAGGTGTAAGGAAGGGGTCCAGTTTCAGCTTTCTACATATGGCTAGCCAGTTTTCCCAGCACCATTTATTAAATAGGGAATCCTTTCCCCATTGCTTGTTTTTGTCAGGTTTGTCAAAGATCAGATAGTTGTAGATGTGTGGCATTATTTCTGAGGGCTCTGTTCTGTTCCATTGGTCTGTATCTCTGTTTTGGTACCAGTACCATGCTGCTTTGGTTACTGTAGTCTTGTAGTATAGTTTGAAGTCAGGTAGCATGATGCCTCCAGCTTTGTTCTTTTGGCTTAGGATTGACTTGGTGATGCGGGCTCTTTTTTGGTTCCATATGAACTTTAAAGTAGCTTTTTTCCAATTCTGTGAAGAAAGTCATTGGTAGCTTGATGGGGATGGCATTGAATCTATAAATTACCTTGGGCAGTATGGCCATTTTCACTATATTGATTCTTCCTACCCATGAGCATGGAATGTTCTTCCATTTGTTTGTATCCTCTTATTTCCTTGAGCAGTGGTTTGTAGTTTTCCTTGAAGAGGTCCTTCACATCCCTTGTAAGTTGGATTCCCAGGTATTTTATTCTCTTTGAAGCAATTGTGAATGGGAGTTCACTCATGATTTGGCTCTCTGTTTGTCTGTTATTGGTGTATAAGAATGCTTGTGATTTTTGCACATTGATTTTGTATCCTGAGACTTTGCTGAAGTTGCTTATCAGCTTAAGGAGATTTGGGGCTGAGATGATGGGGTCTTCTAGATACACAATCATGTCATCTGCAAACAGGGACAATTTGACTTCCTCTTTTCCTACTTGAATAACCTTTATTTCCTTCTCTTGCCTGATTGCCCTGGCCAGAACTTCCAACACTATGTTGAATAGGAGTAGTGAGAGAGGGCATCCCTGTCTTATGCCAGTTTTCAAAGGGAATGCTTCCAGTTTTTGCCCATTCAGTATGATATTGGCTGTGGGTTTGTCATAAATAGCTCCCATTATTTTGAGATATGTCCCATCAGTACCAATTTATTGAGAGTTTTTAGCATGAAGGGTTGTTGGATTTTATCAAAGGCCTTTTCTGCATCTGTTGAGATAATCATGTGGTTTTTGTCTTTGGTTCTGTTTATATGCTGGATTATGTTTATTGATTTGCATATGTTGAACCAGCCTTGCATCCCAGGGATGAAGCCCACTTGATCATGGTGGATAAGCTTTTTGATGTGTTTGCTGGATTCGGTTTGCCAGTATTTTATTGATGATTTTTGCATCGATGTTCATCAGGGATATTGGTCTAAAATTCTCTTTTTCTGTTGTGTCTCTGCCAGGCTTTGGTATCAGGATGATGCTGGCCTCATAAAATGAGTTAGAGAAGATTCCCTCTTTTTCTATTGATTGGAATAGTTTCAGAAGGAATGGTACCAGCTCCTCCTTGTACCTCTGGTAGAATTTGGCTGTGAATCTGTCTGGTCCTGGACTTTTTTTGGTTGGTAAGCTATTAATTATTGCCTCAATTTCAGAGCCTGTTATTGGTCTATTCAGAGATTCAACTTCTTCCTGGTTTAGTCTTGGGAGGGTGTATGTGTCCAGGAATTTATCCATTTCTTCTAGATTTTCTAGTTTATTTGCATAGAGGTGTTTATAGTATTCTCTGATGGTAGTTTGTATTTCTGTGGGATCAGTGGTGATATCCCCTTTATCATTTTTTATTGCATCTATTTGATTCTTCTCTCTTTTCTTCTTTATTAGTCTTGCTAGTGGTCTGTCAATGTTGTTGATCTTTTAAAAAAAACCAGCTCCTGGATTCATTGATTTTTTGAAGGGTTTTTTGTGTCTCTGTCTCCTTCAGTTCTGCTCTGATCTTAGTTATTTCTTGCCTTCTGCTAGCTTTTGAATGTGTTTGCTCTTGCTTCTCTAGTTCTTTTAATTGTGGTGTTAGGGTGTCAATTTTAGATCTTTCCTGCTTTCTCTTGTGGGCATTTAGTGCTATAAATTTCCCTCTACACACTGCTTTAAATGTCTCCCAGAGATTCTGGTATGTTGTATCTTTGTTCTCATTGGTTTCAAAGAACTTCTTTATTTCTGCCTTCATTTCGTTATGTACCCAGTAGTCATTCAGGAGCAGGTTGTTCAGTTTCCATGTAGTTGAGCGGTTTTGAGTGAGTTTCTTAATCTTGAGTTCTAGTTTGATCGCACTGTGGTCTGAGAGACAGTTTGTTATCATTTCTGTTCTTTTACATTTGCTGAGGAGTGCTTTACTTCCAACTATGTGGTCAATTTTGGAACAAGTGCGGTGTGGTGCTGAGAAGAATGTATATTTTGTTGAATTGGGGTGGAGAGTTCTGTAGATGTCTATTAGCTCCACTTGGTGCAGGGCTGAGTTCAATTCCTAGATATCTTTGTTAACTTTCTGTCTTGTGGATCTGTCTAATGTTGACAGTGGGTGTTAAAGTCTCCCATTATTATTGTGTGGGAGTCTAAGCCTCTTCGTAGGCCTCTAAGGACTTCCTTTATGAATCCGGGTGCTCCTGTACTGGGTGCATATATATTTAGGTTAGTTAGCTCTTCTTGTTGAATTGATCCCTTTACCATTATGTAATGGCCTTCTTTGTCTCTTTTGATCTTTGTTGGTTTAAAGTCTGTTTTATCAGAGACTAGGGTTGCAACCCCTGCCTTGTTTTGTTTTCCATTTGCTTGGTAGATCTTCCTCCATCCCTTTATTTTGAGCCTGTGTGTCTCTGCACGTGAGAAGGGTTTCCTGAATACAGCACACTGATGGGTCTTGACTCTTTATCCAACTTGCCAGTCTGTGTCTTTTAATTGGAGTATTTAGCCCATTTACATTTAAGGTTTATATTGTTATGTGTGAATTTGATCCTGTCATTGAGATGTTAGCTGGTTATTTTGCTCGTTAGTTGATGCAGTTTCTTCCTAACCTTGATGGTCTTTACGATTTGGCATGTTTTTGCAGTGGCTGGTACCAGTTGTTCCTTTCCATGTTTAGTGCTTCCTTCAGGAGCTCTTGTAGGGCAGGCCTGGTGGTGACAAAATCTCTCAGCATTTGCTTGTCTGTAAAGGATTTTATTTCTCCTTCACTTATGAGGCTTAGTTTGGCTGGATATGAAATTCTGTGTTGAAAATTCTTTTCTTTAAGAATGTTGAATATTGGCCCCCACTCTCTTCTGGCTTGTAGAATTTCTGCCGAGCGATCAGCTATTAGTCTGATGGGCTTCCCTTTGTGGGTAACCCGACCTTTGTCTCTGGCTGCCCTTAACATTTTTTCCTTCATTTCCACTTTGGTGAATCTGACAATTAAGTGTCTTGGAGTTGTCCTTCTCAAGGAGTATCTTTGTGGACTTCTCTGTATTTCCTGAATTTGAATGTTAGCCTGCCTTGCTGGATTGGGGAAGTTCTCCTGCATAATTTCCTGCAGAGTGTTTTCCAACTTGGTTCCATTCTCCCCGTCACTTTCAGGTACACCAATCAGATGTAGATTTGGTCTTTTCACATAGTCCCATATTTCTTGGAGGGTTTGTTTGTTTCTTTTTATTCTTTTTTCTCTAAACTTCTCTTCTCACTTCATTTCATTCATTTGATCTTCCATCAAGATACCCTTTCTTCCAGTTGATCGAATTGGTTAGTGAGGCTTGTGCATTCATCATGTAGTTCTCGTGCCGTGGTTTTCAGCTCCATCAGGTCCTTTAAGGACTTCTGTGTATTAGTTATTCTAGTTAGCCATTTGTCTAATCTTTTTTCAAGGTTTTTGACTTCTTTGCCATGGGTTCGAACTTCCTCCTTTAGCTCGGAGAAGTTTGATCGTCTGAAGCCTTCTTCTCTCAACTCATCAAAGTCATTCTCCATCCAGCTTTGTTCCGCTGCTGGTGAGGAGCTGCGTTCCTTTGGAGAAGAAGAGGTTCTCTGATTTTTAGAATTTTCAGTTTTTCTGTTCTGTTTTTTCCCCATCTTTGTGGTTTTATCTACCTTTGGTCTTTGATGATGGTGACATGCAGATGGGGTTTTGGTGTGGATGTTCTTTCTGTTTGTTAGTTTTCCTTCTAACAGTCAGGACCCTCAGCTGCAGGTCTGTCGGAGTTTGCCAGAGCTCAACTCCAGACCCTGTTTGCCTGGGTATCAGCAGCGGAGGCTGCAGAACAGCGAATATTGGTGAACAGCAAATGCTGCTGTCTGATCGTTCCTCTGGAAATTTTGTCTCAGAGGGGTACCTGGCCGTGTGAGGTGTCAGTCTGCCCCTACTGGGGGGTGCCTCCCAGTTAGGCTACTCGGGGGTCAGGGACCCACTTGAGGAGGCAGTCTGTCCGTTCTCGGATCTCAAGCTGCATGCTGGGAGAACCACTGCTGTCTTCCAATCTGTCAGACAGGGACATTTAAGTCTGCAGAGGTTTCTGCTGCCTTTTGTTTGGCTATGCCCTGCTGCCAGAGGTGGAGTCTACAAGAGGCAGGCAGGCCTCCTTGAGCTGTGGTGGGCTCCACCCAGTTCGAGCTTCCTGGCTGCTTTGTTTACCTACTGAAGTCTCAGCAATGGCGGGCGCCCCTCCCCCAGCCTTGCTGCCGCCTTGCAGTTTGATCTCAGACTGCTGTGCTAGCAATGAGCGAGGCTCCGTGGGCGTAGGACCCTCTGAGCCATGCGCGGGATATAATCTCCTGGTGTGCCGTTTGCTAAGACCATCGGAAAAGTGTAGTATTAGGGTGGGAATGACCCAATTTTTCAGATGCTGTCTGTCACCCCTTTCCTTGGCTAGAAAAGGGAATTCCCTGACCCCTTGTGCTTCCCAGGTGAGGTGATGCCTCGCCCTGCTTCGGCTCACGCTCGGTGCGCTGCACCCACTGTCCTGAACCCACTGTCCGACAGTCCCCAGTGAGATGAACCCGGTACCTCAGTTGGAAATGCAGAAATCATCCGTCTTCTGCGTCGCTCATGCTGGGAGCTGTGGACTGGAGCTGTTCTTATTCGGCCATCTTGGAACCGCCCCTACCTCCAGGGCTATTTTCATACATCATACACAAGTCTTTACCCGTGAGTCTAGACTAGTGGCCTCAAGAGCATGGGGCCATCCCTGCAGGTATCTCTAAAGGGCTGTGCTGACCTGCTTGTCACTCCTACTTGTCCAAAACAAAGCAGGACTGCAGGCAGAGGGAACTTAAGGACAACCCCTGGCCTTTCTGGTGATCTCTGTGATATCAACCAGCAACTGAACTAAAATTCTTTGTGACACAGACCAGACTTGTCCTGGGGCCACCACACACAAACTTGGAAATTGAACAATACTCTTCTGGAAGTCAAGAGAACATTTCCATAAGGAAGAGATGTTGTAACAAAAGAGGCAGAGAAATGAATGTACGCAAGAACAGGACCTTAACGACAACAAAGCAGGGGATATTCCAAGTCTTTACTCAGAATAGTCTAGAAATGGTTGAAGGGAAGCTTAGAAAACAGTTGCGTGAACAGCCATACTTTTTTTTTTTAATTCCTATCTAGTTTCTTTCAGGAAATTTCTCCATGTGGAAATTTCTCCTGTTTAATGATGTCCACAGACCAGCCTTCTAAAGAGAATTCTTATTTTGCAGTAGGCTCACTACAGATTTGATGATGGAATTATCTGCCAGATGCCCAGTTCTCCCTTTGAGGATACACAGATAGACTCCAGTGTCATTAGACTATCTTCCCCTGAAATGCTTTTACTATGGCTCCTGCACAACTTCAGGGTGTGCCACCTACCAGCCATCCAGACAAAAAGTCATGCTGACCACCCAGGCTGCAGCAGAAGGAGGAGATGAGCTCTGGGCAAGTATGAAAAGATATTGATGGCAAGAAAACTCCTTTTTTCCCCAAAAATATGAAGGTTAATGATAATTATTCTTCTCATCAAAATGTTTTTGTCTCCCTCCTTCCAGGTAAAAGTGCTAATGCTTTTAGAACTTACAAAATGAAACTGGCCATAACCTGAGCCTTCTTTTGCACTCATCTGGACTTATGGTCTTCATCTCCAAATGAGACAAACAGGAGAGAATGGAACTTCTGAGCCCTAGGGGCAGCATTCACTTGAAAGTCAATTACGTCCAAAGTAAGACACTCATGATAAGGACACTTCTGAAAAACAGAGTGAGGTGTCTGCTTTCATGGGAGTAAACCTATTACTTCCACTTACAATAATAATTCTCTTAACATCTCCTTAATGCTCCCTGATAAATCTCAGCTCCTCCTCAACCAGCTCTAAATGAGAATGACAAGGAAAGTTGTATGAGGCCAAGCAGAATGAGATCTGTAGCTGCTTAAGAGTGGCTGATAATTAACCCTTCTCTCTCTTCCCCAATCCCAGTGGGTCCATGACTTTTGGACAATAAAGCACCCAACCTGTGACAGCACTAAGTGATTCCTGTGCCACAGGCGGGAAGCCTCTCAGTGAGGCTGTGCACTTAACAGTCATCCCAATGACAGGGAGGACAGTCTTATACACAGGAAGTTTATAATGAACTGAATTTGACAATGGCAGCCTGTTCATGTGCAGAAACTAAGATCAGTGCCTGGGGACAGGCAGTCAACTTTTAAATATTAAACAGCATATAAATATGTATAGCCTTGACCTGAACACTTGAGTTATACGTTCTGAATAATTATCATTTCTGAAAGACTAAGGGATAGATTTACCAAATTAAAATACAGAATCTATAGGATCATGATGTTCTGCATTTATAGCATTACACGATCAAAGCCCCATCTGGATAAAAGGCAAAGGCAACTTTAAAAAAGTCCTTAGAGATTAGATCCTTGAATCTCATCTGAAGTCCACTGGTTTCATTTTCACTATATGTTACTTCATATAAATCGGGTAAAAAATTATAGTCATGATCATAAGTAGGGTCTTGAGATGTGGCAATCAAAGCCTAAAGATTAATACTTAACTTCAGTTTTCAAACTAAGTCCCACATTATCCAAACTGAAGCAATGAGTCAGAGAAATTTCAAAGGTTAAATGCTACTGACTTTAAAAAACATAAAACCATTTGTACCACATCATTCTAATCTCATAAATTTAATGCTCTATAAAAGTAACAGAGATACGTTTAGCAATTTGGGAAAACCAACGAGAGATGTCATTTGCATTGCTTTTGAGATGAAACGTGATGTGATAATTTACCAAGACTGATCATTATAAAATAAGTGAGCAACAAGATGAGTTGAGCTGGAAAGGAAAGGGAGGAGTGGGTTTTTAGATCACTAACTCTGTGACTTTATGGTCCAGAGCCACATCAACCATGTGAGTCAAAAAACTTTCACCATTTCAAAATGCCTGGCCTGGGAATTGGGGGCAATTTATTTCTATTGGTGTAATTACCTGGATGTGATTTTACCAGCACCAGCAAGAGAATAAGATCCAGTTTTAGGAAATAATATGGATTTGTTCATCCACTCCCAACACAGCTTGCTTGCTCATCCTAAAATGATACTATTGCTAAGTAATGTCTACCACTATCGACCTATTCTTTAGCTAAATTACTAATTAGTTTAGCATGTCTGGTTATTAAACTGCAATGGTGAGTTAAACTGTAATGCTTTCAAAACTAAAGACTGGCTAGTGGTCAGGTAAGCTATACCTCTTGCTTCTCTGGTCGAGTCCACGAAGCCTGGAGAAAACAAGATATAAAACACAACAAGAAAGCAGTAAAATTTTACAACATGTTGCTTTAGAGAATGTATCACACTGCATTCCGTGCACATGCAGCTTTTCTTTAATTCAGAACTTTTTCCAAGGCCCACTTTCAATGGTGTGTTTATTACACAATTTAATTTAGGATTTAGCTTATGTCCAGCTTTTTTTCCCCCTTAGGCACATTAAAATGTATAATTCAAAAGGTTCAGGTTTTCCTAATCTTTGGTATACCTAGATATGAATACCAGTAGGACCAGACTGCTCTTGTTCCAAAATACCTTAAATATTGCTCATAGTATTTGGTGACATGACTAGTTCTAACCACATTATCTAGAGACACTTAAGAGAGTAGGTCTCCTCTGGCCGGGTGCGGTTGCTCATGCCTGTAATCCCAGCACTTTGGGAGGCCGAGGCAGGCAGATCACGAGGTCAGGAGATTGAGACCATGCTGGCCAACACGGTGAAACCCCATCTCTACTAAAAAAAATACACAAAATTAGCTGGGCGTGGTGGCAGGCGCCTGTAGTCCCAGCTATTCGGGAGGCTGGGGCAGGAGAATGGCGTGAACCCGGAAGGCAGAGCTTGCAGTGAGCGAGATCGCACCACTGCACTCCAGCCTGGGCAACAGAGTGAGACTCTGTCTCAAAAAAAAAAAAAAAAAAAAAAAGAGAGAGAGAGAGAGAGAATAGGTCTCCTTCTTTGGATTTTATAAGGCAGCTTATCATAGATATACTAATGCCATTTAATGCTCATGCATTTTACAACTCTTTGCATGCATTCTGTTAAAATCAAATTTTTATTGCCAAAAAGGAACAAAGCAAGGAGCAGAGAGGTACACTAGGAATGAGAAGTATGAAGTCCTTGAGACCAGGAGTCAGGAAGCTTTGAGGATACCAAATGGAAGTGGTTGAGGGAGGGCTCCAGTCCTTAACAGCAGAGAATGCACAGATGGTATGTGGACTCCAGCATGTACCATCTCCATCAAACATGGCATTCCATTCACAAGTTGGCATTTGCAAGCCAACCCAGGGACACAGAGGTTAGAGGGATTTTCCACCCACATCTAGATTTTTTTATTTCTCCAGCACTTGGGAATCTATTCTCCTTACAGTTTATCTGTTTTTCATACTAGGATTCAAAGACATGATAGCTGCATTGTTCTTTTTATTACCTGGCAAGACTGCCCGATTGTCTCTGATGTTCAGATGGAAAAAGGATAGAAAAGATGCCAGAATCATAGCAACGCAACCCAGGGAATGCAAATAAGTTAGCAAACATTTAGTAAGAGTCCACTAAATGCAAGGAACTTTTGTGAGAAATGAGATGGAAATATCGAGTTATGTCACATGATGTGGGAATGAAGAAGAAGGTGAGAACAGAGGAACATGCAGAGACCAAAGTAACGGTGGGCCAACACGTCAAATGTGCTTGCCAATTCCACATCACTTAGAAGCTTGTCGGTTACATGCCAGGGCTGCAGGAATCAAGATCTTTCTTTTGAGAGACTCTATCACATTGAGTTGTATGTTTTTTCAAATCTGATTATCCTTGTGTCTCTCCCAAATCACTATGGTTCTGTGGCTTTTAGAATAAGTAGTTGCTAGTAACACAAAGCTTCCAGTAACATAACCTTCTACTTTTGTGCCTGGTGGAAAGATAGGAAATATCTCGGCCCTAACAATTTGGTGAATGTGTGACCCACATTAGGACAACCTGATATGCAAATGTACACACTTATGAAATAAATCAGAGTGTGATTAGTAATCCTCCAAAAATTGTTCTAGGTTGTTTTGATATTCATATTTTATTGTCTTACACACAAGTCTGCAGGAACACATATATAAAATAAAGTGAAGCATTTCTATAGTTTTCTTAGGTATTCCATTATTCATGTGCCCACACGCTGGATAAACCAGACTGATTGCTTAATGCAGTCATCTTTTCCAGTGTTTAAAAGCGGGCCCTGGGTTTGTACTGAATGAGGAATTTTTTTCTCGTGAAAAGGAAACTCCAGCTTCCAAAGAATCCAGAACTTCAAAAGTTCTCTCTTACTTGTGGGATATTCTGTCAGCCTAAGATTCAAGGTTCACAGAATGCTTTTCATTTTTCCTATCTCTTCTGATCTCAATTCTTCACTGCTCTCCTTTCCTTAATAAGGCTTCATAGGCCTTTGTCAGTCATTTCAAAGGCATAGAGATGTTCAAAGAGGCATATGATGGATTTTTTCTGCCAGGGATAGAGTACGTAAATCATCATCCACGGGTCTCAGTCAGTAAGTAAATGAAACCTGGAATTTAGCACCACTCACTCAAACACCTGGCAATATTTAAAAGGAATCTGGGCAGGATGAGTAGTGAAATAACATGGAAGCAGAAGCTTTCTGAGGTATCACAATGACTTTCATACAGATGATCAAATTGACCCATTATGATGGTCAATTTTTTTGGTCAATGTAATAGTAACTACTAGGAAATGCATCAACTTTTGGACAGCTGATCTACCTTAATGATCTCGATGATCCAAACAATTAGGTACCCTAGCTATTATCAGTTGTCGAGCTAAACCAACTCAACTAGCTGAAGCTTAACAGATTGGTAATGGTCATTCTCAAATGAGTAACTAGACTCAATACAGAGACATGATCAAAGGTAGAGTGTGACATTCACGCTCATTGTACTTGTTTTTGCTTATCTCCCCCCTTCTTTTATAATGAACAAGAACATTGGTATTCCATTAGAAAGTTAGTAACTATATGTCTATGGTTGAATGCCTTTTTTCCACCTCTTCCCTTAAGAAGACTAATACTAGACTAAACTCAGCAGTGAAGCAAAACACAAAACTGCTTTAACTTGCTAATATTGTAACTAACTTTGTTAAAGGAATCATTGAACCTTCCACTAAAGTCATACAAACCATGAGAGAGCACTGTGGCACCGTGGCATCAAGTGGCCTACCTTCTGAGCCACCGAGCCAGAAGGAAGCCATTGTGGCAGTCTAAGGGCTTTGTACTTGACCTTGTTCTAGTCAACATTTCTATCAGTGACTTGGACAAAGATATTGCAAATAAGTGTTCATACAAGGTTGGAAGCAACAGCTAATACAAATGTTAGATGACGACTGCATTGGGAAGGCTACTGGACTGCCTGCTCTTGGGCTCTATGCTTAGGCTGGGATCTCCACTGACTACTCTACTACTTTACTTTTAATATACACATGGGTTGAAGTGCCCTGGACACATAGACTTCTAAGGTGAATTTCTAATGAAAGTCAGTCCTGACTGGTTAGAAAGATGGACTCAAACAGTCATTCTCAAGCCACAGGGTGTTTGTATGTGTCATATTTTTAGTAACAATTAGAGGTGGCTACTGGCATTTAACAGGAAGGGGACTAGAGATGATAAGTTTCTTGCAATGCATAGTACAGTCCCAGTGAAGGAAGCCTCTTCCCAAATTGCCACCATGACCCTGTTGAGAAGCACTGAGCTGCAACAAACAAAATGCAATTTTTAACATAAATAAATATAAAATTCTGCAATATCGGTTAACCAATCAATTGCATAAGAACAGGATAGGGGATATGTGGCTTAAATGGGGATCATGTAAAAAAGACCTGAGCATTTTAGTTGACCACAAGCTCAATATGAGGCAACAGAATAAGGAGACTGCTAAGAGCTAATGTGCCTTTTTCTGCATGATGGCATCCAGATCAAAGAGGCAGTAGCCCTCCTGAAGTCTGCATTAATTACACTGAGCACAGCAAAATTTTAGGGGAGCACTAGTGAACTGAAACTATCTCGTATAAGACAACCAGAAAGATAAAAGGTATGGAAACTATGCCATATGAGAAATAGTGAAAATAACTGGTATGTTCAAGGTAAGAGGAGTGGACTGGAGGAAAGTCGGAGAGTTTTTAATGTCTCTCATGCAAAGGACTGAGTGGCAGAGGCTAGGAGGACTGAGTAGAGGAAGGGGCAAGGAAGTAGCTCTTTCTGCTCTTCAGCATTGGCCAACTCCCCTGCAGAGGACTGACACCATCATGCTTCAGACAGGGACGGACTGGCTTCCTGGCAAGGATGCTAGGCCAGGGTGCCAGGTGAGACTGGATGACCTCAAAAGGTGCCTTCCGAACATCTATGATTTTAGCATTTTATGTGATCTAAATCTCAGGAGGATTCTTTACCTGACCAATTAGATACAATCATCTATTCTTGTTTGCTTAGCATATCACCCTGATTTTAAAAAGAAAATGGTTGTTTTCCACTCCTACAATTACAGTGATGCTAGTAATCTTGATTCCTAATTATATAGAAGCAACTTCGGATGGAGGAGAACATGAGGAGAGGCTGCCAAAGTAAAAGTGAAATTTATTTTCTGTACTCCAACCAGTTCATGAACAGCCTATATTTGTTTTCTTAATTATTAGCTATCCACAGTGTAAGATGGACAATACGCCTCTTTGACGTCAATATATAATTAACAGAAATGGCAAATTTTCTTATATAGGGTTTCACTTAGGCAAATATGTCAGTCTGGTGTCACATCACCAGCTGATTTGGAGGACTTGTTTTAATACCGATTCACTCATGTTCCAATAAAGTGAACTTGAAGGCAAGTAAAAGAAATACAATACAACCAATGTAGCTGGGCTGAAATAATGATCTAAGATTAAGACAAATGATCTATAGTGATAGCAGAATTATATAAAAAGTAGTCACTACTAGGCTTGAGACAGTCTCTGCTGGACACCTGTCTCCATATTTAGCAAGTATGAATGTGTTTTAGTTCCTGGCTATTATTCTCATTCTATAAAAATGAAATCGGCCGGGCGCGGTGGCTCACGCCTGTAATCCCAGCACTTTGGGAGGCCGAGGCGGGCGGATCACGAGGTCAGGAGATCGAGACCATCCTGGCTAACACGGTGAAACCCCGTCTCTACTAAAAATACAAAAAAAAATTAGCCGGGCGAGGTGGCGGGCGCCTGTAGTCCCAGCTACTCGGGAGGCTGAGGCAGGAGAATGGCGGGAACCCCAGGGGGCGGAGCCTGCAGTGAGCCGAGATCGCGCCACTGCACTCCAGCCTGGGCGACAGCGAGACTCCGTCTCAAAAAAAAAAAAAAAAAAAAAATGAAATCATAGCTACAAGCCAGAAGTGCCAACCTATTAAAGAACCTCAGTAGGCACAAATCTTAATAACCTTTCTGGTCTAGCTTGGCTGTTGAGCTATTCCTAGAAAAGATATAGAATTCAAAAGCATCATTCATCTGAGATAGATATTATTTCTGTCCTTCACTGTAGGTCAAAGATATACACTGGGTCACTCTGGACAAAAATCTACTTTTAAGCTGATGTAGAAAGATCTGCCAAGCAGCAGCCTTGTGGTTTAAGCCCTGAAATGTACATTAAATCCACATAACACACATGAGTGGGGCTGAAATCTTAGCTAAGGGTTTAATTCTAATGTTGATAAAGAAAGTATCCAAGTAAACACCACATCTCTTAATCTAGCTGGTTTTCACAGTTTCAAACAGCATATGTGGGTTTCAAAAATATTTAGCAGTTCCTCAGTTGACTTTTTGTTAAGGTGAATTTAACTCTGCAGGTAAAAGTTGCAAAAAATAATAGGTTATTTGGAAGAGCAATTTCTGTTCCATTTGATGCAGTTTTGTTTTCTATTAGTGGGACAGAAATCAGCTCCTCAAATGCAAATCCCAAATTTAACTCTGGAATTTCACACTATCCTTTCGGGCTTTATTTGAGTTTACTCTCTCTAGAGATTTCCTTTAGGCAGGCAGAAGAGTGAAAATCTATCATTTTTGACATTCTGATCAATAAGCAATCCATTACAAATGTTCCATAAGGCTAAGGCCATTATTCCTGACTAGGTGACAAAACTTGGGCTAACTAAAACAAAGCCCATTACTACAGGATATACGAGATGAGATTGGAGAAGTACCATAAGACGGTTTAAGTTGCATTAAAATGAAGCTTTTTCCTCCTACTTTTGGCCCACTCAATAATCAAGGGCTGTATGATGTGGGGTCACCTCAGTTTTTATATATTGTCAACAATAAAGATAGCTTTCTGGTGGCCTACAAATCCACGGACTTTAAAGCTCAATCTTTCCCGCCATTTTAATTTGCCAGGAAGGTTGCTACAATGTTCTTAAACCCTCCATGAATATATTGAAAAACCAGGATGTAATCCTCATTTAGAAACTGCTAAATATTTTTGCCTTTAGAACAAAATGGTATCCAAATGTGACCAAGAATACAGGCAGACACAATGGCAACCAGGCATTTGTGCATAAGTGCATATATAGCATGAGTATACAAACACAAGAAAAAGAATTAATAGGTTCATTTTGAGCCTGGTTATTTCTGGGAGATCTTTCCTAGGGTGCCCTTGATATGATGACAATGTCACCTGGTGGACCAGGATATTGCCTTCTCTTTGTTCCCTCACAGCTCCATAACTCTGGGATTGACAATCACCATTGCCTCCTCCCCAGAACATCTAACTTGAGCATGCCCATACATCACGCCCCCACCAACCTATCCAAGGAATTGTGCCTATTCCATTACAAGGGGATGATGAGCAGGCCATGTCCTGCAGGGTTGGGGAGGGAGGCCCCGGGATCTGGCTGTGGCCTCTGGTGACCATAACCCATCTCCCAGCTCCCCAAAGAGAACTGGGCATGAGCAGACTCAATCTGCTTTGAGTCTGCATTCCAAGGCCCTGAAACTCCTGGGGAGCATGATACCTTTTCTTCGCTGCTGATGTTCCGGGTAGAAGTCCTCCAGGTGATGGAGGGAATGGGGTCTCCGGAGGCTTCACAGGTAAGAGTGACCTGCTCCTCTAATTCCATGGCAGTCTGGTTCTCTACATATGTGATTTTGGGTTTTGCTGAAAAGACAAAACATTTCTCTGAGTTTATCTAATTATTGAGCTTTCTGGGTTTAAATGATGGCATGCACCTATCCAACAAAGGTTAGCTGTCTGCTAAGTACAAGACCCTAGTCTAGGTGTTTTAGGAGATGCAGACCTGACTCTCCAAGGCTTACAATGATGTAGGCATGTGACAACACGGAAACCATAATAATCAGAAATATCCTATAGAGTAAAAGTGATAAGGGCAAGGAATGCAGGAGGCAGGACATGGCGGAAGATCGCTCCCTGGATGGAGCCTTCGAGAGGAAACGGCTTTGGGGCTGGACCATGAGATTTTCAGGAGGTGGAACTCTAGGGTGGAGATGGAGTCATTTGAAGTGTAGGAAACTGACTGAATAAAAGCAAAGAAGCAAAAACATATGAAGAGATGGCTGGGAAGAGAACAGTGTGGCATGAGGCACAGGAAGGTGAGGCTGGATGGCTGGAATTTTACCTGGTGCCTGGTGGAGGCCCACAGACAGCATTTAGTCAGGGGCACAAAAGCATTTGTATTTCAAGAAGGTTAATCTAGGGACATTTCAGGAAGCATTGGACTAGAGAACACTTTGAAGTGGGAAAACCAGTTTGGAAGCCCTGGCAATGACCCAGATGTGCGGTAATGTTGGATTCTGAACAAGGTTGTTTGAGGGGAAACAGCAAAGAGAAGCTTTGAGACAGATGCTGGAGGAAGGTTCAATAAGTGGCAACTGAACAGAGGGCAAGGAGGGGTGAGAAGAACCAAAAGAAGCAATAAGAAGGAGTCCAGGTGACTTGGAGTCTCAACGACTGGGAGAAGGGTGTTAGCATTAACTCAAATGAAGAAATCAGGCAAGGAACTGGATGGGGGCTCTGGGGTGGGCTCAGGATGGGAAGGAGATGAGTTGAGATGAGTTCATTTTCCAAATGTTTTGGGTAATGCAAGAAAACACAAGCATTCCAAAGCTAAGTTAAATGTTAAAACATTAGAGAAAATTGAATTTTCCCAATTTAAAACAATTATGCTCTGAAATTGCTGAACTTTGTGTGGAAGAGAAAAGATAACACTGCACAAATGTGACTTATTTCATGAATATAGGAAAAGGTCAGGCTAGGGAAACAAACAAATGAACCAAAAAACCCCAAGAGAATGATAGCTAGTTTTTGAAAGACTACATGTGCTTTATATTCAAATTCATACAGTAACCCTAAGTAGGCAAATAAACAACTGCCTATATATCTTCTCCATGTTGAGGTCTTTGATGCTGTTTTAATAAACAGAAAACAATAATAGAACTATATACTTTTGTTACAAATGCCTGCTTCTACATAAAATCATCCATATAGTTCAAATATTTGCCTAAAGGTAATGCATACTGACAGCCTGTTTAGCAAATCCTTTTTTGATGGATAGCACATAGGCACATCTCAATCCAATCTGGCCAAATGTTCATAGATTTCAGTTGATGGAGTCCACATGAATGAGGTTAAACCTCATAGGTTTCCCTATTGTGTTTTCCTTAATAAGTACGATTTTTGAGAATATTACAACTCGTATTGGAAGGAATATGTGCCAAGTGCCATTGAAAGGGAAGTTTTAGAGGGCAAAGTAAAATAAAGGTAAAATAAACATGAAAAACAAAAAGGTTAATAAAATAAAAGAAAGGTAAAGTAAGAGCTGAATCTCTATATTGTAAAAGTCACAGAATAAAAAATTTAAAAAAAATGTGGCCATACAACTGAATTCGCTAAACTCAACAGTTGTTTTGAGGTCTGGAGACAATCCCAGGAAGGCTGAATTTGGGGCCCCTTAAAATCTTGTCAGACTCTGAGATCTGGACAGCGTTTTGCTGACCTTCTCCTGACCTGCGGTACTTTGTCATGGCAGCCGAAGGTTAACAGAAGACAGGCAAGGGTCAGTTGCCATCTATTAATATTTGGCCTTGGAGGCTCCATTTCCCAGATGGCTACAGAAGGTGCATTGTGTGACTCCTTAGAAAAAAGGCAAACCATATTCTTATTAAAACATGATTATGGCTAATTTTGTATAGTCTACAGAGTGCTGTGGGAAGGAAGGGAAGCTTCCCACTGATAATTTAATTCTCTATTACTCTAGAAGCAGTACGGTCAGAACTAACTCAGAAAGCTCAGATGCCACCTTAGAACAAGACAGTGATATGCATAATTTATTGTCTAAATTGGGACTCTCTTGAGAGTGACATGAGAGGCTCTAAATAATTACACCAGGACAAAGGGCATTAGTAGGCAAACAGGGACAGATGCTGGGTCACCCTACTGAAAAGATTCCCTCCCTCTGCCTTCCAGCATCTAGAGGGATCTCTCTGGGTTTCATCTTCCTACACCCCCTGCCCTCTATTAATTAACCTCTCTTATGAGTTCTTGGCTTTTGGATCCCTGTTCTATTCTCCACCTGCCTCCATGGGCCTTAGTGCCTCAGACTGTTCCACTGCACCTTTCCCCATATTTCCTCCTGTGAGTTTTCCAAGAATGCTTGCCACTAAGAGGCAGCCTTGTCTACTCCAACTCCAGTCCATGCTCCTACAACCCTAGCCAAAGAAGAGCCCCGAGGCCCCTGCATCCCTGAACAAAGAGGTTGGACACTATGCTATGGGGCATGACCAGATGCACCTTCTTTCAGGCCACTGCTTGTCCTTAGCTGTAACCCTCAGGGGCTGCTTGAGACACAGGGCTCCTGGCCACTGGAGAACTTTCCTCAGCCACAGCAGCATGAGACCTCAAGAGCATGTACATGAGCATCACAAGAATCAATAGAGACAAAACTTCTTCAGGGGCACGTGTAGGGACAACAGTAATGAGAATTCACTGCCAAATTTAAAGGATGATAGGATGCATCTACTTAGTAAAAGGAGCATCTAGCTAATAACTAAGGCAACATGTGCTAGAACATGTCTTTTTCTGAGGAAAGAATGATGCCACTTAGATACAAATGATGTCATAAAGTCTCTAATTGAGATATGTCCCATACATACTGATGGACATTCCTTCTTGAGGCCACAGGACTTCTGGGCTTTTCTTTACTATCTAAGCTACAGGTTTCCTCCCTTTTCTACCTCACTGCTGTAGACTCTACTCCCACTTGCAGAACCTGTCCCATTTCTCCCCCAGTGATGGGCCACAATGGCAAGTTGGAAGGGGCTGGAAAGGAAATAAAAGAGTGGAAGGAGAAGGAGCCCTAATCAGCTGGTCCCTCCCCAGGTGGCTCCCTAACCCTATATCAGTTTCCTCAACCAATGGGAAGGCCAGTGGAGGAGGAGAGAAAGGAGGATGAGAAGGGAAGATGGATGGGAAAAGGTGGTGGAGAAGAGGCACCAGGTTCCTTCAGGGAGGCTGCATGAACGCTCCGCAGACTATGACAGGGGAGGATTCCCATTCTGTGTGGACTCAGTCTCTACAAATCTATGATTCCTGCCCTGTCTCTTCAGGAGCCTGGCCACCTCTTCTCTGTTTGCCCCACTATGCTCCCTATTCTTCCAGCTGCAGTTTCGGGAAAGAAATTGTGAAATATGTGTGTGTGTGTGTGTGTGTGTGTGTGTGTGTGTGTGTGTGTGTGTTTGTGATGAAGAGGGGTGTATGTGTCCAAGGTGTGGGTGGGAAGACAAATCTTGTCTTGGCAGTTTCTGCCTTTTGACCTCCTCCCGTCGACCTGACCCACTCTCTTCCCTCTACCACGGTCCCACATGGCCCTGCACTCACTACTCCGGGGCAGCCATCACCACCAGAGAGGTCTGGAAGAGAAGCCGAGATCTGTTCATGCCCAGCCAAGTCAGGGCTGAGTTGCTTTTCAGAGAAACCATGAGCTACCTGGTGATGCAGGCAGAGTGCACTGATTCTAGTATTGCCAGACACTCCCACATAATTCAGATACAATTTGTGTCCTGTTGGGTTTCCTGGAATTAACAACCATCATTGTTAGATTAGAGAAGGGACTTAGGAGCCACCTGCCTCGGTTTGAATCCAGAGGCACCTCATCCCTCTGTGATCAGGTTCCTCCTTTGTAAAATGGGGATAATAATAAAATCTACATCATAGGGGCGTGATGAGGATTAAAAGAGTTAACTTACAGATAGCACTTCACAGAATGCTTGGCACATTATAGGTGTTCTGCTTGTGTTTGATATTATTATTATTACTACTTTATGGAGTTAAAGTCTAAAATAATTTCCTAGAGACAGGTGATGATCGTGTTTCCAGGCTTATCTCCCTGCCACATATGTATGTTTGCTTCATCATATAGAACTAATGACAGTTCCTTCATTTATTCAATCTAGTGCCTAATGCATGTGGGTGCTGGGGATCTATCTGTGAGTAAAACAGACACAGCCCCTGTCCACAAGAAGCTCCCATTCAGCATAGCCTGTGCTTTTCCTGCCTCTGTGCCTGTGCCCAGGCTGCCTAAAATTCTCATCCACTCCTTCAGCTGGGTAATTCCTACTTATGAAATAGTACATTTTAATGACTTCTCTAACTTACATCACACAGGACCAGAGAACTTGTTTCCTATAAAACACTGTGCATATTGCTATTTTGCAGCCATAATAATGTGTTGTCATTTCAAATTCCAGCGTTGACTATCTACATTAGCTTGTGAATCTACTGATGAGAACAGAGTCCATGTTATTCATCTTGTAAACTTGGCAATGACTGAGTCCACAGCAGTCACTCAAATGTTGCTGACTGACACTATTATAACATTTATGTTTATCCATTTATCTCCCTCTTTGTGCTTCCCAGGGTCAAGGGATCATATCCTATTCATCTCTGTAGCCCCTCTGTCCAGCAACAATGGTGATCCATACGTATTTATTAAATGAAGGGATTAATTAACAAATGCATCTATCTTTTTCTACAATATGGAAAAACTTACTAAAACCATAGTGATTGGGGAAGATCAGTCTGAATTCAAGAAAAGACTTTCAAGAATATTTTTCATGAAGTTTAGCTTTCTCTCTCAAATACGTACGGTTAACTTGAACCTAACTGATAGCCTGTTTCTAAACCCAGCTGTTTACTACTGAATAACTAGCAGGACATTTGCATATAAAGTCTTGATTTTCAAAGGTCTGTGTTTATGAACAGTTCTCCTTATCAGGCTGGATAAGCAGGTCCCAACCCTGATTCCCAGGTGCACATTTTAATGACCTGGGGGCTCCATGCACCAGAGCTGCGCCTCAGACTGGCACTTCCCCAGTGCTGTCTACAGTAGACCAGTTTATCTGTGTTTTCTAAACAGACACGCGGAGAGACTTGAGGGCCATTAGGTTAAACGTTTCTCTGCAACCAATTCTTTTTTCAAGATCAGGTCAAAATGCTTTTCAGTTCTGAAATGAATGGAAGTTTCCTGAGTTTATGAAGATGAAGTGAGCAGGGATGTGGGGGCTCTTCCATGACACTGTTTTGCACAGGTCAGGGAAGGAGGCAAACAAGGCAAAGCAGCCAGCCCATCGACCACTAAAGTTACCAAGGGCCTATGCCAAGTCTGGCACTGTTTGGAGTCACAGGGATAACGCCGTGTATGACAGCCAGGGTTATGCTATCTTGAAGTTTACACACTAGTAGAGGTAGGAGACAGACAATCCCCAAAACAAATATGCAAATGACATCTGTTCAGGTACTGTTAAGTACAGCAAAGAAGATACAGTAAGAGTCACGAGAGAGAGATGAGTGGAGGTGGGTGGGGGTGGTCGCAGTGCAGAGGGAGTTGAATTAGCCAGGGCAGTGAAGGAAGGCGCCGCTGAGAAGGTGAGTTTGAGTTAAGATCTGAATGGTGGATCAGAAGAAGGCAGCTCAGAGTGGATCAGAGGGAAAGATATTCCAAGCAGAAGAGAAACCTAGGGCAGTGATCCTGAGATGAAGAACAAGCTTGGTATGTCTGAGGGACATGAAGAAGGCCTGTGTGGTTGGAGAACTTTGCATGTGCAGCAAAGCGAAAGAAAGATGAGGCTGGAGAAGAAGGCAGGAGCTAGTTCATCTCTGGTCTTGTAGGCCATTGCAGGGAGTCTGAATTTTATTCTGGTTGCCATAGGGAGCCACTGGAGGCTTTCAAACAGATGAGTGGTACTTAGGTCATTCTGACTACTGTGAGCAGAAGTGAATGAAGTGGACCAATAGGGAGAGTCGGGGAGGCCAGCTATGAGACCGTCCCACTGCTCAGGTGAGGATGATGGTGGCTTGGACTAGGGCTTGGACTAGGTGGTGGAACTGGCAAGAAATGGTTGCATTGGGTTATGTTCTGAGGGACAGTGGCCAGGGTCTTACTGATGGACTGAATGTGCAGAGGAAGGGGAATTGTGGCAGAGCAGTGACCTGGGCCCCCACTGCCCCTACCAAAGACTTTGAGGTGGATGGTCGCATCCTGCTCGCCAGCCTTGTTCTCAGCAATGCAGATGTACTCAGCCTCGTCGTTCTTATCCACCTTTTTGATGGTCAGCTGGGAACTATCGTCGCTGAAGATGTACTTCTCATCGTCTTCCTCTTGCTCTATCTGTTCCCCATCCCTAGAGCATGTAGAAATGCAAAGTAGCATGATTTCGACCACAGAAATAAGACGTTTATTTTTAATTAGGTTCCATAGAATGCAGACTGAGTCAATGGGAAAGACTCCTCAGTCTTCACAAAAAGTTAAGGCACCAAGTTGAACGTCCACATACACCTCTTATTCCTCTATTCCATCCTCTGACTATCCAAGGGCTGCAACTGTACCCACAAATGTTTCAAAGTGGGCTCCCAAGACCACACCCTCTGGCTCTGACTCTGCCCCCACAAGGCTGAAATTGAAGGAATAATCAATGCACAAGCAAGAGAATCTTATAGAAAAGAGTCCATTCTTCTCCTGGGGTTAATATTCCTAAGAAGCCCACATCCATTCCACGCAGACACTAACATGGAGCAGACTTTGTGATGCCCCATTCTCCTCTAGTCCATGATAAAAGGTATGAGCCAGTTTCTTACTTTGTCCAGCTCATGGTGGGCTCTGGGAAGCCTTCGGCATCGCACACCAGGGTGACGGACTGGCCGAGGTTGGCGGTGGCATTCACAATATTCTGCCTGGCCTGGATGGTAGGTGGCACTGAAGGAAAAAAGGGTGTCATGGGGTGGTTGTGAAAATTTGGAAGAACCCAATGGCCTGGAGAAGAGACACCACTCCAGGTCAGGAGTTCTCAGCCTGTGGGACAAACGTCGTGTGCAGCTACAGAGTTAGTGTCAGGAATTGAAATTCATGTATGTACTAAATAACTTCTGCAAACTGAATAGACAGTTCTACAAACATGCATTTTTGTTTTTCATTAATTGAGAAGCTATAGTAATACATTTTATGCATGTTAAGATGGTATTCAATTTATAGTCACTATTCTTCATTATGTATTTTCTCAGTCAATGCATACTAAACTTAATAACTACCAGGTTCAGTGAAACTTGATGTTAAAAAGGAGCTCTTTGTACTGGAAAAAGTTGGACATTACTGCTCCCAGTGGTTAAATGGTTAACACCAATTCGAATGCATCAGCTATAACAAAGAGTGCCATTTCTCTGGGACTGTGATAAACAACCTTGTACAAAACTGTTTTTTACCAAAGGAATGAGATGGGGAGAGTTTGGCAAAAAAAATATGTGTCAATAGTCAAAACAATTCAACCCTGATTTACTTATTTTCTTAGTACTGACATTATAATTTCCTGTAAACATCTTGTAAATGTCAGATCAATTCCATGGGTGTGTTTATTTGACACTGCAAGTTAAGATTAACAAGCCTATGGACCATGATTCTGACTATTCTGAGGCCTGAGTTGACTTAATACTTTCTTTGAACATTTAAGCAGCGGAATAACTTCACAATTATGGTAACATCAAGGACAATGAGGATTAATAGGTAAGCAGGGGGAAAGTTTTTAGTGCTGCAGAACGGTGAAGGACATTCAGTTGCTGCACTAAAATCCCTCGTAGTTGAAGGAAGATCCAACAGGCAAGTATATTAAAAAAAAAAAAAAAAAGAAATCTAGATGTTACGGTGGGGAGGGGATTTAGCTCAGACGGATGATTGAGTCAGGACAGGATTTAATTTACAGACCCAAGAGGAAGTTAAAGAGAATGATTTTGGAGAACCAAGGTTGTAGCAATGCAGAGATCAGGAAGAACGGACTCTCCTCACCATTCACAATGACCTGAATGTCCTTGAAGTTGATCTCCCCCCGTGCCAGGATTCTGCCCTCACAGCGATAAGTGCCCTCATCTGTTTTCTTGATGCCCCGGATCTGCAGGTAGTTGTTGGACAGGACTATGAATCGGACTAGAAGAGATAAGAGGCAGGTTCATCCAAGAATCAGTCAGAGAGCATCTGCAGGCAGGTGGCTGAGTCTCTTTCCTTTTTCCTAACTTCAGTATCATAGGGTGGGGTTTTAAGCCCAAATAAGAAAATGCGTCCCTGGCTTTGAAATACAGCCAAGAGTAAATGTCTATTAGAAATTTGTCTTTCGTACTGGAGAGAAAATCAGGTACCTAAGTATACCAACTTCAGATATGCATCTATTCAGGACCCAGAAACCACATGAGGGTTCGGGCACACATGAATTGGAGTTTGGACTGGAATGCCTCAGTACAGGTGAAAAAGCTAGGGAACTTGGTGGCCTGGGGAAAAGGCAGATGCCAGGAAATTCAGGTCTCACCATCTTTTTTCAGGATGACATCTCGGCCTTTGTGTTTCCAGATGATGGTTGGTGGGAGGGAGCTGACCACATCACACACAATCACGGCATCTTCCCCCTCCCGGAACTCCTGTGGGGTTGGCGCATTCTTGAACATGAGCTTCTCTGGAAGATGAACAGAAGAGTGAGGGAAAACAGCTGCTTCTCTCACAAAGAACCCCTTTCACTAGAGCCATGGTACCTGGACTTGAGTCCTGGGCAAGTCTCGATCCTGATGTACAGTTGTATAAGAGGGGCACCCTCAGAGACGTCAGGCAGAGCAGCTGGCCCAAGCATAGGTTACCAATGCTTGGCAACCAATATCTGCTCATTGAGTGCTAAATTTATCACATTTTGTGCAGAAAAGGGTCTACAGAATGAAAGGAATATCTTCACCAAGGGTTCCTTGTCATGCAGGATGATGCCAGTGAAGCACAGGTTATAGGTAGAATGAACTGGTGGAACATCCATTCCACAACGAATAGTAAGAATCATCAGTCCTTTTCTTGTCTCCCACTCGAACTGCTACTCCCAGTCCCACCCCAACTTTCCTACGGCAGACAGAATGCTGATGAAAAGAACAGGAAAAAAGCACATTTAATGGCAATAAATACCGTGCAATCAATACTGTTCCATTAGCTGTCACCCACCATTACTCCAACCACTGGGATGGATGCATGATATAAATAACAAGGTAACGAGATGCCACCTACAGATGGGGTTTCAGAGGCAATAGGAACTGCCTGCTCTGAGTGGCAGAGAGTGTTCAGATAATGATCCCCCACCCCACTGAGCCCTGGGCTCCATTACCAGCAGGGGAGAGGGAAATAAGAAGGGAGAGGAGCCCAAATTGCAGAACAGTCAGCCAACATTTGGGGAAGGGATAGAGAAACCCGTAATAGCCCTCTGGGAACTATGTAATTTGAATTTTGAGAATGAACGCCTGTGGGGGAGTAGCTGTGACCAGTGTGAACCAGGGTTGTGAGTTCTGGGTTGGCCAAGGTCAGAAAAGACTTAGGGAGAGAGAATGGGACTGGTTAGGCCCTCAGCTGGTCCTTCTGTCATCATTTCCACCTTTCCACTACCCACATGTCTCCTTGGCAAGGAGAGGCCAGAGAATGCAGAAGAAGAAGGAGGCTCTTACGAAAGATCTTCACGTTGACGGTGGCCTCTGACTCACTGCCATCCTCGCCTGTAACCACACACTTGTAAATGCCGGCGTCGTCGATGTTGGCGTTATAGATGGTGAGGGTGGAGGAGGAATCATCATTCCACACCACTGAGATCCGCTGCTGGTTTGGGGTGAGCTTTTCTCCATTGGGGGAGAACCAGGAGATGTCTTTATCTTTGGCATCTCCTGCCACTAAAGAGGAAGAGATTATTTTTAAGCTACTGAAGTCGAAAAGACTAATAAGTCCCCTCCAGACTGACAGTGGCTGATCAGTAAGAGTTACTGAACAACAGATCAGTCAAGGCTTGAACATCAGGGAGGGGTGAGTATGGCTGCTGGAATGACATGCAGCCCTTCTTTGGCCTCTGCATTTAACTATTATATACTTAACACCTCTTACAATATTTGGAAAGAACTCAACAACCACTTGTACTAGTTGTTATCATGGTCCTATCCCTAATGATGGAAGAGAAGAGATACTTGTTGAGAACATACTGTGTGCTGGGCACTAAGCTAGGAACACACATGCCTCACACAACGGGTAACCAAGGGAATTAGTGTATTTAGGATTCGGGCGCCAGAGCCTAACTGGTCTGAGTCTACTGATCAGCTTGTTTTTGAAGCCTTGGATAATGGGTCTCCTGAGATGAAGGCGAGAAATACTGGCTAGTATAGGAGTGCAGATTCCAACCACTTTTTATTTCATTTTTTCCAGCCACATTTATTCTAGCATCTGCCTGCACAAACTGGCATGACTGTCATTTCGTCACTCCCTGCTCAGACAAATTCATTTCCTTGCATGCTGCAAAGAAGGTAGCCAGAACCACCCATTCTTCCTTTCCCCAGGCAGCAATGAGGAGGAACAGACTGTGGTGGCTGAGCTGCCCCCGGCACTGAGCTGGAACAGGGCTCTGACACTGAAACTGCCCAGGACACTGAGCTGGAAGGGCGCTCAGATCCGGCGGATGTGGCGGCGCCCTGCCTGTTTGCATGGGCCCCTGCCTCTTCGCGTGGCGCCCTTCTCAGCCTGCACCACCCAGCCCTGCACAGATGCTTAGTATGGAAATGAAGCAGTCTTCCTTTCAGGGCCCATCATGTTTTCAATAAATATCGCTATTTGCAAGATGTGCTGTGGGCTCCACGGCTGCGTCTCCAGATCATTGAAATTGCTGTAATGAAGGCAAAGCTGGAGTGAACACATCCGACGGCCACAAGCCACCTCGTCCACGCAAATCATGACAGCATTTAAAGGCCCCTCCCTGCCAAAAGCTGCTTGCTAAATGTCACCATTTACACCTAGCTCAGCTCTTTCCTGGTTCTTCCATGTTCTGAATCCCAGTCATGTCATATACAGAGAATCTGAGGCTTAATTTGAAACCTTTTCCTCCACAGGACATTTTCTGGCAATTATCTGGGCTGTGGAAATGGGGCATGTTTTCTAAATGTAAAACAAGGTCACCAGGTCTGGCATATCTCAGAGCTCTGGTGGGGACCATGGCACAGAATATCGATATTCACAATAGACCTGGTAAACCCAGGATATATGTCCTCACAACAAAAGCCATACCAGTATTCTATTTACCTACAGGCAAGTTTTAGACTTAGATTTTCAAGCTCTGGGGAATTCTAAGAAATAAGCCTTAAACAGATCCACCGAAGTATTGTTTCTGAGCCAGTGCTGTTCTCCATTGTCATTTACAGAACTCTGAATGTATACAGAATAGGAGATGGGGGATGATTCACTATTCTGGAAGTTGTGCTGATTTTTCTAAGAAAACTCCTAGACTTCCTCTGTAGTCAAGGTGAAGTCTAGATGACAGATTTGCTATGTTGAGGCAGATTTTTGCAAAAGGAAGGAAGAGGCCCTGGCTCTTAAATGGCCATACTATTGACCCTGTAATAGAGCAATGCCAAGAATTCTAGGTGTGGCTTGACCAGCCAGCTCACATGGCCTGAGGGCTCCTGCTCTACCCAGTGAGTTTCTGAAGCAAGTTCTAAAATGCAGCTGAGCACTAGGCACTTGCCTTGGCATAAGAAGAATTTGGACTCTCCAACGCTGATCTCCCCCTGGCTGGGAACAATATCCACCTGCAGAGAAACTGAAAAAACAAAACAAAACAAAACAAAACAAAAAACAAAAAAAAACCCACAAAGTTCAGTTCAAACGTACATTCCAATGTTCAAGAATGAAACCCAGATCTTCCATTCAAAAATAGGCTTCCCAACTGACTTTAAGAAAGAGTGAAGGGAGGAGGTTGTGTGGAGTTTGAGAACTTGTGCCACCAACAGCCAGGGCCATGTGCAGCCAGAGAGAGACACGGCCCAGACCATTCTCCTATGGAATAGCTATTTCCCCTCAGAGAGTGCAAGGTGCCCTGGGAGATTCTGGGTGATCTCTGCACTAAATGTTTCCAACCCCTTGAGAAGACTTATGATCCTGCTCCAAAACAGCAACATCCTGGGATTCACAGAAATGGTGACCCAACCAGTTCCTTCTGGATGTCATCTGAAGTGTCTCCACAGCTGTGTCAAGTGCAGTAAGGCTGCACTCCAGAATCAAGCTCAGGGGTCTCCTGCCAGTTCCCCAGGCTGTCCGGACACAATCACTAGGAGGGCTCACACTGATTTTGAAGTGGGGATGGTAAGGGTAAACCCTCACCTTCCCTCACGACTACAGGACCAACACACCTTTTTCCATAACAGGAGCCAACATCACATATCACCACCCCAATTAGTCAGACACCCTTTGGAAATTCTGTAGCCCGTGCCCTGTGGAATTCCCTGGGTCCCTTGGCTACTTTCCCTGAATATTTATTTGAACATCCATATGCTCTGTCATTCCACTGCACCGATAAGACAAAATACACTGCGCCAGATCTCACAGATCCCTGTGTTCATCTGCTCCTCGTTTATCTGCTGGGAGCAGACAACCATTCCTCATGAAAATAGAGTTTCGAGGTGGAAAAATGCTTTATTCCTTTGAATTCAACTTCTTTCTGCCTTTCCTTCTCTTAAGTAAACCCCAAATCTAAAGGCAAACAGGTATTTGGTTCAGTGCATGGGGCTTCTTCTGGCCAACAGGAGGGACAGGCTTGAACAAAACAGCCTGGGGAATGGAGATTCAGTGAGCCCTTCCTTCCAACAGCCATTTTCTTTTCACAGTAGAATGGAGGTGATGCTCGTTGCCATGGTGACCGGCTCGCAGGCAGAGCTGCTGCAGGTCTTGGTCTATGCTTATTTGATGGAGAGACTACAGTTGTCCTCAGCCGACTGCAGGGATTAGAGGGCCTGCTTGGGGCTGGGAAGGGGGTGCGGCCTTCCTAACCATGCCAGCAACAGACAAGGCAGGTCACGGAGAAAGCCAGCAGAGGCTTCAGAGAGAAAGAGGTGATGTGGTGGAGACAGGGATGGAAAAGGGAAGGAGGAGGGCATAAGGGGAGAAATGGGGCCCTGGGCAGAGGCAGGGGGAAGATGCTGACGCTGTCATCTGTGAAAATCAGAGGGGAAAACCCAGACTTCCAAAAACTGGTTTGGAAGAAATAGAGTAATCTAGGGCAGCTAGTTTCTCCCCTGCTCAGACCACCACTGCCGGCTCCCTGAGGCTCAGGACTGAATTCTTGCCTGAGAGCAATAAAAAGTCTTCCCCTGCCTCTCCTGAATGTGGTCGCAGCACACAGAGCTGTGCTGGAATACTATGCCGCGGGGTCACTGCCCGCAGTGCAAGTGTGATTATCTGTGGGTGCTTTCTCCTGTCATTCTCCTCAGGATGGAGTTCAGGTGCCACTTGATTCTACACTGTGAGAGCCCAAAGGGGTCTCAGACATCACCACATCCTGCCTCCTCATTTTCCAGATGAGGAAAAGGTGGAGTGACTTTCCTATGGTCACTTCTAGTTAGGGCTAGCGTGGCCCCAGAGCCCAGGCCTCCTGGCTCCGGGTAGGTGATCTTTCCATGATGCAATGCTGCCCCTGCACAGAGGGCAAAACGTTTCCATTCACTAGAACACACCATCTGGGAACCCCAAGTAACAACCCTTGGATTCACTATCCCTTAACAGAACACAGAGAGCCCATGAATTGATAAGGGCCCATCGTATCTTGGGGAGCATGGAGCCTTACAAAGAGAGCTGCAGGCCAGTGCTATCCATGCTAAGGCCAGCCAGGACCTTCCCTGTCACTTCCCGTGGCTCTCATTCTCTGGGAACTACAGGCTTATGAAGCCCAGAAGCTGTGTCTATGCCACGGTCACCTAAGTCCTGATCTTTTCTGGAGTTCACTGGAGCATTCCTTAAAGAATGAGAAGCTGAGTCCCCCCAAGAAAGTTTGCTGGACCATATGCTGAGTATTAGCAGCCAGCTTCAACATATGGATCCTGTTACCCTCGTTCAGCCCTTACTGCTTTGAGAAGGATATTCTTATCCCAAGTGAAAAAACAGCCTTCATTTGTTCAGCTCTTTTCAAACAGAACACAACTCTCAAGGGGCAGGAGAACACGGCAAGGCTGAGGAGTTTTCATATCCAAATGCGGCCAGGATCTATCTCTGGGCCATGGAGAGAAAAGGGAAACAAGGCTTTCAAAGGAATTCCCTGCTTAACAGGATCCCACGCACACATTTATCATCACAGAAGTTTTTTTTTTTTTTTTTTTTAAGGGTGTTTCTTTTACTTTATTTGCAAAATATTCTTTTTTTTATTATTATACTTTAAGTTTTAGGGTACATGTGCACAATGTGCAGGTTAGTTACATATGTATAAATGTGCCATGCTGGTGTGCTACACCCATTAACTCGTCATTTAGCATTAGGTATATCTCCTAATGCTATCCCTCCCCCGTCCCCCCACCCCACAACAGTCCCCAGAGCGTGATGTTCCCCTTCCCATCACAGAAGTTTTTAAAGGAAGAGTTATCCATTTAGACGCCTGGCCTTTTGCACAGATGGAAAAGCTAGTGATTCCTCCCTCAAAACACCAGAGACAAAGCTGGCCCAGAGGAACCCCAGGTTCTCTGGAAATCAATGCTTGGATGTTTTCCACTGCAGCACAATGGCTGATTATTCTTCCCCAAACACGAAGCACTGAAATACTAGGTTTAATGATAGTAAGTGGAAATCCTGCTTTGATCTCAAAACTCCTTCCCTCCATTGCTTGCTGCCTGGTCCTTTCCTACTCTGTTACTATTTTCATTGTTCCCAATACAAATTCCTACCTCAACTTTCACCTTTTTTTCAGTTGCATATGTAAGTGGAATTTCGTCACTGGGCATAACTCCCACCTTAAAAGGCACTTATGTAAACATTTCTCACAGACGAAGTATCCCATCTCTTGCTTTCCATAAACACTCCTTGCGTAAATACTGCATCATCTTAGCTGGATTCAAAGACACGTGCTTATGAACCTAGGTATTGGGCTGGGCAGGACCCAGGGGCAGGGACAAGAGGCGCTTCCAACAGTGCTTCCCACGCCTCCAAGAAGCACTCATCCCCCAAGCCCTCTTTTGTGGACAGTTCACACTTTCCAGTTTACAAAACACACTTCATTATTTCATCAAACAGTTCTGAGTGATAAAAAGGCCAATATTATTGTCTCCACTGTATGAACGTGGAAATTGGGGCTCAGAGAAATAAAATAACTTGCTCAGGGTCCCTTAGTTAATGAGCACTAAAACCAAGATTAAAAATCATCTACTTCTAAGGCTTGAACTCTTCCCCTAAACCCCTCAACTACTATAACCTTCTGTCCATCTCCAAATAGGTTTATTATAACCTATTAGTTACCATTTACACTCTTTCCAAATCATAGGCTAGAAAGAGCACAGTCTTTGTACAAAGATCTAACATCAGCCGGGCGCAGTGGCTCACGCCTGTAATCCTAGCACTTTGGGAGGCTGAAGCAGGCGGATCACAAGGTCAGGAGACCCGTCTCTACTAAAAGTACAAAAAATTAGCTGGATGTGGTGGCACACACCTGTAGTCCCAGCTACTCGGGAGACTGAGGCAGGAGAATTGCTTGAACCCGGGAGGTGGAGGTTGCAGTGAGCCGAGATCATGCCACTGCACTCCAGCCTGGGCGACAGAGCAAGACTCCATCTCAAAAAAAAAAAAAAAATTCTAATATCAAGTTGCTGCCATCATTTCTCTCCTGGTTAACTATAACTGGCCTCTTTGCTCATAGATAATCACAGCATTATAGCCTCTATTTTACATATGGGTAAGGGACGCTCAGAGCCATAAGTGATGATAATGATAGGGTCAAGATTCAAGACTGGGTTGCAGTTCCAAGTCCAGCCATTTCTCCCACACTATTCTATCCCTTGTTCACAGACAGAAAAAAAGTTCTGTCTTTTGAGAACCAAACAATCTCCCTCTCCCCACCTCAGTTGAGTAAAATAGCCCCATGGGAGACTGATAGATTTTGAAATGTGTTTTCTGTTTAAATGTCTTTTTTTTTAAACTGATGATATGTTCTGAAAGGAATGCCAACTCTTTTAGCAAATGGCTTCAGGTGTAGATAGATGTTTTGTAACTCCCAACTCCCTAGCAGAAGTAGGCTATAAAGTCTTAGCTGCTGAAGAAAAGTGAATTAAAATTTCAGTTCCTAAAAGATGCTCAGGTGCTTATCAGAAGAGGTGGGCAAAGCAACAGAGAATAATTTGTTCTGATTTCAAAAAAGAGTTCACATGAATCAGCAACTTCTTGCAGTAGTTTTATTTTATCGGTTTTCTTTTCAGATTCCAATGGGCTTGAGGAGGGAGGAGCTGACAGCAGACAGGGAACCAAAGTCTCTCCCGTGGCTAATTGAAAATACTTCCTTGTCAAGATGTTATAAAGTCACTGGAGGCTGAGGAAGACATTACAGATGTTCAGGGCCCAAGGCCAATGTAGACACACCCAAGCAAGATGCTCTGATCACCAATTTAAAGGACGGGTGAAACAAACAGGATAAATATCATCAGTGACTATGATGAGATAAGGGAGTTTTCTATAATCTATTTAATAATGACCATGGACTTTTGAAAAAGGCATTAAATTACAGCTATATGTTTGTCTTGTTGGCTATCATTCTAGAAATGAGCCTTAAGTATTGCTAAACATAACCACTGTAATGGAGAATTGTTTTTGTATTTTTCAAAGTATAACTGAATGCTAAGGTCTCTTTCATTTGGCTATACCTGTGGGAAATCCAGATACTGAGACCAGGAGCATAAGAATGGAAGCAGTGCCACTTGCCTGGGATGGTGAGATAGTTTGGCTCTGTGTCCCCACCCAAATCTCATCACGAATTGTAATTCCCATAATCCCCACATGTCAAGCACGGGACCTGGTGGGAGGTGACTGGGTCATGGGGGCAGTTTCCCCCATGCTGTTCTCATGATAGTGAGTGAGTTCTCAGAGATCTGGTGGTTTTATAAGGGGCTCCTCCTGCTTTGCTCATTCACCCTTCTCTTTCCTGCTGCCACGTGAAGAAGGTCTGTGCTGCTTTCCCTTCCACCATGATTGTAAGTTTCCCAAGGCTTCCCCAGCCATGCAGAACTGTGAGTCAATTAAACCTCTTCCCTTTATAAATTACCCAGTCTCAGGCATTTCTTTACAGCATTATAATAACAGACTAATACAGATGGCTTGCTCTCATTATCAGCAAACTACTGGAGGGAAAATAAAGGGTCTCTTCACCACCAAACCTACAAAATCAGTGAAAGTGAATAGGAAACGAATGTGGTCACATTGCAGGGTGGTTAAGACCAAGGACACCAGCCCAGACTACCTGAGTTTGAATCTCAGCTCTGCCACCTATTAGCTTTGTAATCTTGGCCAAGTTATTTAACCTCTCAGTGTCTCATCTGTAAAACAGGGAAAAACAGAACCATCCTCATGGGGCTTTGAAAAGATGAAATGAACCAACATATGTAAAGCAGATAATAAGCATTTAATACCTGTTGTGCATTATTATTCTTAATTAACCTCTAGTAACAACGCTTCCCAAAGAAATTATTTCGGTTACTATTTCTGAGGGGAGCAATGTCTTCCCTTTATGGTTTAAGATAAAGCAACTTTCCCGAATAATCTAGTTTGTGGTCAGGTGGCCCAGTTCTACTCTCTACATTAAAATAAGGCATTTGAATTGCTGGTCAGAACATCTCAGATATAAAAGACTGAATTTAACCACAGCCAAAAACATCATAACATGGGGGGCTCCAGACAAGTAATTTCACCTTGGTCTCAGTTTTCTTGTCTGTAAAAACCGAACAAATGCGATTGGATTGTCACAAGAATTAAATAGGGAGGAGACAGTTGTGATTAAGAACTCAGGATCTGGAGTCAGGGAGATCTGAGTTCAAATTCCAGCTCTGACAGTTAGTAAACTAAGTGAGTTCTCAGATGAATCTCAGAGTCTGTATTCCTCATCTGTAAGTGAATATATTGATCCTACTCATCTCAAAGGGATATCGAAATTGTTTAGAAAGGTAATGTACATAAAGTACCAAACACAAGGTCATGCTGTGTGTTTTTAAATGACAGTACATATGACAGTACTTTGAACTTACACACACACACACACACACACACACACCCTGCAAACAAACAAAATTCCCAATGACACATGTAATGAGAATGAGATAACAGGGGCCTCTTATATACTATTGAATTCAGCCTGTCTAAAAATCTACTAAGGGGTGGCCAGGCGCGGTGGCTCACACCTGTAGTTCCAGCACTTTGGGAGGCAGAGGCAGGTGGATCACAAGGTCAGGAGATCGAGACCATCCTGGCTAACACAGTGAAACCCCGTCTCTACTAAAAAAAATACAAACAAATTAGCTGGGTGTGGTGGTGGGCGCCTGTGGTCCCAGCTACTCAGGAGGCTGAGGCAGGAGAATGGCGTGAACCCAGGAGGCAGAGCTTGCAGTGAGCCGAGATCGCGCCACTGCACTCCAGTCTGGGCGACAAAGCGAGACTCTGTCTCAAAAAAAAAAAAAAAAAAAAAAAAATCTACTAAGGGGTGTGTTTGTGTGTGTGTGTGTGTGTGTGGTGTGTATTTACATTTTTGTGTATGTGTGGATACATCCATTGAGAGCCCATAAAAATATGTGTGTGTATTAATAGAATAATGGAACTTGTCAGGTTGATATTGTTGCAAGAAATAGCTGGACATAAGTAAATGTATCTCGTTTTGGCAGAGAAGAACCAATACATTATTAGGGATGACAGAGCAGTCTTGTCTATACTTGACATGTGAGTCCTACAGTTCCAGCTTAAGCTACTGTTGATAGTAACTGGGTGGAAGAAGAAAATAAGGTAGACTGTTTAACTTTCAAATATTAATCCAAAAGCTAGATGCCATTTTAAAGAGACTATAAAATATGTGTTTGTACAGATTTTGGCTTCTGTTTCAGTATAATGGCTTCATAATGGCAGGCCATACATTAATTGCCACTGGAAGTATCCTCATGGCTTAAAGCTGGCTCACAACAGCAACTGAAATCACCTAGAAGTCATACTTAGTACTGCCAGTCCTTCCATCAGCGTAGTTGGGGTCCTCTTACATAAATCCCAAGAATTCTATCTCATTCCTATTTAAACCTAAACATCTAGAAGTGATCTGCTAGGTTTCCAAATCAACTAAGTTTATAACGAAGCCCTTGGGAAATGCTGTCTAAAGTCGCCACAGGCCCCTGGGCTCCTGGGTTTCCCCTGAGGCGTAAAGCAGCCTAGAGAATGAAGGAAACCCCTCTTGAAAGCTGCAGTCTTTTCTGGCTAGGAACATTAGTGCATAGCAGAGGCGTGAAAGCAGAATTTGAGACAAAAGGCGGAGGGAAAGATGACTCTTGGTAGGTTCATTTTTTTATGCCACAGGATAAAGAAAACGGAGCTTCCTGGTATAAAGACAAGCCATACAGACAACTTTCAGATAACATATAGACATCTCTAAACCAAATGCACTTGAAGGAGACCCTTGGGCTCTTTACACTCATAGAGCAAGCAGGTTTCCAAAATCTATCATTTTTCATAAAGCTACCTGGACTGGGTATTGAGTCATACACAAAAACCATGCAGCAAGCAGTCCTGGTAAGAATTCTCCTTAACCCCTGCCCCCAAATCCTATGACTCTTCCAAACAGAGTGAAGGGGGAAAGGATGGAGAAGGTGAATATGGCTTTAGAATTCTTCAGCATTCTGTCTAATATGACATCATAATTGATTGTCTAATATTACAGTCAGGAAGAAAAGATATTGAATATCCCTTCACAACCGAGCCCTGGATGATTATCCGATATTTTATTACCATAAATACTCTATCCTACGCAACTCTAGTAACCAAACAACAGAAACCAACTAGCCAGAAGCAGGAGGCTCTATTTCTTAGCATAATAAATTATATGAGCTGCTGGGAATCCGGCATAATTGGGGACTGGCTCTGTTCCATGGGGGCTGGCTTCAAATCAGAACACAGAGCCAAGCCAGATAACAGCTTCAGTTCTCTTGGCCTCCTGAGTTCCCTGGGTCAAATTAGCATTTCATTAGGTCCGATTTAGTTTTATAGAAAGAAGTGAGTGGTTTCAAACCATGGTTGCTGCCCCTACAAACCACCTAGCTGCTAGAAAACGTGACTAATTTCATGTCACAGCATCCTGTGCTTCTGGTTATAGGGCAAGAAAGTCTACACATTGGTTGATCTCCTCAGAAGTAATAGAATTATGTGGTTCCCAGGCTCTCACTCCCACCACCAATTCCCAGTCCCCAAAAGGCACCCAGTTCTCTTTTCTCATTTCTTTTCCTTTCCCTTTCTCTTTCTCTCTTTCTCTGTTTCTCTCTTTCTTTTTTTCTTTTTCTTCCTTTCTTTTTTTGACACAGAATTTTGCTCTTCTTGCCCAGGCTGGATCTCGCTTCACTGCAACCTCTGCCTCCCAGGTTCAAGCGATTCTCCCACCTCATCCTCCCAAGTAGCTGAGATTACAGGCCCACATCACCAATTAGCATGCCCTGCTAATTTCTGTATTATTTGTAGAGATGGGGTTTCACCATGTTCACCAGGCTGGTCTCGAACTCCTGACCTCAGATGATCCAACCGCCTCGGCCTCTCGAAGTGCTGGGCTCTCCAGGCTGGCATAAGCCACTGTGCCTGGAGCCCGCTGGAGCATCTTAATGGGCAGTCAGAAGAAATGACTCAAAGGGAGCATAAGCAAGAGCAGGAGACAGACATGTCCTAGACCAAAGCCGTGGATCAAGCACATAGCCAGGAGAGACTCCCGCCTAACTTGATGATACACGCCTGCTTGTTTGTTTTCTAGTTTTAACAGAGTCTCATAGAAGACGAGAATGCTTTCCAGATGTTATTGCTTCCTACCAAAGCAGCAAAAAAAATCAGAAGTATCTCCATAGAGCTCCAAAAGGGCCAGATTCCAGGCCAGGAGTGAAATCCTTTTCAAGTGGACATCAGCCCAGTCTTATATAGAACACAACAGGTGAAGGCAGGAATGTCCTGCAGCCTCATGCACTGAGGAGCAGATAGCCAAGGGTGTGGGGGGTCTGCCAAGAAGGGGTGAAACTGGCCTAATGATAAGCACAACTTTTCCATCTTCTACTATGTTGGAGTCATGGCCAGGATTGCAGAGCCATTTACTAACAAAGGAGGTTAGAGCTGGAAAGGACCTGACGCTTATCTCCAACCCGTTCATTTTATAGGTAGGAAAACACCAGGAACAGAAATCTGGGATGCCTGCAGCAAAGTCTGAAAGCCACAGGGTTGGCCGTTGTCCTGACACTTGACCCAGGGCTTTCTATTGCTTCTGTGTCTCATTTTCTTTTTGTGTCCTCAGTAGTTATTTCTTCAACTGTTTCCTCTTTGCCTGCTCTGTCCCGGTCTCACCTGCATCCCAATAGAGCCATTCTCTCATTAAAGGGAGAGAATAGCTCTATTAAGCACAGCTAAATAAGCTGGACAAATGGTGTGTGCTCTGCTAGTCCTGTGGCAAGCTGATTAATCCATCCAGTGCCTCCCACCAACCCCAGGGGCACTTTTTAACAGAAGCTCAGGTTTCTTGCTCCCTTTTCAGGCCACCTTTCCTGTTCTTTCCCTTGTCTAAGCAGACCCTTATTGCGGGCCAGCACTTTGCATGAAACTGAATTACTAAAATGTAGAGCAAGGATGCAAATTGATGTTTGGAACTCAGCTAAGCTTCTCCAGATAAACAAAGCACAATCCATCAATCTGCCCTGATAAGATAGGCCTTCTTAGTAAATGGCTGTACACTATCTGATTGCTTCCAGGAGGCTCCAGACGATGTTTTCTTTGGTCTGCTCTCCTGAAACCTTGACAAAATGACTCGTCGATGTTCTTTTCTTCCAGCTATAAAAAGGTACTGATACAAGGCGAAGCATTTCCCTCTCTCTCAACTGCTTTTGCCAACATGGCAAGAAGTTGGAATTATATCTTTCAATATTTGTCCAGCTGTTGTTTGCAGATGTTTTATTCTTTACATTCAGAAAATAGAAATTCAGAGAATGCTAGCATGCAACTTCATCCTGAGAATTTTAGATCCTGCCCGTGCCTTTCAATAATGTCCTTATGTGTTCATTGCTTTAAGCACATCTGGGCTATTGAAGATACAAAGGCTTACAATGTCTCCAACAACCAGTGCAAAGAATTGTTAAATTTGGTTTATATCAAGTGGAAAATTCCACATTCATATACATATATATATATATATATACACACACACACACACACATATACACACATACATGTGTGTATATCTATGTATGTACATGTGTATCTATCTATCTCTATCTATCTTCTGTGCCACTGTACCAAGCACTTCACTTAATCCACACAACAATCCTATAAGATAGGTATTGCTATTATCCTATTTGACAAACAAACAAACTGAGGAATGGAGAGGTTAAATAACCAGCCCAAGGCCACAAGGCTGGTAAGCAGTAAAGCCAAGATGTGAACCCAGGGAGATCCAGCTCCACAGCCCTTGCTCTTAAGTATATATTTCTATAAAGTCAATCTCAAAATTAACTCTGATGAAAAAGAAGTTGATTTTCTACTGGGTGAACTGGCAGGCAGGCATGTAAGAAAAGAAAAACACTGTCTCCTAGGAGCTATATGATTCAGGCCCAGGGATATACTAAGTTTAAACAGGGAATGGAAACAGGTTGCTGGAATTCCTGAGCCCACCTGGCTACACTCTTCTCCCTGCCGTAGACTTTCCTTCCTCTCTGAACCGAATTCCCTCCAACCCTGCTCCTCACCACCAGTGGGTCCAGCCTCAATGTCCACCTGCAGCCCTTCCCTTCTGTCTCTATAGCTCAGTTCTCAGCATTGGTGGTGGATGCCAACAGGGATGGGGTCGGGGGCTGCTAGTTGGATTTTCATTTTCCCATCTATGGATTACTACTGATCCCCCAATTTGGGTTCTGGATAAGCCATACCTTTCCTTATTAAAACGTTGATAATAAAATTATCCTTTGATGATCCATAAATTGTGACTGGTTCTGCCCCCACTCCCTGCAGAGTGTGCATTTGAAACAGATTATTCATATAGCCACTCAACTTGTGCTGTCTCCAAGCAGCCATTCTCCTTAAGGGGTCATCTGTAGAGTGTCCATGTTAAAGGGATTCCTGTTGGAGGTCACACTCTTCTACTGGATGGAGAGTCCATTCCCCACCCCCACAACCACTGTCACACCAGATCAGATGGTGCCTGACCTGCTAGATAATACATAAACTAAGTTATACAAAATTTTGAAGGAGGTAGAGCAGAAGAAAATCCAGCCATTTGAATAATAACTTGCCAAACAGAATACCCTGGGACATCGTTGTTTCGCTTTCTTGAGTTAGGGAACAAATGAGAAGCTGTCCCTGGAACCCACAGCTTTTCACCACTCATCAGGGTAGGAAATGCCACGTCATCATGACCATGGCTTATCAGGAACTCAGAACCCAGAGTAGCCCAACCTAGGGCTGGGTGTGGAGAGGGGAGAGGAGAAGGGGCAGCAGCAGATGGTGGCCGTGGGGCGGTGCTGGCACATCCAAAATACATTCTTCTTCTGTGAGTCTGCAGTATTACATCTGGCAACATTATGATGCATCCATCCACAGAATTACCCATAGCATTACTTTCTCCTTCTCAGTTAGTTAACAGTCCTCAGGCTATGTGGATGGCCTCCTCCTGTCTTCACACGCTGTAATTTCAGAGATCCAGAAAAGTCCCAAAATCCTTCCCCAACCCCCAGGCTGGTTACTGACATTCTGTCTTCATTCTTCGTACTTCTACCTTGTGATTTATGTGTCTAAGAACAGCAAGGGCCTCTGGCTGCTCTCAAGGTTGCTATCCATTTTTTCTGACTTATAATAAATCAAAGATTTAGGTGGAGTCAGTTGGGAGGGCTGGGGAAATGGTTCACTGGTAGGAGTAGTGAGGTTGGGGGAACACGACCAAACACACAAACTTGGTCACTGGGACCTCCCCCATGTGCTAATTATGCTCCTGTCTTCCTGCCCAGAATAATGCTACATCCAAAAAGAACTGCTAATAAGTCATACAAATTGAATATGGAATGAGATCCTTTTATCCAGCATAGTTTTTTTTTTTTTCCTTGTTTGTTTGGGTTTTGTTTTTATGGTAGCATTTTTATTTTTTATTTAAGCAATCAGTACTAAGTTCTTTCACGATTTTCTTAAGACTTTCCTCCTCCCTCAATCCAAACCCAACTGTCCTTGACAAACTCGCTTTGCTTCATCCAACAGGCAAGAGAGCCTTTGAATCCCAGTCTGTGAAATCAAAGACAGAAACATTAAAGACAGCCCCTCACCCCCAAGGCACAATGTCATAATGTGCTTTGATGTTCAAGGACTAAAATCAGAATGGAGTCCCAAGGAACCAATTCAAAGGTCAGGGACAAGTAACGAGGCTCACCCATGAGAAACAAACACAAACCAAGTTAATCAGATGGCAGCTAAGTCTCCTTCTAGGAAGAATTTCACAAAGGCTATGCTTCTTTTCTTTTCTTTTTTTTTTTTTTTTTTGAGACAGAATCTCGCTCTGTCACCCAGGCCAGACTGCAGTGGCATGATCTCGGCTCACTGCAACCTCTGCCTCCTGGGTTCAAGTGATTCTCTGGCCTCAGCCTCCTAAGTAGCTGGGACTACAAGCACACGCCACCATGCCTGGCTAATTTTTGCATTTTTAGTACAGACGGGGTTTCACCATATTGGCCAGGCTGGTCTCAAATTCCTGACCTTGTGATCTGCCTGCCTCAGTCTCCCAAAGTGCTGGGATTACAGGTGTGAGCCACCGTGCCCGGCCGAGGCTATGCTTCTTAACTTCCCTACCAAGGTGACAAATTCTAGTTATTTATAACTTTAAAACCAAGTAACTAAGCTTCCTTATTCCTGGATCACTGGTATTGCTGTCTAAATGAAAGGGAAAAGCCTACGGAGAGGACAAACTCTTTTCAGGGGAGGTCTGCAGAAAACTTCCTTCCATCTTCAGGAGAACAAATGCCTTTTCTGGAGGTGGAAGTTTACAGTGACCACGGTGACTCTGCCTGGCATCCCAGCACCAACTCTAAATAAGAGATGTGAGTGGGACAATGGGAAGAAACCACATACATACACACAGGGAGACACACACACACACACTCACACTCACACACACACACACCACCTTCCTCACCCTGTCTCCCTGGACAGTGAATTCCCCCTGGGAATGTTAGTGACCAAAAGTCACTGGTTTGTGTCAAGTCACAGTGACCAGGCAAAACTGGGTTCCTTAAAAAGAACCCAGGTCACCAGTCACTGAAATTTTCTTCTTTAAAAATAGAATCAACCTCAACAGTAGCTAAATATGGGGTGCAATAACTAGTTTCTATTCCAAATTGGACTGACAGCTCTAAAACTGAGAAGCCCTCAGACTAGTATCAATCTGAACAGATTTAAATAAGGAGTTCATGCAGGATGTTTTGAAATATAATGCTGAGAGATTCAAGTTTCAGTTCTCTTCTATTCCTATAAGAAACTTCCCCAAACAAACTCCATGCTGAATGGCTCTAATGCTTCAGACAGCCAAGGCTGTAATTTCTGCTGCTGTAGAAACAGTAACACATCTGTCTGCTCTTAGATAGATGTGGAGTCCTGGGGGTGACTGAGGAGCCCCTTTGAGGTTCTCAGGGTCTCATCATAGAGGATGAGGTGTGGCTTTCAGGCTTTCATCCACAGACGATGGTGATAAAATGGGCTGCTGGTTTCACAAGGGCTGGGATCTCCCCGACATGCCCGTCTTTTGTCTAACAGCATCCCTACCTTCATTCCCCTTTGGCTCTCTCTCTCCTCACACCCTCAAATTCCCAGGGTGAGCTTTCTGAATATGTTACAGGACTGGCAAACAGACAGAAGTCCTCCACACCCAACAGCAGCAACAGTAGCAACAAACTTTGGTCAAAAAGAAAAGGCACTGATCTATATGAATACATACTCCTGCTCATGCAATGTACCTTATTTTATAACAAGGCAAGCTGCCTTTATTTCTATAAAGTCATAGCTGTCAGCAACACTATTTGGCCTTTAAAGATGCCAGTATCTTATAGAAAGCTATTAAATGGTAATAACCTGACAACCAAGTCTGCTAAAGGGCCAGAGTTGCCAGAATAAATGGCCCGAGAAAAAAGAGCACACAATTCCAGTGGCGGTCCTCAAACTCCCTCTGGTACAACGAATCTGTTGCTGAGTTTCTTTCTGCTCTCTGGAGGTATAAGTGACTACTGTCTACTCCTCTTTTCCAGTGTGGGGTCTACACATAGCTTCACATTTCATGGAGCGTTCCTCACTGAGTCCATTTAAGCAAGTTTGACACATTTGGAATAGCTTATGCAGATCTTAATGCCAAAACACACACACACACACACACACACACAGAAACACACACACACACACACAGATCCTCAGTGTACACAATATCAGACTCAAAACTCACTGGACTGTGAGTTATTTGCCTGTTTTCTAGCTGAGGAGAGGTGATGATAAACTCAAATTTTTCTCCAAAACTTCTAGGTAAGTTATAAGGCTAAAAAATCAAACAAACAAAAATAACCACCACATCAAAGACTGCTTACCCTCTGTGTCCTGTACCTTCCCTGAACCCTTGGGGAAAGGCCATCAAATGCCCAAAATGAATTCAATTCTAGGGTTGGCTCTTGTCTTGGACCAAGATCCTTTTGTAATGTCACGAGGAAGACTGACCCAGAGACCAAAGCCTGAAGTCAAGAAGGTCGGGTCTAGTTTCCTCACAGAGCAAAAATCTGCTGCAGTCAAACACGAATTTGGCTTATTTTTGCATCTTAGCAAAAAGCCTTGCTATTCAGCTCAGATATGAGGCTTCTCCTTACCTGGGGAACTCCCTTAGATACCAGTTGCAAGAGGCAAACCTGCAAAGGTGAGAATTAGTCAAGAAAGGGAGCTAAGAACTTCAGTTGAGAAGGAAAGTACCATTATGGCAACAAAAAGAGATGGAACTAACTGGAGGACACATTAGTGAGTGTCACTCATGTCCCCTAAGGAGCCTGAGCAAGAAGCCACCCTCTATGCTAATTCTGTTGCTTCTCACAGCCTTCCAGAAACACCAGCTGGGACACTGGCTTCGCACCTCTGCTGTGTGTGAATATCCTGTTGCATGCTCTGAACTCAGAGGCTATTGCTAGGACACTCCATGAGACCCTGATCAGCTGCCAGAGGGCTGGGACACACTAGACTGAACAGAATAGAGGGCGACCCTTTGTAAGCTTCAAAATGTGACACTTCTGGATTCTTTCTCCCATGAAACACCAACCCAGGCCCCCAGAGTGCCGATGCGGGGCCATCTCCTGATCTTAACTGTCAAAATCTGACCAAGTGTTCTCCAAGAATGTGGAATGAAGGTAAAGAGGTAGAAAGGTCAATTCTTCCTTTGTGATCCTATAGCAATTAGCTTGTGCCTTAATCAAACCTCTTACTGTGTTATAATGTAATGCATTATCATCTGTCTAAATCAGCAGTCCCCAAGTTTTTGGCACCAGGGACAAGTTTCATGGAAGACAATTTTTCCATGGACCGGCAGAGGGTTGGGAGGTGGTTTTGGGCTGAAACTGTTTCAGCTGTGATCATCAGGCATTAGATTTTCATAAGCAGCATACAACCTAGAACCCTCGCACGCACTTCTATGAGAATCTAATGCTGCTGCTGAACTGACAGGAGGCAGAGCTCAGGCAGTAATGCTCACTGGCCCACTGCTCACCTCCTGCCGTGCAGCCCGGTTTCTAACAGGCCATGGCCTGGTACCAATCTGCAGCCCAGGGCTGGGGACCCCTGGCCTAAATGACTGAACTTTGTAAGGACTGTTTGCATTCCCAATACCCAGCATAGTGCCTGGCCATGCCTTAAAAGATAGTTGCTGAAATAACCTGAAAATCATATTATGACCGTTGTTTTCTGAGATTCACACCAGTCTAATGGTCCCCAAATGCAGCGGGGGCAGGCTCTGGACCAGGGGCAGGTTATCTGGTTAAGAATCACCTCCAGAACTTGTTAAAAATAGATTTCCTTGCTACAGCCTGAAAATCTTGAATCAGTACCTCCGGGGTAGGGCCACTGTGGTTCTAGTTTTAAAGAGCTCCTCAAGTGATTTTTACATACAGCCAGGTGAGGGGGGTCACTGGCTTAGTCAATAACCTACCTGGGATAACTGACGAATTGCAAATACTATTAAACTCAGTTAAACTCTTCAAGCCCCTTCCTGGAATTGCTTATTTTTACAATCATTCTAATGTTGTTCTGCCTACTTGGCCATGTATTACGTTAAGCAGTGTGACATAGCGCTGCAGAAACTCCCATTTCATGCATTTGTTTTCACGTTTGTCCCTGTAACACTTTAGGAAGTACAATGCTACACTAAAACTGATTGTGATGGTTAATTTTATGCATCAATTTTCCTGAGCCATAAGGTGCCCAGATATTTGGTCAAACATTGTTCTGATTGTGTCTGTGAGGGTGTTTCTGAATGAGATTAACATTGAAATTGGGTAGACTGAGTAAAGCAGACTGACTTTCCCAATGTGGGTGTGCCTCATCCAGTCAGTTGAAGGTCTCAATAAAATAAAAGACTGATTAATAAATAGTTCTTTCTTTCGGCTTGACTATCTTTGAGCTGGGACATTGGTTTTCTTCTGCCTTCAGACTTGGACTCGGACTGGATCTTACACCATCTGCTCTCTTGGTTCTTGGACTCAGATTGAAACTAGACTATAAGCTCTCTTGGGTCTTCAGCTTTCTAACTGCACATCTTGGATATCTCAGCCTCCATAACTGTGTAAGCCAATTCCTTATAATAAATCTCTCTCTCTCTCTCTCTCTCTCTCTCTCTCTCTATATATATATAAATATAAATGCACACACATACACATATATATAATGTATATATACACACACACTTATATGCATGTGTGTGTATGTATCTCCTATTGGTTCTCTTTCTCTGGAGAACCCAGACTAGTACATCAATATACATGAAAACATCATATTTTTCTAAAAGTAGATATGACTTGCAATCAAAATGGATATAATATAAAAGACAGGACGTTACGACTGGACACCACTGCCCTTAGCACACAGTTTGACATCCTTGGTCCACCTAGCCCAGGATGACAACTCACACACCACAAGTGGAAGGTCTCCATAAGTGTCAGCTGATCAGTTGGGCAATCTTTCTATTGATTTGCTAAGCAGGTCGGCCTGACATATTCCCTGTGTGAGTCATGTCCAAAGCTCCCACAGACGAATGTGCTAGTCACTAGGAGGATATAGTGTGAGAAGCATTCTAGAGGCTCAGAGCGGATTCTTGTTAAGCATAAGAAAAAGAAAGGTGTGGGTATGTATGAGGCATCAGACACTGCCTTCCTAAAATGAGACTTTGGGGTTCTGAAATAAAAAGTCTTTAGAAATTCTGAGTTAGCTATAAATCATAAAACAAGATGAATTACTGCTATTGTATCTTCAAAATGGTAGTTAAAAGGATAGCTGGCACTAAATGGCAGACTTTGAGCATAGAAAGCTTTCTGTTCCATGGTATAAGGAACTACCTGCCTCTTATCTTTATTCTGTTATATTGATGAATTTTAAACCTCTACAGGTGCATTAACTAGGACTCTCAATCCCCTGCTGAACCCAACAAGAGAAAAATTTCAATTGTTTCCCTCAGTTCCTAGCTGAATTCATCTTGCCTTCAAAGCTATGGAGTCCCAAGGACAGATGCTCTTTTTATATGTAAAAGATTATTATTTATTCCTGGTATCTCTATGCTTGTTGATTGATTTTTTCCCCTCCTCTCTACAACATTTGCTTCACTTTAAAGAAAAAGCCATTCAGTGATTTGTTAGCTCTTCCTTGAATTTGGGAATTCATAGCCACTGCACAAGTGCAGATGCCCTTTCCATTGGAATGATAGATCTTTCTGAGCATTCAGCATGGACCTCTACAGCTTACATACTCCCTAGACATTGCCTACATGTAGAAAATATAGAAGAAAATATATAAGGACATTTTCCTATACAATCTTTTTGTTTCCCTATTTTAAACGATCAAGAGAAAGTCAAATGACACAGAAGTGTCATACCCCAGCTCACTCTCCTGAGGACACTGACCCACAAGATTCAAAGCAGCCTCCTGGTCCCAAGGTTGAGGAGGTCATTTGCTTTCCAAGTGGTTGGTATTATGAACACGAATAAGTCCCTGGACATGCGAGTTCTAGCTGGTTAAATAATTTGCTGCTGAAAGTTTCTTGGTCTTCAAATTAGAAATTGATAACAATATTTTCGAGATGCCTCAAGCAGTTAATTGGAGAAAAAGAGGGGATAAAAAAAATCACACCAAGAAGCCAGACTATAATTTACCTAGAGTGAGGTCAGGTCATTTCTGTAATTTCAAAGTGCCTTGTAGTTGGTTTTATACCCAGCAGGTTCTAATAAATGCTCTCCACTACCTGACAGCAAACCCTCTTTCATTTGCGTGTATTTCCTAAGGTGAATATTGTTTCTTAAATTACTGGGTAAAAAATGCATTTTGAAATTGTTTTCAATGGCAATGCCTGGTCAATCTGGAGGAGCGGGACAGACAGATCCCACAGAAAGAGGCCTGCTGTGCACACGTGGCAGGGCATCCGGATTCTGGTTTCTAACGTCCTCCTGGGTTCTGTGGCACTGGTGCCCCAGCTGTAGAATTAGTATAAAAGAGGCAGAGGGTGGCAAAGTGGGAAAAGCAGTTGAAAAGGAACCAGAAAACCAGGGGTTTTGTTCTGGTCTTGCCCCTACAAACACCCACAGGATTTGAGGCAAGTTACTGTATCTTGCCAGGAAGGTCTCAGCTCGCTCATTTAGAAAGGAAGGGGTTGGACTAACTGATTTTGAACACTCATTTCACCTCTATAGTCAAACAACTGGGGCCCAACTGACAATTTGTCAAGGAGTTTCCCAATTTTCTCATTTTTCTTCCAGGGCTGGCTCACCCCAGTCCTGCCAAGTGGGGCTCCAATCTGCGGCCCAGGCCCACCCAGTTCTGAGCCAATCTTCACTGATGGTGGCAGCACATCAGAGGTCCCAAGCCACCTGGGCAAAGCGAGGGCTGCCGCTGTAAGCCTGAGGTCCTGGAATATCTGGGAGGTGCTGACCTCTTGCAGCCCCGCTCCCCAGTCGGGGGCTCTGCTCGCTCGACTCTCCACTGCTGGCTGAAGTTCTAGTCCAAACCAGACAGTCCACCCAGAACACAGCACCGCCCCTAACTCTGGGGGGATTCTGCTGCCACTCTGAGCTCCTGCTGCTGCTGCTCTGGAGGAACCAGCTACTCCCAGCTTTTCTTCTTTGGTGAAACAGAGATGGCAGCACTGTCTGCATCATAGAGTGGCAATGAAGAGCAAGCAAAATGACACATGGAGTGCCTAGTACGTGGGAGGCACTCTGCAAAGGGGAATAATTATAACCATAATACAAGGCATAAAAAGGCACGTTCTAGACAGCTGTTAATTACGTCACATTCAGGGCCCAGAAGAGAAGCATCAGGGCCAGGATGACAGAGGACAGTGAAGGAAGGAACAGATCCACGCTCCACACCTCCTGCTTGACCGGCAGGAAGAACTCTACAAGCTGGCCCTGGTGTGCTTTTGTAATGCATTACCAGTCGTCCCTGGACATATTGCCATCTGGTAGGAGAGTGAGCTTGGAGAAATAGAGAACGAGACAGACTATTCTTCTATCAAGGCTTTTACTTCTCTTGGGGTACAGTCAAAAAGCTTGATGTTTCTTCAAGTGTTAAGCAATCCCTATGGACTGATGGGAAGAGATATGAATACCTCTGAGGACAGTAAGTTGTGTTTTACCAAATAACATCATTCCAACCAGGGCTATAATAAAACCAAGGAGCTAGAGAAAAAAATCACTGTATTGATTTGTGTTTTTCTTCTTTCCTTTGGGTATATGCAGCAGTAAGCTACTTAGACATGTGTATTCCGAATGTACCCCTAGGGCTAATTTCAAAAAATACTTTTTGAAGCTAAAGTGGCTAAGTGGTCTCATTCAATTTTTAAACTCTGGAGGCTTGTATGTCAAAAATAGCGTGGGGTTCCTTAATCTAATCCTGAGTGGCTATCTGTCAATCAAAGAGATGGGACCAGGACCCCTGGTTGCTTCTGAGGTCCAGTCCTCTTTCGGAAGAGGGGAGAGAAGATCATCTGGATTACAACCACATAGTAACCACCCCCTCTTTTTTTTCTTAAATATTTATTTTAAGTTCCAGGGTACACGTGCAGGACGTGCAGGTTTGTTGCATAGGTAAACATGCGCCATGGTGGTTTGCTGCACAGATCAATCCATTACTTAGGTATTAAGCCCAGCATCCATTAGCTATTCTTCCTGATGCTCTCCGTCCCCCAGTCCTCCACTCCGACAGGCCCCAGTGTGTGTTGTTCCGCATCCCATGTGTCCACGTGTTCTCACTGTTCAGCTCCCACTTATAAGTAGAACAAGCGGTGTTTGGTAAACCCCTTTCTTAAGAAAAGTCTGGCCATCATTTGTTAGCCTACTGACACTCAAAGCAGGTATTTAGACCTCAGAACCTGCACCTGTCAAGGCCAAACAGCCGGCATCCTACCAAACAAAGCTCAGGAGGCCAAGCTGACTTGGGCAGCTTGAGAGTGGGCAGCTTGGAACCACAGGGCTGGCAGGGCCCGAGAGGCTGCCCAGGGCTCTCCCACACCACAGCTGCAGACCAGATCTCAGAGCCCTCTTAAAATCAGTAGCAAATTACTCTAAGTGGATTCTCCCAGCCTAGGCTGTAGGAACTCATCTTTACAGTTTAGTGAAACTGAGAACATGATAAAGAAGCCCCAGCAGTAGAGTCAGCATTGCTATTTCAGATCAGGGATATTTTTATTCTTGCTTGATACTGTACCAAAAACTGCAATATGAATGAGGTCCTCATCCCAGACGCAAGACTCCCATCAACACCGAAGCGTTTAACTGTGGGCCACATGCTTTACAAACATCATCTCTGGGACGCAGCATGGTCTCTGCATACTCATTGACTGAGTGGTTGAACCTCACATCCACCCACCCATTATACAGACGAAGAGCTGGAGGCTTAGAGAGGTTAAGTAAATTGCTCAATATTACACAGCTAGCAGCTGGGGAGCTGGATTTATTCTGCTCCAAAGTCCATTTCCTTTCTCTTGTACTATGCCATCCCCAATAACGCAGTGAGGCCTCAGAGGAGATATTTCTTCTACTTTTTCTACTCTAAGTACAAGTCCTTGCTGTTTTTGCTTCAGAGTAGAGTGGAAGAAAAACTTAGTGCTACAGGAAGACGGCCTCCTGCACATCACACAGAGATTCGGGGTTTCCCTTATGTGGGCTCTGCCCAGGGATAGGGGCTCCTACATCAGGCTTTATGAAGGATCATTCCAGAGAATGCCTTATAATTCTTTTAGTATCAAGTGTCATGCTAAGAAAAACTTCACATTATAGTTTTTACCTCTAAAAGTTTGTTTTTATCCTGCAGCTAATGCTTCCCAAGAAGGAATCTTGGAGATACCTATAAGCCCAATCAAATGTACTTTCTCCTGCCTTTCAATACCCCTGTAGCGCTAAACTCACTCTTTATTTGGGTAGTCCATATCCAATAAGCAGGATAATACTATAAGCCTCTTCCAGACAGGGGCTATATCTCACTGTTCTCTGCAACCTCTGAGTGCTCAGTCATACCTGTGCCCAGCAGCTGTTCAATGCCTATGAGATGAAGTGAGAAGCCAGGAGAATGCTCAGCACAGAGCCTGCCAGTCAGTCGTCCACAAATCACAGGAGTGAGAAAAGAAGGAGCAGCAGCTGCAGCAGTGGTGGCAGATGTTGCTGCTGTTCCTGGGTTGCCCAGGAATCTGGGGTCTTGTTCTGTGTGCCCATCTTAGGAAAGTCATATAACCTCAGGGTCCCCAGTTTCTACATTAACAAAATCATAGAGATTGAGTGTGAATATTCTTTGACTCTAGAATATTAATGAGTTGAATCCTTCCCCATCCACTGTCTCTTATTAACCAAGATGCCTCTTAAAGATACTGTCACAAAAGCCAAGTGTCTCCATATTTTAAGACATGCATCCTAAAAGCAAAAGAAATCTTGGTATTTCATGCTAAGGAGGTTTCAGACATCCTCTTATCTCTAGCAATTTCCATGTGTTTGCTGGAAATGCTTTCCAAAATCTTTTGGTGATTGTCTATACTTTATCCTGCCTTCGGGGGATGAGAGAGAAGAAATGACCCAAGCGTTGATAGAAAAGGCACACAAAGACAGTCTGGCAGTGTTCACTTATTAAGCAGAGCAGACAGAGCAAGAGATGGCTTAATCACATACCTGCCTCTCCCTCACCACTGTGCTGCCACACAATAGGCCTCTGGAAGCAGCCAGCTTGTCAGCATAATTCCCTGCACAGTGGGTGAGCTGAGGCAAAGATAATTTTCCAGGCTGTTTGGCTATCAACAGACACCAAATTGCTTAGCTGAGCAGACATGATTTCCTTCAACTTGTTGCAAAATTCTTAAACAAACCCTGAAAATGGAAATGTGCTCTTATTTTGCTCCATAGCAAAAGGAGAGCAAATTCTTTACTTAGGAATCAACAAGTTGGGGGTACACACATAATCATACACTCTCACAGAAAACAAGGCTAGGCTTCAAAATTGTTAAAATGTATAATTAAAAAGTATATGACAGTTTCTTCATCTCTCTCTCCTGCCCAGTGGCATGCTGGTGAATATTTATCAAAAGGCTTTTGGTGGTGGGGGAGTCCTGATTTGTAGCATTCACCCATATCTGTGGTGTAAATCCTCCCACCGTGAAATTTCAAGCTACCAACATGGTATTACCAAATGCAGAGCTGGGAAGAGATGCGTATGGTTGATTCTCACAAACCAGTGGAGCAGCTCTGGCATAATACTGTCCTGCCTGACATTCAAGTCCTAGTCCTGGGCTCTGAAATAAAAGTGGGTCACCAAGAGCCTGCTTCTTCCAGCCTGGTGTTAGCAGCAGGTGAGTGAGCTGATGCAAATGAGACTAAAGCACCCGGACTCTTCGAATGTTGGCCTTCGAATGCTGTAATCTGCCATGTGTCATCACTCCCTGAACTCTAGTCCCAGGTTCTTCACTCTTCAGAAACCCAGCAAACATTTTCTGTCCTGACATCAACCAGGGAGCTTATGTGCCATTTACTCAGGGAGAAATTCATCTTCTTTCTTTTTGCAATGAGCTTTTCCTCCTAACCCCAGCAAGCAGGCTTGCTTTGGTTACCCTCCATCTGCCAGAAACCAGGCTGTTTGTCAGAAACTTGCAAAAAAGCAGAGCATTCAACAGTTTGCTAATTGGCCTCCCGGATGAAGGAGCTTCATCAGAGTCCACGGATATGAGGCGAGACCAGCCTGGATGCACTGTCACACTTCCAGACGGTTGGCATGTGCCACCACGTTTCATCAATCTGCTAATGAAATACACATCGGAACTCCAAATCATCTCTCAGGGCAGAAAGGTAGACCTTGTGCAGGGAGATGAGCCCCTGCAGCCTTTTTTAAGTCAACACATTAATGCATCAGGGATGTGGTGTAACGTGAGAGTGTCCCCATCCTTAGTTATTTTACTCTTCTCCGATGTCTTTCTCTCCCATTTGGCCCCCATTTTTCTGTCTCCCTGCCTCTCTTCTGCTCTCAGGTTCACTTTTTGTCTCTCCTTCTTCATTTTTCTCTTCTAAAATGGAAGCACCCGGAGAATGGGGCAAAGAAGAAAGTAGGAAATTTGTAATGTTGGGACCGTATTTGCATTTATTTCATCTGTATGGTCTATCTCATGTTCGTTTCTTGGATGTTAAATCCCACACAGTCTTTAAGGAAGTTTTTTTTAGAGCTTGACTATCCATTTATTTAGTTACTTTTCTAAAATAGCATTCCTCCCACCCACTCTCCTCTAGTGAATCCCTCTTTCACTGCTGCTGTAGGCATTCCTTTTGAGGGAGTGAAGGGAGAGGCCATGGGAAAATGTGACGGTAACAAGCAAGAGCGACAAAGAGGAAAGAGAGAAAGCAGAAACGGAGTGCTGGGAGAGACAGTCCCACCTCAGCGGCTCCAGGCTCTATTGAAATCTGACCCTGCCCATGACAGGGGCTACAAACTGTAGGAAAGACATGATGCTCTCTGCCAGGTGCGGTGCCTCATGCCTGTAATCCCAGCACTTTGGGAGGCTGAGCCAGGGGGGATCACCTGAGGTCGGGAGTTTGAGACCAGCCTGACCAACATGATGAAACCCCATCTCTACTAAAAATACAAAATTAGCTGGGTGTGGTGGTACACGCCTGTAGTCCCAGCTACTCAGGAGGCTGAGGCAGGAGAATCACTTGAACCCGGGAGGCAGAGGTTGCAGTGAGCTGAGGTCGTGCCACTGCACTCCAGCCTGATGACAGAGCGAGACTCCAGCAACAACAACAACAACAACAACAAGACATAATACGTAATGCTGTCTTTCCTAGGTAACTTTTAATAGTGGTTTTTTTTGGCGAAAACAAATCCCATCTTATTTTCTGGTGGAATTTCAGCCCACATAAGGTAGGATGGCAGCAGCAGCATCCTAGCATGATTGGGGAAGATAGAGGCTGGAAGAGCTGATGTTCTTCAAGCCACTCATGTGGTCAGCAGCTTACACCAGGATCTACTCTGTGCATAAGTGTGGTCAACACCAGCACTGAGAACATTCTAACCAGGGGTATGTTAAAATATGCAATGTGTGACTCATAGGCAGCCAGAAAAAACACATCCCAGGATATGCCTGAGATAACATTTTGTGATCTTGCCAATGACCCCTGCCACATTGTCAGGCAAGAAAGTCTATGGAGGAGTTTGGAGAAGATGAAGCAGGTTATAAATTGCAACCTTGCAAAGTCAAGTTTATAATTCCTGGTAAACCCAGTGTAGCATATCACTCTCATATGCCCTTCTGCATGTTAATTTTTCATAAAGGATGCAGTCCTCATAAGAAGTTGATGGGCCAGCTTTTCTCAACAGGCTGGGAAACAAGTGGTGTATTTTTTTATGGTACAGTGGAAACATTTGGAAAGCATTTCTTGTATTTGCCTTTAGGAATTTGTTAAGCTAAATTTGGCTCCATCCCATAGCCATAGAGAAAAAAAAACCACATAAATTAAACACACAGAAAAAAACAAACAATGAGAGGATTTACAGATGTCTCATATCTTAGGATGTAACTAAGAAAGAAACCTTTGCAAAAACCCATAACACCTCCTTTGAAAACCATGGAGTGTTTTGTGTTTATTCTTCCCAGGCTAGTGGGTGTTCTCTGAGGTGGGGATGTGACCTCAGAGTAGACCAGATGGTTTTTCAAAATGTCTAAAAATTGGATGATAGTCAAGTGGACCTTCACCTAATCTCTTATAGAATACAATTCAATCAACTGTGGATGACACAATGTTGATGGGCTCTAGAATACCTAGCATCCCTTCTGACCTTGGGACCCTTCCTTATATTCATGCTTCACCACAATCAAAGCAGAATCTAATTTAGAGTAACATAAGCCATCTTTACCATACACCTTTGCTTTTAAAAGGCGACAGAGAACTCCTCCTAAATCTATTAGCCTCCAAGAGGCCATGCTTGTCCTTGTTCTGTGCATCCCTAGGACCAGCCCCATTCCTGGCATAGATCAGGGGGTTCGTGCAGTTGGTGAAGGGACCTGAATGAACACACTCTAATCTCTGGATTCCCAGCTTGGTGTTCTCAACAGTAGAGTCTCTGATGATTAAACCCTGTTCCCCTAAGACACATTAAATTGTATCAAAACACCAGCATCTGGTGGTTGTTTGACCAACTACCCACATTCTTTATTTTATACTAGTTATGTATTATTGATATATAATATGTATACATATTTTGGGAGTACATGCGATGATTTCATACATTCACATAATCAAATCAGGGTAACTGCCACCCACATTCTTACCGTGATTTCTTCTTCTACCCTCTCATCAACTTCTTGCTTCCATTTAATTTTAGTAGTATTCCCATTTTCATTATTTTTGCTTTTTTCTCCTCTCTTGTATTTTTATATATGCATAATTATACATGTGCATAAATATGTTGGGATTATAAATATAGGGACACAGTATTAAATATGTTCAGATACGTGGGGAGTATGATTGATGTTTTTCCACAATGGTGAATGGTATGAAAAACAGGAAAACAAAGATGTCTTACTATTTCTCCATGTGAAGAAAAGAAGCAAAGCTCAAAGATTCATTCTTCTCAGTATCATAACAGCCTTACTAGCAATACCCTGGAAGCTTAGGCTAGGCCTTGATCTAAAACCAAATATACACATAAGGCATATTGAAATATACCACACCTCTTATTGAGGAATGAGGGCTGATGTGCAAAACTCCTAAACTAAGAGGGCTTTCTACAAAGGCAAATAAGTGGTGAATAAATCAATGACATATATGTAACCAACAGGGCAAAGTTTCCCAACTAGGGTGGATGTACCCAATTCAACTGCTTTCCAAATTGTTACAAAATGCACGATTCACATTCTACCCCTTGCCACCTTCATTCAAACAGTACACACAGCCGCCATCTCTTGGGCCAAGGGTTATTGTGGTGCTGTCATTCACAAATCAGCAAAACTGGTAAACTCTATTAAGCTTCCATCAACTCCTCGTGTTGCATTAGAGACCTCAGTCAACCTTTTGACAACAACTGTAAAATGTCTCCAGATGGTTAACATAACACATCAAAGTTAGTATTCAAAGGCTTCAGTTAATCTAAGAAATACAGATCTCCCACAAGGGCATGACATCACCCAGCAACCTCAGTTGCCAAGGCACCTCTGGAGTCTTATTTTGTAGGAGTTCCATGGAGGAAGCCTTTTGGCTCCTAGCTGGTGTACAAATTCCACACATATATACAACCTTCTCCAGCAGATATAAAGGACTATTCCCTGAGGATGGAGATACAGTTGTTGGTGGGCCTGGAGTGAGAGTGTCAGCATAATACTTGTACTCCCCAAAAGTCTCCTCTGGGATGCACACAGAGGGTTTTGGCAGGAGTCCCTCCTACCCTAAGCCATCTTCCATGTTGCTTCCTGCTCTTCACCACCACTTGCTCTTTCTTAGCCTCAGGGATAATCCTAATGAAGCCTGATTTCTTGATGCCACTTGCAAGTGGAAAAAATACTAAGCATACTATATATGAATTTTTCACATTCCTGAATTTGCAATAAGGTTAAAGTCTATACTAGCCATGGGTGGTCAGATGAGCCAGGTAGGGACATTCCATGTCTCTGGCTCAGGAGGAGCCAGGGGACCAACGTGCAAAATGACTAGTTCATGTGCACATAAGACCCCTATTCCAGGAGTCACAGCCATATCTGCTGACAATATTTACTGGAGCAAATCACTGTTGCAGATTTTTTTCTTTTTTCACTAAAACCTCGCCAATTTATTTTGCCATATACAAAGAAACTTGTGCCTGTGCACTTTTGCACCAACATTACTAAATGAAATTGAGGTTGCTTAGAAATACCTGGTGTTTGTCGGGGAAATGGAGTCTTATCTCTGAAAGAGAAATGTCAATAAGGGCTGAAACCCCAGCAATCACTCAGGAAGTGTTGAGGGGCTATGAGTCTGCAGATTCGAGGAACTAAGTCCTATGTGGGTCTTTTCTGTAGCTCTGTTAAAAAGAACAGGATTGCCAGGAAATCTTCAGGAGGGGATATATATTTATATTTGCATATATTTAGGATTTTCCACTTCTAATCTCCTAGATGAAGGCAGACTATGGTAACAAATCTATTGTCTAGTTAAAGCTTTCATTCTGCTGCACTGGACACACAGCATTTATTCTAAATACACAATGACAAAGGTAACATGCCATGGAGATTTTTTTTTTTAACATCAAGCACATTCATTAGGGCTAAGGGATGATTTGGAACAGGTGGCCTCTGGCATTGAGCTAGCTAGAAGCAACAACAATCCAAGTCCACCATCTTTACTCATAAAGCACAGTAACCTGCTGCCCGAGGCCACCAGCCCTGCCGTGCTGACTCCTGCTGCTGGTACGGTTTTACTATGAGCCTCGCACATCTTATTTTTCCCTATTCTAGAGATAAAGATATTGAAGCTCTGCAGGTTAAGCCCAAGAACACAAGCCTTGAACTAGGCAAGAATGAACCTGGACAGGGATTTTCTGACTCTCCCAATCCCCATGGTTTTTCAGACATACCCTGCACCCTCTAAAATATATATATATATATATATATATATATATATATATCAGGTAACATGCTAATATTAGTCATATGTTTTCCACTCCCATAATGAAGTGCTCACAAGCCTGAAAAACATCTCTGGATAAACTGCTGCTATTAAAACAGCAGAGACCACGCACATAGCTGCTTCCCTGTCCAGACCCCCATTCTAGCCCAGTGTGTGGGTAATCTGCCCTATCGCACAGCTCCCCCGCCACTTTCTGTACCATTAGGGCTGAGGTCCAGGGAAGTAATTCAAATTAGACCCCAGGTTTACGGAGATTCTTAACATATCTATAAATATTCAAATCAGGGCTAGATCTTGGCAGAATTTTTCTAATTAAAATTTCATTCAAATTAAATCAGCCACATTTTGACAGACATGAGAGACAAAAAGCTTTGTGGTTTTGTGAGGCCTTCTTTTTTCCCCTCAACTAATCAAAAACATGGCTAATGTAATAAGAGCAGAGAAGGGATTCTTTCTCAGCCCCACGGCAGTTGTGCAGGCATTGTGTAGGGAGGGTACAACGAGAAGCCATTGCTTTTCTGAGGGAACATCAGTATAAAATTGCCTATTACTTAAAAATCTAAAACTCAGTAGACCCTGTGTGGAGGCTGGAGCTGCCACGAGCAGTATTTTTGAAAAGTAAAACTTGACAACATCATGGGAAAAACTATTCGACATCATTTGCATCTCAGTTCGATCCCAGATTAAGCCTTCAAAACACAGCTGCCAGGCTCAAATTTGCAAATACAGATACAAATTTCCTTTTTATAACAGTCAGACTTGTAAAAGGCAAACGAAATAGACAATGCAGCACTTAGAACATTTCCAGCTAAGAAGGAAAAAAAATAAAAAAAGACCCATTCTAAGATCCAAGGCAAAATACCGACTTTTCATGGTAAAACAGCTTTATTCATTTCTACTTCCTTTACCGAACACAATTTAAACTCCACATAATTTTTGCTATCAACCCCTCTCCCACAGACTGTAACAGCTAAAATGCCAGTCTGTCTCCAACATAATTAAACAAAATGTGCAATCTTCTAAAATCTGTGAATGAACAATATAAGGCAAAATAAAAGACCCAGACAAAAGAACATACCAAGATCAATCCTCAAGCTATAATATCCTGACATCCAGCCAAGGAGTACTTACGGAATCCACTGTGGCACAGAAAATAATAATTCCAGAACACAATGAGGATCAGTTGGAGGGGAGGGGGACTGCTGGGAATACAGGTGAGGACGGCTATTTGGAATGTAGAGGGGATGAGCTTCATGCAATACACGAGACAAAATGGTTTTGATGGCAGCTCCTGGAACCTGCTAAAAGTATGTGAACAGACAGCTTGGAAGAAGTACCACCACCCAGCCTGGGCTGACGGGACAAAACTAAGGACCTAATGGGAATAAGAGATGAGATGTACTATGTTAGTTTTCTAGGGCTGGCTGAAACAAACTGGTCTAAACTGAGCAGGGTAAAGAGAAATTCCTTGTCTCAGAGCTCTGAAGGTTAGAAATCCAAGATCAAAGTGTCCCCAGGGTTATGCTCCCTCAGAAGGTACTATGGTACTGTCCAGGTAACTGTCCCAGGCTTCTCTTCTAGTTTCTGGGAGTTCCTTAACTCGTGGTAGCATAACTCTGATCTCCAAGTGTGTCTGTCTCCAAATTTTCCCTTTTCATAAGAATGCCGGTCATGCTGGATAGGGCCGATCCTATTCCAGTAGAACTTCACCTTAACTAATTATATCAGCAATGACCCTGTTACCAAGTAAGGTCACATTCTGAGGTACTAGGGATTAGGACTTCAACATAGGAATTTGGGGCGGACAGAATTCAACCCATATTTCGTAGGAAAGCAATGAATTACCCAATTGGACAGTGAGTGATCAGAAAATCTAATTCATTGTTAGCTTCAAGAGGGCAATAAGTTATCTCTTCTCTTTATTTATTTATTTATTTATTTATTTATTTATTTATTGAGACAAAGTCTCACTCTGTCGCCTAGGCTGCAGTGCAGTGGCATGATCTCGGCTCACCACAACCTCCGCCTCCCAGGTTCAAGCAATTCTGCCTGCCTCAGCCTCCTGAGTAGCTGGGATTACAGGCATGTGCCACCAAGCCTGGCTAATTTTTTGTATTTTTAGTAGAAACGGGGTTTCGCCATCTTGGCCAGACTTGTCTCGAACTCTTGATCTCTGGTGATCTACCCGCGTCGGCCTCCCAAAGTGCTGGGATTACAGGTGTGAGCCACCATGCCCAGGAAAGTTATCCCTTCTCATGAGCATTTCAAGCCACATGCCTCCCCAAACTATCCTTTGGGAAACAATATGGGGGAATAGATCAGAGAGATCTGGGTTCAAATTCTGGCTCTGCCACTTACTTAAGAGCTGTATGCTTTGGCACAAATTGTTTAATGTCTCTGAACACCTGTTTCCATCTTTGCAAAATGAAGATAATAACATCCACCTGAGAGTTTTGTAGTGGCGATTACATGAGATAACATGAATAAATAAGGTCACAGCCTCTGGCACACAGAGGAAACCAGCACTCATTAATCCACTTTCTCTGTCTGTCTCCTGCTCCCTCTTGAACCCTGCACTTCCCACAGAAAGCAAGACCCCTAAAGATCAAGTCACTGTATTTTACTTTTAATTATACTACTGAAGATTTCTAAACACAAATACAATGCAACACCAACATCGGCTCAGATTACCTGGCCCTTACTTACAGCATAAATAATTATTTTAATGCAATTAGCTTTTAGCGGTATTGGAAGACAACCTTAATGATTTTTCATTTTCCACCAAAGAGAATTCTAATTCATGACTCCCAATGTCTATTCCATGTAGTATGAAAGAGAAACACCTTTTTGCCCTTAGTTTTTTTAGGCCCACTGTTTAATAACCAACTAGGCCAGGGAGACATAAAAATGAAACCTAAACAAGCAGCCCCGAGATGAAAAGAAAAAACAAAGCAAGACACATAACAACAACAAAAATCACTCTCTTCTTCCTTCACTTCCCTCCCTTCCCTCCCAAAGACCAATTCCTCAACACAATTCTCCATAGCCTTTTGATCTTTTCAAATAGTGAGGACATAAGCCTGCATTTTTTCATATCTTCTTAACATCTAGCCAGTGCATTTCTATTTTCCCTTGTTTTTTTGCTCTTTGTCAGGTATTTGTCACTTTCACCGCACACTGCCTTTACAGAAAACCAAAGAGGACTGGCTATGACCAAAGGACAGCGATCCTATTTTAAGAGTGGGTAGAATTTTTTAATGGTGGGAAGAAATTGTTTGCTAAAAATCAAATCAAGAGCAAAGTGCTGTGACCCTTATTGGGAAGAGGTCTATTGACTTGGTATGAGGCCTGGAACCCTCTCCCTCTATTAGCCATGGAGTGCTGGGCACATTCTCTGATCTCTGCTTGCTCTTCCATGAAAGGACAATCCTAGCAATCTGCCTTCTTTGGTTTCAGGCTGCTATGAGTTCTCAATAATCTGGCAATTGTCAAACGATTTGAAAAGCACCACAGAAATATAAATATAATTTGCAAGAAAAGGTAGCTTTGATCTACAAAAGAGTTGTAGGAATCGAGACACTTGAAAATGAAGATGCCTGGAAATCATAGAAAGGTTCTGGATGTGTTATTTCATGTCTCCTGAAAAAAAGAATCAGTCAAACAAACAAATGAAACACAGCTGTAAAAAATATCTCTCCACTTTGGGAGGCTGAGGCGGGAGGATCACTTGAGGTCAGGAGTTTGAGACCAGCCTGACCAACATGGCGAAACCCCGTCTTTACTAAAAGTACAAAAATTAGGCGGACATGTGGCAGGCACCTATCATCCCAGCTACTCTGTAGGCTGAGGCAGGAGAATCGCTTGAACCCGGAAGGCCGAGGTTGCAGTGAGCCGAGATCGCAACACTGCACTCCAGCCTGGGTGACAGAGCAAGACCCTATCTCCAAAAAAAAAAAAAAACTCCCATCCAACTCTGAAAAGTCTCCCATCCCACACTGAAAAAGCAATGCAAGCTTACCAGGACCCATGTGTTCATAGAACCAACTGTCATCTTACACTCAAGAGCCTAAACAATAATCAGGGAATTGATGACAAGTGATAATATGTATTATCTCTTCCCCTATGTGAGGTACAGCTTGAACTATATTTTTGAGGAGCTGCCACAGGGTCAGGAGAAGGCAAATCACAGTTCATGTTCTAGCTTTTTCTAAGCAAACATCTTTTCTCTCTGCATTATTAATGTGGAGCCAATCTGCAGTACTGATTTTACATTGGGGAGAGTTCAACCCTAATTGTTCCACCAATAAAGGCAAGTTGAAATGATCTGCTAGCCTCATAACGTGGGCAAACACGTCTGTCTAGCTGCCCATTAAACCACATAAACAATTGTCCCAGGTTTCTGTTTTTGGGATATGGTTGCTATCAGCTAGGTCAATCTTGTCCTGGGTTTCCCAAGCTGGCTGTTACTTCTACAAAGCAATTTGGAGATGTGCAAAAAACAAAGACACACACACACAGACACACACACACACACACACACACACACACACACAGAAAGAGGAAGAGAGAGGATCTTCTCTCTCCTCTTTAATACGCACACAAGCACATTTACATCCTGCCTCCACGTTCATGCAATAAAGACCTCTTTAGTCCTGTAATAACTCCATTAGAAAGCTTATGCTTAATCACACAGTTAACGTTTTTCTATAGAATTGGTTGCCTGGCCTCCCCCACATCTGGATTCCCAGCTCCCCAACCCCACACAAGCTAAACATTTCCCATTGATTAAAAAATGCTGTTAGTGCAACTTTACTATCATCCGTGGTTAAATATAATTAGCTCAGCGTTTCAACAAAAGAAACTGGATCAAATTGCTCTGCAATTTTTGGTAAGAAACAGAATTTCTTCCTACTGTGTACAGATTAAACCAGGAGCAGCAGGACAGATCTGAGAAGTTAATAACACATCTCAAACAGAAGTGGAAGATAGTACATTAATTACTAGGTAATGGATATCAACACTGCAACGAACTACAATTACACATGCCTAAGTGATGCAGGGTGTAAACCAATCTGGGAGGACACACGCTGCCCTTCTTTTGTCATAAGGCACATTAGGTGGAAATGTGTTGAACTTCAGAACTGAGCTAGTCACGACCGTGCAAGCTAGCAGGGAGGCTGCCACGACCAGACATCGACCATCTAGCATCTCCCTTGGAATAACAGATGTGAGCTGGAATTCCAAAGCCGTGTTCACAAAAGCAGTAAAAGTGAATTGGGCAAAAAAACAAAAACAAAACAAACAAACAAAAACAAGACACCAAATACAAATAGGACCGAGACCACAAGATTTTAGTTCTCAGAATACAGACAGATAACGCATTCACTGTGTATATAGCACCTTTCCACAAGGCAACATTTTTCAAGGAACATCCTTCAAATGGATTTGAATTAACTCGATTATCCAGCCTAACCCGGAAGAGGCCTTACTTGTCCGATTCAATTCTAAATGCTATTCGGAATTCAATTCCAATTCCTTTCAGATGTGGAAAAATGTGTACTGTGAAATTCTGGCTTCAGAATCCAGTCACACCCTAACATACATACAGTTTCCAAAGAAGTTATAGAACAGGTATGTAAAGATGTGGATCAACTTTTTGGGGAGAGAAGAGAAAACCAAGCTGTCGGACAAAAACAACAACAACAGTAATACACCCTGCCCAACCGCCATCTCGCTTGCTATTATGAAGCCACAGCAAACTGGTCACACTGGATCCATTCTAGAAAAGTCCGCCTGCCAACCTGGCAGAGTGCCAGGAATTAAGTGCCGCTCACATTTTGAGCTGAGTTATGTGAACCACATGATGAGAATGCATAGAACACGGGCTCCAGGCTGGAGTGGGACCTCACTTCTCCCCACAGGGAGCCTTCTGCAGACTTCTGCACACCACTAACTCAACCCCAACAGGCCCACATGCAAAATTTGGAATTGAAGTTTTTGAGTGACTGCTGAATGCTAAGTAAGAGTTTGGTGATTTTTTTTTTTTAATTAAAAAAAAAAAAAACACGTTTCTGCCATTCAGAAACAGCGGCCAACTGCCCCTATAGCAAATGACACCCACCTTCACAGGAAGGCCTGTGGAGAAGTGGCCTGAGCCACTGTGGGTGACCCAAGTCAGCACCATATCAGGAGGCTTTGGGCAGCAGACTCTGGAAGGTGGTTCCCTCATGGCACCCCAGACTGGAAGGCTCTATAACACTGCTCGTAAACCATTTAGAAACAATGGTATTTTTTCCAAGTGTGGGAGTGATGAAGCTTAGAAAGATATATATACATACAAAGGACATTTGAGTCTTTTCCAGAAATGAGGCAAATTGAAGGCCAGTGATGAAGAGTAAAAGCTTCAGGGTTCTGGATTCTTCACACTGGCAGATCGGTGTTGCTTGACAGCTCCTCTGATTATGGAAGGACCCAGACTGCGTACTTTCTAGTCAGTGTAGTGAGAGTGGCATATCCTGTGTGTTTGTCAACACGTTTATCAATACAGCAGCCCTCTTTAAATGCAAGGGAAAATTCATTACACCAAATCCCAAAGAGCCAGAAATCAAATTTTTGCTGACTTAATGAAGGAGTGAACGAGTGAGTGATTCTATAAGAAGTTAGTTTTGAATCTGAAATTTGACTTAACCCAGCTGAATTTGTGATTACTAAAAAGTGCTTAAAATGATTATATTTGTATTTCATTTTTCTTGGCTATGTAGAGATATGCACTATGAAGTTGACATACAGTAGGTAGAATAGAGCCAGTGTTTTTTTTTGTGTGTGTGTGTCGCAGTGACAACTATACTTGCCTGACAGAGAGCTCCAGACTTCCTTCTATGACAAGTTACCTGTCGTGAACTGAGGATCTGAAAGGCTTCCCCATGATCTAACAAAGTCATTATTTGTTATCATCACTCAGCAAGGTATGGGCATAATAACATCTCCCACCAATATTTTATTATTCCTTGTACTTTGCCATGTCCTCTCATATTCATATCACATCAATCTTTAAACAATCTGTGCTTTAAGTAAAATGCACCTATTTTACAGGTGAGGAAGTTGAGGCTGAGAAAGGTTAAAATGACTTGCCCAAGGTCAAACAGCTATTCCACTGGATTTGTAATGGTAGAGGAGTGCCTCTGGCTGGCTCACTGACGTGGAGACAGGTAGCACCCATTGGTGCGTTATTACTGTGTTTTCCTACGATTTTCAGAGTCCCTCATCTGCAAATCCCTTTCACAGATCTTGACCCTAGCAACTATGCTGGAAGGCAGCTAGGACCATGGTTGAGATCCAGCCCTATGCCCCTCCACTGTCTTCCTGCTGTTGCCTTTTTGCTATTTTTCTGATCATTATCACATTTCCCAGGGAGAAGGCGGGAAATATAAACAGGCGTGGAAAGAAATCAGTCAATTTTGCCCGGGCGCGGTGGCTCACGCCTGTAATCCCAGCACTTTGGGAGGCCGAGGCAGGCAGATCACGAGGTCAGGAGATCGGGACCACCCTGGCTAACACGGTGAAACCCCGTCTCTACTAAAAATAAGTAAAAATAAAAAAAAAATTAGCCGGGCATGGTGGTAGGCGCCTGTAGTCCCAGCTACTTGGGAGGCTGAGGCAGGAGAAAGGAGAATGGCATGAACCCGGGAGGCAGAGCTTGCAGTGAGCCGAGATCACGCCACTGCACTCCAGCCTGGGTGACAGAGCGAGACTCCATTTCAAAAAAAAAAAAATCAGTCGGTTTTGCTATTTAGGAGCAAGAGAAACCGGACCAGGCGAGAAGCCAGGAGAGAGCCAGTGGTGGTCTTCTCTACACTGGGGCTGAGCTACCACAGAGGAGTACAGACAGCCAGAGCCTTCCCCAACCAGAGAAACCAGAGGTTTCTTCACTCAGGCATGGACAATAGGGTCGTAAGGGTGCAGGAAAACATTCTACTCTCATAATGGTCCCATCGGGGGTGGGGGAAGCAAAGGCTATATAGATCCCAGCTACGACCAGATGTCTCAAAGGTTTAAACTGCAAGTCTTGAACCTGCTTTTAAAATGAACTACAGGCCCTGACTTAGTCTGAGAAGTGGAGATTCTTAGTACTTCCCATTCTCTGCTTGTAAGACAAGCAGAAGGCCTGAGGCTGAATCAAAACAGACTAAGTGAGTCTACTCGGAGCCCAGAGACCACAGTGGAGATTCTGGATCTTAGCTCTAAAGAGGACTTAGAAATTATCTTTTTGAACAGGTGCATCAGAAAGCGATTGGCCTTTTCCAAATTCATCTAAGTGGATGGGGTGGTTTTACTTAAATTTCCTTTTCTTTCTAAGTGACTTTCTAAGTCACTTTCTACCTTGTGGAGGGTCCTGAATAATGGAAAGGTGGGTTCCACAATGCCACAGGCTACTTCACAGCCACCTTTTTCTAACTTCTGTTCTCCCCACAGACACGTTTCCATTGTCATGCTGGGTGCTTGCTGCCAATGAGCAGACAGTGGGTCCCTGTGATATCGTGACAAAATTAGAAACATATATTTTGTCTTTGACCCCTGTTGCCAACATACAGCTCCTACTCTCTTAGAATTTCCTGGGTGATATAGGAGAGTCTTTTGTTCAAATTAGTTGACTTTCGGTGGGCTCCTGGCTGGGGTTGGTCATCAGGAAGACCAAATCATGATTAGAAGGTTGGAGCATTCAGCCCTGCTCTACAGCCTTTGAGAAGGGTGGAAGGATTGGAGATTGAATTAATAATGGATCCTGCCTACGTGATGAAGCCTCCATAAAAATCTCTGAAGTGCAGGGTTCAGAGGGTTTCTGGGCTGCTGACCAGGCAAAGGTTCTGGGAGGATGGTGCACCCAGAGAAGGCATGGAAGCTCTGAACCTCTTTCCACACACCTTGCCCTGAGTACCTTTTCATCTGGCTGTTCAACTATATCCTCTGTAATATCCTTATCCTTTATCATGAATCAGTAAATGTAAATATGTGTTTCCCTGAGTTCTGTGAGCCATCCTAGCAATCATGGAACCTAAGGAGGGGGTTGTGGGAACCCTGATTAATGGCTGGAGGGTCAGAAGCAAAGGTCACAACCTGGGACTTGCGACTGAAATGTGATGTGAGGGCAGTCTCGTGGGACTGAGCCTTTAGCCTGTGGGATCTGACTCTAACTCCAGGTAGACAGTGTCAGAAATGATTTAAATTATAGGACACCTTGTTGGTGTTCACTGGAGAATTGCTTGGTGTGTGGGAATGCCCCTGCCCCAACATCTCATGTCAGAAGTGAAGTATTAGAAGTGAGTATGGGTATTGTAGGAGAAAACAAGTCAGTTTGTGTTTCTTACCATGGAGTCCTCTTCTCCACTCTTAGTTCAGAGTGCAGTGCTAAGTGCAGACTGCAGAGCATGTACCCCCATGGAGTCCTCTTCTCCACCCTTAGTTCAGAGTACAGCGCTAAATGCAGACTGCAGAGCATGTACCCAGAGGCATCTGGTCTACCTGCAGTGATATCTGCACAAGGGGAGGGAGGATGCTCCATCCAACCTTGCAAGATAATGTGGTGTTCGGCAATCCCATTCAGTGGCCATCTGGGAACATGCCAGTGGGTAGGGTCCTACAGTTGTCTCTTCTCATGGCACCCAGCACCTCCCTTGTGAAATTCCTCCCAATACTTGCTCACTCCCTCTCTTCTCCCCTTCACTGCATACTCTAGGGTGTTGAGACCAGCTCTCATTTGCACAGCCCGGCACCCGCAGCACTGGGCATACTGCCTGGACACTTACGTCTTCAGGGCAGTTGAACCCTGACACTTTCTTCTTTCGATCTTAGCCAGGTCTGAGCAAAACTTTTCTTTAACTCCATTCTAGATGTTCACTTCTTATCCAACAAGCAGAACGCTCCTCAACATACGGTTTTCCCTCTTGGCAGACAGCAAAGGGCACTCCCTACTGGCCTCTCTGAGACAAGGCTGGACACATCTCTTCCTTTCAGAGTATTACCATTCACCAGAGAGATGTCTCATCCCTAACAAATTGCTTTCCATAACACTCTTGACAATTCCCAGGAGAAGAACCTCAGAACCTCAGACCTAGCTCTGAACTCTCTGGCTTTGAGGACCAGGTCAATAGCGAAACCACAGAGGTCAAAACTGTGACATCCTATTCCCCTGGGTGAAGAAAAAGGTTCTTATTATAACAAAGGCATTAAATCTGCCTGGCTGACCCGGCTGCTGAGCCAATACTGATGCAAAACAGCAGCATGGGTGGTTTTTTTTCCAGACTTTTTCAGCACTTTTGCGGTATTTATTTTACAGACAGAAAAAGATATGCCACAGCCTAAGAAAATTACAACCCTGACTCCAATTCCCAAAGGTCTTCTCTGCCTTTCTTCTGGAGGGCAAGAAGACATCTTCTCTTGAGCAGAAGGAGGTCAGCAGAGTTTGAGGTTGCCAGATGAGGCTGCACTTGGATTTGCCCAAACTTGCTTTCCTCTAAGACAGTGGTTCTTCACCCTGGCTGCACGGAGAGCTTGAAAAATACTTAAGTCTGAGCCCTACCTGTGACTAGGGGAATTTGAGTGTGAAGGGATGGAGAGGGCGTTAGTAATTGTTAAGAGTCCAGGTGATTTTCCCATGCAACCCAAGCTGAGAGCCTCTTTCCCAGAGAGCCAAAGCAATGAACTGAACGTCCATTTCGAATTTCCATGCGGAATATGTGCTCGGGTGGCCACTAGGGTGGCGTGTTGAATCGTTAATGAGATCGCGTCTCCACTGCCTGTGTCTTGTGGTCTGCCCACTGAGAATATGCCCCGTGACCGTAACTAACAAAGGAAGAACAAACAGGGCAGAATCCAATAACATTCCTGGTGGAGACAAACATTTAGACAGTCCCACATTCATTTTTTTCTTTTTCCATTACATCACTGCTATCCCTCCACAGCAATTCATATTTATCTCAAAAATCCATTAAAACAATTTTTTTAAATGTTATTTGTTCTAGAAGAGTGACATCATGGGCTGGCTTTCCATGTAATTTAGAAAAGAAAAATGGATTCTTCCATTTTCACCTCCAGTAGTTATTAGGCCAGAAGCAAGCACTGCAAAAACAATCTCTAAGATAACAGCAGGCGCCTTGGTCTCCTGACTTCTATGTTAGCAGCCAGCAAGGGCAGCTTCATTATGCACAGGGCCCTGCTCCTACACTGCAGCAGGCACCTGGAGCCTGAGATGGGATTTTTTTTTCATTTTTTTAAACAAATAAATGACAAGACAAAAAACATGCTTCTAATGACTGGAAACCAAAAAGACAAAGGGGTTGCTATAATATCATGTTTTGATATTTTTAGCTTTGTTTGCAAAGGCTAAATTACAGTAGGCCCCTGGCCTTGTTCCTGTAGCAATTGCCTGGTAACACACCATAACCATCTCAGGCTGCTCCTCCCCCCAAGGAACTACAACTCAAAATTACAGATTATACAGAAATAAAACCCCATAATTGCTTGTTTGTTTGTTTTACTTAAATGATCCTGACTTCCTAGCATAACACCCTTGAATTCTGAAAATATCTCGAACAGCAGTTCACCTGGCACACATGCAAGATTTCACGTTGTTTGCAGGAAGCGATCCAAGCCAAGGTTTCAGGGGAAAAAAAATCAGTTCAGGGGATGGACAAAAATGACCAGCTGCTCCCTGGCATAGAAGGCTCTGCAGAAGCCCAGCCTACTCTATGGAGCTCAACCACAGTGCTTCTCCACCTTCTCTTCTCCCTCAGTTCTGCTGCAAGCCACTAGAAACCTACACACTCCAGGTTCTGCTGAATGATGGGCAAAGGGGGTGGGCGGGAAGCCAAATCAACAAGAGTTTCTTTTACTACATCCTCATGCTTAAGAGGAAACAAGGTGACTTTCTTTACTAGCATGACATACTGACCATACTCAACAGGCAGGGGGATTTTATGTGGTTTATCTATGATAAAAGCACTAAATGTTTTTTATAAGAGGTTTAACCTGATTACAAGATTGATCAGTCTCAGGAATAAACTGTCCAAAAATGAGAACAGAATCAGGATAAGGGAGCCCATGTATTTTTGATAACTCAGTAATTGCACATTTGACAGGAAGAATACACTCCAGCAGCCTCTTATGAACACCTGGAACTCTTTCGGGGGCACAGGGTTTGGCAATAACAAGAAAAAAAAGAAAAGAATTCCAAGTCCAAGGTATGACATGCACCAATTTTAAAATACTATGTAGATGTAAGGAGCAGAAATGAAACGTTCTGAAGAAAGAAGTAAAACGTTCTGAAATAAGATTTTTTTAATCTACAAAGAAACTCCCTGTAGTTTATAATTTTCATTTTATAAGATGAAAGTAATCATCTCTTGGGGGGCTCTTTTGATTCCCTACTCTCTTTTCTCCTAGGTGGCAGAGATTTTCAATTTTTTTCTAAAACGGATGGTCTGTGTAGATCACGATCATGTGTAATTCAGTACTGTCCCTCAACTCTCTTCTCTTGTGAGATGGCAGTGAAGACAGAACCCAACTTCCCACGTATTCTTGTGACGGAGCTTGCACAAACACATCCATAGGGAGTGGGAGTTGTGCATCTCAATGGACAAGAAGATAGTTTAATTTAAACTCTCGAAAAAGCCCTAGAGGAACTATCAGGGAACAGACAAGGCCCAGACAGAATTTATGGCTGACTTAACCTTGTAAAAATTCCCTGGGCCAGCAGAGTCCAGCGAGCTTGGGCTTCATTGTACAATCTGTGGTGAATTCCTTCCAGAAACTGCACTCTATAAGCAGAGCCCTCAGTGACCCTCTTTGTTTGGAACCGGTACAGCCATCTGCAACTGCAAAAGCAATCATTTTAAGTGCTCATGATGAACACCTAGGGCAACCACTGGCACAATAACACAGGCAGTTTCTGATGCAAAAGTGCCGAATGCCAAGTGGGTTTGAGGCTTTGTATTGGCTGCTGTTGACAAAAAGTAAAATCAGTTCAGGGGAAGAAATGCTCTGGAGTTTCTCTTTATTGAAGATCAGTAACATGGGTTGTGTCTGATTCTTTCATAATCCCTGCAAAACTCTGCAGTTCCAAGTTCACTCCCACTGCACATGATTTGGGATTTTGTACCAGTGCCAGGAAAATTGGGCAACATAAAAGGGGCCCTCGGACTTCATGTCTTGCTATTAGAACAGTCCCATGGAAACTGGGGCAGTTGGTAACCTGGAGCGAAGCAGAACTAAAGAGGAGGTACAATCTCATTCTCTGAAACACCATTTAGCTCCATGATTGCATTCATGCTGTCAACTCCAATGTGGTGAGAGATTGTCCAAAGCTGCGTTCCTAAGCTTGGTGTTCAAAGACTGCCCTAGGAAGCTCAGCAGGGCCTGCCCTATGTGTGACCTCAGGCGCTGATAGGAATAACATCAGCTGCAAACCAGCCTTCTTGCTGGCCACAGTCTCTCCAGGCATGGGGCACACATGGTTCTGTCTACATGGTATTAGCAGGTACACGTGAAACCTAGTTTCAGGCACAGTGGGAAGGAAGGAGCTACATACAGTAATGAACACTGAGTAATGAATACATATAGTAATGAACACTGAGTAATGATATGTTACAAATCACATTGCTAAAAGCTACAACTACATTCTCACTTTTGGGGTGTGTGTAATAACATCACACACCAGGGCCTGTTGTGGGGTGGGGGGAGGGGGGAGGGATAGCATTAGGAGATATACCTAATGTTAAATGACGAGTTAATAGGTGCAGCACACCAACATGGCACACGTATACATATGTAACTAACCTGCACGTTGTGCACATGTACCCTAAAACTTAAAGTATAATAAAAAAAACAAAAAAAGAATCACTGTAGATGAACCACCCCTTTTGCTTTGACTATAAAGAAAACGATAAAAGGAAAAAAAAATAAAATGCATGTAATAGAAATAATTCTCTAATACATGTTTATATATGCAGAAAAAGTCTGAAAGGATAGTTTAATTCTCAGCTGTAAGGGCTACACCACAGACTTCATTTTCTTCACAATATCTAGTAAGTTTCACCCAGCTATGCAGTGGATTCTCAGAGTGGCAGTTCTGAGGGAGACAGGTGAACTGAAAATGGAGACTTACTTGCCACTGTAAACATTTCTGCAATTCTGGATATTGCCTAATTATCTAGTATTATTTTATTTCCAACAGGTGCTTACACACAAAAAAGTGAATTATTAGAATACATAAACATCTCACTTAAGAAATATATACAATTTAAATATATGAAACACAGAATGTAACTCCTAATTATCAACTACGATATTTATGACTATCAAATTTGAGAAAACAGATGAATGTAAGTTTTTTTTAAATTATCTTGTTACCTTTTACAAATAAGCTGCAACAAGCTATCGATGATATTAGATGATTAATCTTGTGGAAATCTCACAGGCATCAGTATGTAATTTAGAAAGATTAAATCACTACTCTATAAAGGTCTACACTGTATCTAAAAACCCTCATCTTGCATCAAAGGAGATGCTGAGCTTTACGTTTTACTTGGTAGCACTGGTCTCTAGAGATAACTATTGTTAGAAATAGTGTGGTGTTATTTATTACTAAAGAAATATGTCTGAAACACAAAACTTGATGTTTTAGATAAACACAGTTATTAAGCTGTCTGCTGTTATTGGGTGATGTTGTTTGTCTTAATAATTCAATTGAGCAAAAATATACCCTCAACAACCCTACTTAACCCAATAAATAGGAGAGGCTCTCATCCACCTCATTCATCCAATGTTCACTGGACAGCTATGTACAGCATGTCTACTACACATCTCAGCAAAACATGTTAATTAATGAGAAGGAATGATATCTGAGCTGTGCCCCTGGGTGAACTCTATAATTTGGCTTGCAAAACCACAACTTAAGGAGATAGTTTTAAAAAGCAACCAGGACATTGTACAATGCACAGGGATTGGCTTATTACAGGAGCAACAAAGATGGAGGGACAAGGGGAGAGAAGAAGAGAAAGGTGGGAGCATGTCATGAGAACATACACATCTTCTTAAAATTCTGTGTGACCAAAGGGGAAGGGAGAATAGAGCACTTCTGCTGTGCACTGAAGTACAATAGTCTCCAGGGGAAAAACATTCATGCAACTGAGTAGTGAGCTCAACTAGCCACGTTTTTCATGGATTCACATTTTTTCATGAAATAACTACTGACAGAGAAACAAAGTTATCCAGACTTGGGTCTCTGGAAGACATTTTCCCAACAATGAATGAAGTAAGCCTGTCATTTTAAGGAAACAACTTGGTAGTATTTGTGGCTAACAATAAAATTCAAGCTTTCAAGTGAAGAATTGCTTTTTGGAAACTCATATCTACCAACATAAGCTTAACAATTTTCCAATACTTAAAGACTTGTCTGATGAACTTGTGGTGATACCAATGTATACAATTTTTAGATATTATATATATTATTATTGTCAACACTGTATAATTCAGTGAACCAATATTTTCTAAATGACCAATAGATGATTTCAGATTCCACATTGCAACCAAATTTTAATGAACTTCTGCTTGTCAAATGTTGGTGTAGTATTAAAGAATGCCCACAATTACCTTTGACGGCTATTAAAATATTCCTCCCTACATATCTGTGTGAGGCTGGATTTTCTTCATACATTTCTATTGAAGGGTATTCAGTAGATCGAATGCAGAAGTAGATAGGAGAATCGGTTGTCTTTTATTAAGGCAGATATTAAAATAATTTGCAAAAATAAAAAAGCGCCTCTTGATACTTTTTGTTTTGAAAAATTTATTGGTTTTTCATAAAATATATTATTTTTGATAACATATGTATTACTGCTATTTTAAGTGAGTTAATAAATAAATATTTAAGTTTTTCAGTTTTTCCATAATTATAATCATCGATTCAGAAAGCCGACAGAATAAAAGATCTTTGGGGTCCTCAGTAATGTGTAGGAGTATAGAGAAGCCTGAACCAAAAATACTTAGAGTTAATGATATAGAGGGTGATTTTAAAAAAGTTACAACTTCCAAATAACCTAATGCCACTGTCTGACTAGTATGTGTATTATGTACCAAGAAAGTAGGAAAAAAGAGGACAGAAGAATGCATTGACAATTGCTCCAAATAGAACCAATACAAAGAAAAAGTTGTTGTTTATTTGGTTTGTTTGATGTGGGAATAAACCTTGAACATTTTCAACTTGGATGTGTGCATCTGCTCAACAGTGAAGTTCTAATGAACTAAATTTCAAATGTCCTAGGTGCTCTCTCTAGACTTTTGAGCCATTCATTTCTCTGTTGGACCCAACAGTGCAAACGACATGCTGTGTGCCTCAGCTTTTTAAGCAGAACATGCCAGGGTTCTTACTCTGTGTGTGTGTGTGTGTGTGTGTGTGTGTCTCAGGGAAACACCTTTTGTCTTTAAGTCTTCATTGCTTCTCTCTAGGGTGACCTTGCAATATATATTCCAAACTGAGTGACAAGAGGTACAATTAAAATAATTATGCTGGAACAACATGTGTAAACCATGACTGTCCTGGGCAACCCAGGACATCCAATCACCCAATTTCTTCCCAGGCCATCACCTACAGGTCTAACGAGTACCTTTTCCATTCCCTAAAGCATCTACTCCAAGCCTTCCATGTGGAGATGCCTACCTTCTCCTTTAACAAGAATGTTGAAGACCACCAGCCTGCCATGTTTCTCCATCTCAACATTTCCCTCTTTGCCCATATGTTCCTCCTTCTCTACCACCTCAGAGGAATAGGGTACACAGCTGTGGTCTTCCTTGATTACAGCTTAATCCAACAAGTAGCTCTTTGCTTGTATTCTCTCCCTTATTTTCTCCTTCCCCTGAGCCATAAAAATTCTCGTCTTTCTACTAAGTCTTCCCTAGACCTCAAGATTATTGCTTTCTCTTTTCTTTTCACTATCTCTACTTGCTTCTTGCCCACGTCATGACAAATCTGTATTTCTGAGAGCCTTTCTCATGCCACCCCTTTAATATAGCTGTCTCTGGGGTTCTCTACTTGGCTCTCCTATCATCTCTTCCTACTAGTTCTCAATTGGCATTATCTTCCTCTGCTCTAGTGTGTCATTCGCACAACTAACTTAGGGTCATTAACCCCCAATATATATTTCTAGTACTCACCTTGCTGTCTTTGGGTCACCATTTCAATTTTCATCTATGTTTTGTACATCTTATCTCAATGGGCTGCTACTACCTGAAACTCAACATGCCCCACACAGAACCCAATATCTCCCTTGATCCTCACACCCAAGCCTCTGTCCTCTCATGTTCTCTCTTTCTGTTAATGTCTTCCTCTTAGTAAGTCTCAACATTTTAGTCATCTTTTGTCCTTCTGTTTCCATTTCCCCATATACATGTTTCTCCCCGTTGTCAAGTCCTGCTGACTTCCATTATCAACTCAAAATATGTTCCACATCCATCTCTATTCTCTTTCCCAGAGCCACTTTCCAATTCCAGGCTTGTGTGCCATTTGCTCAGACTCCAGAACCAGTGTTGTAACTGGTCTGCTTGCCTCCTCTTTCCCTCCACCAATCTTTTGTGCACACCTTTGTCACAGTGTGACTCTGATCATGAATGTGGAGACAGAAGAGTCTTCAGAGAACGTCTCCATCAGCAAGTTGAGGGCTGAGAGGAGGAGAGTGGAGGAATGGGGAGGAGAGTGGAGGAATGGGAAGGAGAGGAGAACCCAGAGTACATACATGTGCCAGACACTCAAGGAGCAGAGGGCATGAAGAAGGAGTTGGTCAACAGGAAAGGACTCTAAGACAAGTCAAAAATTTTGAGAATGAAGAAAAGGACATATAACTGGGCAACTAAAGACCACTGGGACCTTGCAGAAAGAAGATTCAGTTCACTAGTGTGGGTGGAGGGTGCAGGAGCAGCCTCAAAGCTCCTCAATTTCCTATGGCTATCACTTGCACTCTACCTTAGCAACTCCTTACCTAGGAGGCATTCTAAGACTATTTTTTTTGTTTTTTGTTTTTTGTTTTTTTTTTTAAGATGGAGCCTCACTCTGTCATCCAGGCTGGAGTGCAATGGCATGATCTTGGCTCACTGCAACCTCCGCCTCCTGGGTTCAAGTGATTCTCCTGTCTCAGCCTCCTGAGTAGCTGGGATTACAGGTACCCACCACCACACCCAGCTAACTTTTGTATTTTTAATACAGACGGGGTTTCACTATGTTGGTCTTGAACTCATGACCTCAAGTGATCCACCCGCCTCGGCCTCCCAAAGTGCTGGGATTACAGGTGTGAGCCACCATGCCCGGCCAAGCCATTCCCTTTTTAAAAATTGAAATTCCAATATACAACCCTCTAATGACCATTTTCAATTCTTCCAGTTCCTCTCCTTCCTCACTGCCCAGGCACTTGCTCCTGGATGTTATGGAGCCATCTAATGTCATCCTCCCTGGGATCTCCTCGGGTGCATCTTTTCGTTCTATGCACTCAAACCCTGTAGTCCACCACTTCATTTCCTGTACTGAGCATCCTTTGCTCTCTCACCTGCTTTTTGTTACACCACAGCTTCCCAGCCAACCCCAAAGGTTCTGAGGGAAATGGGGCTTGCTGCAGGAAATCCCCAGCCCTAAGTGTCTATAACATATGATATATGTTATATCTCCAATCTCCAGCAGACCCCCAGTGTCATTCAGGGGTTCTCCCCTAGGTGCACCTTCTTCTTTGTGTCATTCCTTAAGAGGCCAGCTTAAGCCATCACTCTTATCCTCATGACCTTACAATTCTGTCCCATCTCTCAGCAGATGCCTTCTTCCTTTATCAAGAAAGTAAGGTGACCAGGTATGAACTTCAGCTTTCCTCCTTCAGTCTCAACTAAAACGTTTAACTCTATGTGTTCATGTGTGGCGGGTGTGTGTAGCTATAGACACTAGTACACGGATATGAATATGGATATGTGTGTATCCATGCTCACAGCCAAAATCAACACAATTTTAAAGTACCTCAAATGCCATTCATTGCATTTTGTAATGCACTATCTCATTTAATCCCTTTCACATGCTTCTTTTACTATTTCAGAAAAAGGGGCTTTTCTTTGCATCTGCTTATTTCCCAAAAGACCTCTCTGCTTCTTTCTTCTAACTTCATCCTCTCCACTAGCTCCTGTCCCTCAGCATGTCGACATGCTCAAGACTCACATCTTGAAAAACCCCACATCTGTCCTCAACCACTAGTCTTCTCCATATAGCCCTCAAAATTCTTATTTCTCTTAACTGCCAAACTTTTGAACTAGTAATCATTATTCGTTATTGCCAATTTCTCATCTCTCATTTGTTCCTCAACCCACCAGAAACCGGAGTCTATCTGCATCATTCCATTAAGGTTATAACTTTGGCTGGAAATGTCTGAGGGCCTATTCTGTATACTACAATTGTGGCAAGTGTCCTACATTTATTCTCTTATGCAATTCTTCCTGTTATTTTCCCTTACAGTAATTGTCAAGGCTGAAAGCCAACTCAGAGCATGGACTATGTCTGTTCTGTTCAGATATGCATTGCCAGATCCAAGCACATGGTAGAAGCTCAATAAATATTTGTTCAATTAATGACTGAATAAATAAACAAACAATGCCTTAAGGTCAATCCTTCCATCCCCATTTAATAAATGAGAAACTAGGGCTCATTGTGGTTACAGAACTTTCTCAATGTGTCACACAGGAAGCACAGTTACAGAGCCAGGATTCAAATCCAGAAACAATGATCAAACCTGTGAGCTTCCCACTTTCTGTGATCCTTTTCCTTCCATTACCCTCACTGCCACCTGTACACACAAAACACACTCCCAGATTTACATATCTAACCCAGGCCTTTCTTCCTAACCTCAGATTCAGACATACAACTGCTCACTTTAAGTTTCTACCTGAAAGTTTATCTCTAACAAAACTCACTATTTTTGCACTAAAACCAGTTCTTTCATTCATATTCTTAAAAGTGTCACCATCTATCCACACAGCCAAGCCAGAATCATGACAAACATCTTATCCATCACGTTTGCCACATACACACACACACACACTCTCTCTCTCTCTCTCTCTCTCACTCTCTGTCTCTGTGCCCCCCCTCCCCACTGCCAAATCCCAGTAACAACTTTCTGTCAATTCTCTCTAAATATCTCCTCTAACTATCCTTTCCTTTAAATCACAGACATTGCTGCTGACCGTGGTGGCTCACGCCTGTAATCCCAACACTTTGGGAGGCTGAGGCGGGTGGATCACGAGGTCAGGAGTCTGAGACCAGCCTGGCCAACATAGTGAAAACTCATCTCTACTTAAAATACTAAAATTAGCTGGGCGTGGTGGCGGGTGCCTGTAGTGCCAGCTACTCAGGAGGCTGAGGCAGGAGAATCACTTGAACCCGGGAGGCGGAGGTTGCAGTGAACCAAGAATGCACCACTGCACTCCAGCCTAGGTGACAGAGCGAGATTCTGTCTCAAAAAAAAAAAAAATTATAGACATTGCTGCAGTTTAGGCTCATATAAACCTCACCTGAACTACCAGCAATTGAATCTGTCTGGCTCGACCCTCTATAATTCATTCTTCTCTTATACCAGAGTCATCTTTATAAAGCCTAAAGATGAGGATGATGTCACTGCCTTTCTTAACACTTTGCAATGGCTTGCTATCCCAGCCAATGAGATAACTGAGTAAATGCTCTTAATACAGCATGCAAAGACCTCTAGAATTTCATTCTGCCTATGGTGCCAAATATTTGTGTACTTGCTTGTTTCCTTTCATGATCCTTGAAGGAAGGACCAAATTTTTAATCTTTTTATATTCAGCACCTAGAACAATGGACAGCAATGAATGTTGAATATAGTTTTGTTGATTAAATGAATAAGTAACAGTTACAAATGCTCCATGTTCCTATATCTGAGCCAATTTCATAAAGAGCATGAATAAAAGTAAAATCAACCTGGCTAAGGATGGGCCTAGTCCATAAAGAGCAAAAGCATGTAAAGGTAGTGCTTACCTGCCAAGGCAAAGTGCTCTGAAGGAGAACATGTTGGAAATACGCATTTTTAAAGCATCACATGGATATTTTTAGAGCATATTACACTGATTTGTTTCATATATTGGCTTGGAAAAGAGAAGTTGCCAAGGGGATTGTGGCAGTTGTAGTTGCCACTTGTTAAAAGAAATGGAAACCATAATGCCCAAAGCAGAAATGCACAGATGCAGTATGGTGGAAACACAGCCCATCCACAGCAAGACTTCTGCAGCCTTTACACCTGGGTTTTGTTTGCAAAGGCAGGGCCTGTGATGCCCCACACATGGGGTACATCAAAGAAGTAAGACCAGAGCTGTGATGCTGAAGTTCCAACAGCAACTTTGCAGCACCCCAGGCTCCCATGAGAGATGCCTTCCTGAAACTCATTAGAAAGGATTCTTAAATTTTTGGATGCTTTCAACCATTTCTTATATTTTTCTGGAACCCACTGCAAATGTACACTTAAATGACCCATTCTAGGTGTGTCACAGGCAAGTTTTATGCACTTAGAGATGATCAAATGCCCAGTGTGCCTCCTCCATCCCCTTCCCCTCCCACCCCCAAGCTTGCAGCTCTGCTGGGGATCTTTCTGTTCTGTGGTTCACTCCTACATCCATTTTCCATCCTTCCCAAGTCAGCTTCTCAGCCCAGTGGATTGGTAAGCTGATGGGATTTAGAACTTGCTACACTGGGGATAAGAACAGACCACTATAACCGATGAGTAACAAAGCTCAGAAAACTGAAAGCTAAGAGCTGCTGGTATGGGCCTGGCTCTGCTAGCAAAACCTTGCCCCTGCATTAAAAGCTTTCCACGAAAACTGACGACAGAAGCGGAAGAGCAGGAAAAAAGAGACAGCTGCAGATTCCTTTTTTCCTATCATTTCAACTTCATGCAATAGTGAGTGGAATGCTGGGCTCTCAGAATGTGTGCACCAATCAGGAAGTTCTATGGCTTTTTCTACACAATGGCAAACCTGCCTTAAAAGTGAAAAATTCATTGAATTTCTCAAGTAGGGGAATGTCTCCTGACCATATCTAATTGACTAGTCATTTTCAGCCTCCCCAGGAGTGAGTATATTTTCACTTACAGGCAATGCTTTCAGGATCACGAAGATGGTCAATTCAATGTGGCCATATTTTCTCTCTTGAGCTCCGATATGTGCTGCCTGACTGGGTTGTGGCTTTTGAAAATTGACAAGGGTCCCACAGCTTCATTCTCTCTTTTGCAAGAGATTTTCTATCTGGACTTTACACTTCTTTCCATTTGGTTGCAGCTGGCATTTTTCAAGTTAGGGCCATTCCCCTTGTACATTTAGGATTCAGGTCATTAAGAGCCAGAGGACTGACAGATTCATTATTCTTAGGCTTGTCATCTCAGAATGTCAACGTGGCTCATGAGGTCCCACTGAGGAGCACAAGCACCATTACCTGGCTTTGCACAGTTTTGTGCTCAATACTGCTTTGTCTCACTGGCCATATCCTGCTCCTACTACTTATTAGACCAAGGTCACATAAATTAGCCAGGCATTCGAGGTCTTCACACTTTAACTGACCACACCTCAACTATCTGGGCTTCCTCTCCCATAATTCCTGATGTGGACAATCAGGATGAGGCTTTGATCATCCCTTCCTCCTTGCCCAGCTCATCTTTCCCCTTCTTCCTAGTCTGATGATATTCTATCCTGAATCCACTCAAACTCTTCCCAAATCCCTCTTCCTTCACAAGGTCTCCTGATACTGCTTCAGTTTCCAGAGCATGCTCTCTCTCTCTCATTCTCTCTTTCTTTCCATGTCCCTGCAATAAAAACTGCCCAACAGTTTGGGAACAGAAAGAAGATACTCCACCTTTTATGAACTCTAACTGGCTGATGTCGGTTTGTCTTGCCTCCCCAAATGAGTTACAAATTTCTTAATGGCAGGGAAAGGGTCCTATGCTGTTGACTCCTCCCAGCGCCTATATTGGTGCTAGCATATGAATGAAAGATGCTTAATAAAGCCTTGTGGAGTTGAATTAAATATAGCAACTTGGAAGTAAAAGTATACTCTCAACAGGAAATCCCAAGTGAGCAGGCTGATGTCACAGCTCAGAGAGGCATGCATACGAACCCGAGGGACTCATGCAGTTTCCATATAGACAGGGCCACCACCAGCCCTTTGCCACAAACCATTCCTTTGCCTCAGACAAATAAATTAATCATAAATCATTTTAAACTAGAATGATGGCCCAATCCATTTTTTTCAAAAAGAACATTTACATTGCTTGATATATTAATTAATATTCTTTACAACTCACAGATAAATTCACCAAAATTGGTCTTTCCTAAAAGAGAGATTTACCTTTATTTTTCGCAATTGACTTTTACCTTAGAAATGTTTATTTATTTTTTTATTTTAAATAAAGCAGACTTTGTATTCATTTTCCTTTCAGTTCTAAACTAGCTGGACAAATGGAGTACACTGCTGCCTTGATTTTCCCCGCTGCCCACTTTTTGATCATTTTCATCCTCTTAAATTCTCACTTTTATGCAAATGACTCCCACATATATGCTGCCCAATTTTACCTTTCTTCTGAGAGTCAATCCCACATCTACTATAAGAATATCTCTTTTTCAAATAAAAGTCAATAAAAGAAGTCCACAACTCCGTATTCCAAAATTCTATTTGTGAGGCTGTTTGAAATGTATAATTCATTTTCCATAGAAACTGCATTATAAATAGTAATTCAGTTTGTTCTCTGGCTAGGAAACAAAGTTTGGCTAATCCATCTGCAATGAAAAGTAGCAGAAAGCAATATGGTAACAGTATAAGTAATTAAACGAAACACTAAAAAGTGAAGGTAAAAAAATAAATTTTTCCTCACTATTTGTAATTAAAGAAAAACAGTTTTATTTAGAGACAGAGAGGGAAATAGAAATTGTGGAGATCTTGAGGACTTCTCATCACTGGCACCCAGTTCTAAATCTTGCAAGTTTTACACCTACCTCCTCAACTCAGCCACCAGCCCTTCTGATCCTTCCTTCATCTTATTTCTTCCATTTATCTACTCTCCCACTTCCTCTGCCCTGTCCTCAGCCAGATGTTATCTTCCCTTATTTGGATTATTATAATGGTTTCCCAGTGGGTTTTTTGAATCCAATCTCTTCCTTAATATCACTATGCATGTGGCGCTCCAGTGAATCCCTCAACATATGTTTGCTCTTGTCATTGTTCTCATCAGCAGGATGTCACATGCCCATCACATCAGAAAGGCACAGCCCTAGCCAGGCTTTGCTGTGGGAATGTGCACCCTTGTCTTGGAGGAAGGCCCCCCCAGCTGGCAGGCCCCACCCCGGGTCCAGCAGAGGTACTGGCTCCCACCCAAAGTAGTCCAGGCAACTTCAAACGACTTTCAGGATGCTTGGTCTGAAGGAAGTATAGGCAATTTGTTCCCTTTGGAAGTCCCCGACTAGTTGGTCTGGTCTTGGAAGACCAGAAAGTGATGTTCCACTTTGGTTACTGCAAGATCCTTTTAGAGAGTAGCTGAGATGCTGGAGCTCTCAGCCCAAGGAGGAGAGTGAGGAGGTGAGACAGTCACTCATTGGCTTCTGCCTTATCTTGCTGCCCACTGACCTCTCTGAGAAGAGTGAAGAGCCCCATTCATATGGCTGTGCAGAGAAGCAGCGCAGCAGAGGGGAGGAGCCCTTGCCTTGGAGCCAAGCAGCTTTCCTGAGACTTGGAAGAGTCTTCACTGTAAACAAAGGGGAGAATAATTCCCTCCACCCAAAACTACTGCAGGAATTGAGTGAGCAGGTTTGAAAGTACCTATGGTGATGCCTGACAAAAACATTCATACAGTTATGCATCAATTCAATCTAAGATAAGGAGACGTACTAAAGCTTTGGGTCAGAGCCTTTGAATCCTTACCTAACGTTAACAAAAATTTTCACTTGGATGAATGCCCACTTCCTCACCTTGGGGCTGGAATTCAAGCAGAATCTTGTTTGGTGTTCTGCGCTTCATTCTGCCTCACTAAGAGAATTACTAATTTACAATCAGACCCAAAAAATATACAGAAATTAAGAGGACAGAAAAATCCAAATGAGATATGGAGTTTGATCTAGTTAACTTAAAAAGAAAAAAAGAAAAAAAAGGAAAAAAAAAAAAAGCTCCGCAAACAAACAAAAAATGACCCAGCCAGAACTGGCCCAGGTGACTGATCTGGCCAGCTGGGAGTAGGGCAGCGGCCTGTTATCATGGCGACATGAGCATCCTAATCCTGGGACGGGAAAGCAGAGATGGAAGCGGCTGCTGGGAGCCACACCTGCACGTCCGAACTGCCCCAGTCCAGATGACCAGGGCTCTGTCGTCCCTAGGTCCCTAGGTCGGGCTTCTCCTCAGATTCCATTAAGGAAAGTGAAAGGAGGGGAGAGAAGATGTTTATCTGCTTCTATTCTCTGTGTGGTACTCAAAAAATATGCATTTTAGGATTAATTGTTGTAAGACATGATATTTGTAGAGCATTCACCCATTTTTAAAGTGTTTTCACACATAGTATTTTATAAAACTCTAACTGGCACAGGTATGATTGTATTATTCCCATTTTGCAGAATATGGAGCCTAGAGTAGTGGCCACGGACAGACAACTTATACCCTCTGAACCGTGCATTTTTCATGGCGTAATGTGGATGATAAGACTTGTCTGACTATATGAAACTGTAAATGGCATAGCTTTAAATGTTATAAAAATGGCGTCACATAAATTCCTGGCCAGCATCATTCTCACCATATAGCATCTGGCACTGAGGTGATGCCCCATAAATGATATGTCCTATCTGGCTGTGTTACGTATTTGTAGAGGAGCTGTCCCTGTTACAAGCTTCTGGGGTTGTTCAGAAACTACGGGAGATGGCTGGAAACAAAGACTGTAATTGCAATCTGCGTTTCTGAATCTCCCATTAGCAGAGTCGTCCCACCTACTGTGCTGAGAGGTGACCTCATTAGAGAAGAGGAACCATCAGCGGAAAACTCAAAGCCTCCAGAACCCTCTGGCAGTTGAGCCTGTGCTTGGGGAAAGCTTTCAGCAGCTGTCGCTGACAATGGGCTTCTGTCCTCCACTCCTGCAAAGGCCTTTGCTCCTCCCATGAGCTAGCCGTTTTTGTTTTGTTTTATCCTCAAGCAAGATGGCTGCTGATTGCAATGAGCTCAGAATAGCAGAAAGTAATTAAAAATTCATTTAAAAATCTATCGCGCAGTTTAACATCTACATTAAGAACACTGCTGGGGTAAATAAGCTGGCATCGTCTTTAGTAAGGAAAGGAAAAAGAATTCAGACAGTCTGTTGCACATAGTGTAGGAACAGATAAACCGAATTGCAGCTGGCCTTTATACAAGTTTTGTAGGCCTTTTCCTGAAAATGCAAGTGATCACTGCAGAAGCCAGCATATTTTCAAAAGAATTTGGTAGCAATATAATGGCACAACTAGGAAACTTATCAATTGAGATCATTCTTCAGGAAAATGGATCTCATGTTTTCAAAGAGGCACGCCCATTCCTGAACAGCTCCCTTTAGAGGCCAGTGACAAATGGTGATAAAGGGTTGACACTTTAATAAGCAGGTTTTTTTTTTTTTCCTAAGACACAGACCCCTCACTTATCCCACTGTATTAGGAACCTTTCCATATTGATTATCTGGGATTTGAACCAGCCAGTGATAGGCAAACCGACCTGCTAAGGTAGTAACAGAAGACCCTTGGCTTCCCTCTATCCCACAAAGCCTTCGCTAGGCCTTGTCCAGTCCCAGATGGCCTCTGCCTAGCAACCATTGCCATCAACTCCATCGCTGCCCTGGCCCCAGTATCTCACAATCATTCACTAGAAGCAAATTCCATTGGAATATAGACAGATAGTCTCTGCAAGCAAGTTCACATTCAAAGATATTTTCTGAAAGTTTTGTTTTAAACTCTTGTAGAAAAAATAATACTGAAAGCCCATTACTGAAAAGAAGTTAACTTCATTATGTGATCTGTATTTTCACTCCTGAGCTGTATGTTCTGGGTTCAAACAATACTTTATATCAATTTGGAAGAGTGTCTAGGTGGCAACAGGAATCCAATGAGGAATATAATCAAACAGGTTCATTTAGCAATCAGATTACCTTATTATCATTACATTACCCATTTTATCTTAAAATTTATGTTCATTTTCAGAACCAACAACCCATTCTGCTCATTGTATTCAAAGGCAACACACATATTTTATGTTTAAAGTAACTTGTACTCCAACCTAGGAAATAAATATCAAATCAATTTACTTTCTCTTTCTTCCCCCAACGCTGAAAGCAAATGTCAAGTGTTATAAAGCTCCCCAATGATGTCAATAATTTTATTAAAAATTGAGATTTAATATCTCTTCTCGTACTCTTGATAGAGGCATTGAAGTAGGTAGAGCTATAAAACTAATAACCTATTTTTCACAGCAAATATTTTCATTCACCTGGGGCAGAGCAAACCAAGGCCTTTATGGCATCGTTAAGCCAGATTATGAGCAATTTTGATTAAAACCAAAGACTCTGACATTTTCCAACCCAAAAAAGGAGTGTCACCAGAGTCAATTTCTATGGCGATGCTTGTTTCCAGAAAAATAAATCCTGATGCTGGTGCCTCAAGAAACTGCCTCCGGAGAGGGTTATTTGCTTTTAGATGTGCCTAAATTATCACAGACTCTTACCACTTCATGGCCTGTTTCTCAGGGGGTGGAGGAAAGTGGGGGTGGGGTGGGGTCCATGCTCCCAATCACACAAGGATAATGCCATTCTGACCTCAATTGACACACACATGAAGTGGAAATAGAAACCCTTCTTTACATGGACTTGGAAAATATTAAAAGCTAACCTTTTTCTAATTGTATAGCAATGAAGAAGACTACGGATAGACAGGTGTTTAAAAAGAAGAGGAGAGAGCCAATAAGACAGGATAATAGTGTCACTTGCCCACTATTCACAATGTTGGAGTTGTCTTCATTAATATGGATAAGAGTATTTTAAAGTTTCTAAGATGAAAGATTGAGTGGGAGATTCTGATTTTTCCTTTTGGCAATTGTTCCAGAAACAAATACTAAATCATTTCATATAATGTAGTGAATGGGTATCGTACTGCCAGCGTTGAGCATGATTCCTGAATTGTATCATGTTTTTGCCGTTTGTGCTTTTTATATTTAGGGAAATGTGATTTGATCTAGCTCAGATTCAAATATAAAGAATAATCATCACATTTTACCACAAAGGTCTGTTTTGTGAATTCTTTGTTCATATTATTATATGTTTACATTTGAAGATAAGGCAGCTGCTATTGGCATTTCTGGGGTCAGTAAAATGGAAAGAGTGAATGAATGAGTGTCAATCTTTTCTAAGACAAAATGTTCAAGTAGCTTGAATCAGTGTATTATGAATTCTTATTTTCCATATTAAGCTAAGTGGAGGTATCTATCTTTCTCAGGTTATGAGGTAGTCAGTGAATTGCTGTAAGGTCAATCCAATGTTGCTAGCCAATTAAGATGACTGACATAACATAATGAGTCTTGATTCCTGGTCATGCAGATTGGTTGGAGGACTCTCCACCCTGAATGAAATTGCCAAGGACTCAGTGATACCACAATGGCTATGATCATTAACATTTCTCAACACCTATTATGCCCCAGGCTCTTTACATACACGATTTGTGATTTCGTTTCATCCTTTTACTACTCTTTGACACATGTACTGTATTTTTCCCATTTTACAGTGCAGAAATCATAGCTTTAAAAGTCTAAAAAGTTTGTTAAAGGCTATACAGGACATATTCTGCTGACCCAGAAAATACAAATGCTGAACCGATCTTTATAATTAAAATCCAACATAACATTGCCTTGGGTAATGAGTAGGGTCAGCTCTTTTTCACTTAGGTTGCTGCATTACTGTAAATTAAGGGCTTTTAAGCAGTAACTTTAATGTATTAGTGGTTATTCCATTTTTTAAAATATATACATCTTTTTCTAATTACAATAAAATTTCTCTTATTCTACATGGTCACAGAATGGACTATTCTGATTCATAAAGCATTCTCGTTAATAAAGTGTTAGGGGAATACTGCTAATCTTTAAGAAGTAGAACAAAATCATATGCTTCATATAAACTAAGTGCACACCTTAATTTTTCTTTGATGACTCAGGAGACACATGGAAGACTGTAACGGCCGAGGGTCATCATGACAAAGACCAGTTATAATCACACGAGGAAATCAGGAGAGCACTATGTTACAGAGGTTTCTGGCTGTTAGAATCTTAGATCTGAAGAGCTGGAAGGCACCTCAGAGATCTCCCATCCAAGTCTATTATTTACAGATTAGAAACCAGACACCCAGACTACTGGCAGGCTAGTGACTGAGCCAAGGTCATTTGACCGTCCAGTGGCAGCTACACAGTAACACGCACACACTGGGACCAGTTTTGCTATGCTAAGTCATATTGATCCCACTTATCACAATCAAAACAAAATGAAAAAAGGAAAGATATGCTGTCACTTGCCTTCTAAATTTGTTGATTTCCAAGCAACCATGGATCTCTACTTGTTTATGTTTTCTGTGACAGCTCTTTCCTGGATCTTCATTTTCTTATCACTACTTCCACAGCGCAACGAATACACACAATGCCATGCCGCAAATAAGACACAGCAAGGGACAGGCCCTTCCTCTGAACAGTTTCTGGTTTTTCTTTTCTTCTTCAGCACAGTTTTTATCAGGACTAAAATGTGGAGAGGAGCTTCTACCAAGCATTCGATTCCAGCCCTGCAATTTAACTTGCCAGGTTTAACTGGGGGATGATTAATCAATTATTTACTTACCTGGCAGAATTTTCCTGTCACTTATATCATATTTAATTTCAATCTATTATAATCCATTACCAGTGCTGAGCCAAAACCCTTGATGCATTATTTGCTTATGAGATGGTCTCACACATACAACAGCATCAAAGTACTCAGGTCCCATGTACATTTACAGTTGATGGACTGCCTCTGTTAAGATGTGGTTCATGTACACACTTTAGAGATTTCTATATTTTACAACTTTAACATATCCGGCGCCATTTACTACCAAGTAAAAAACCACCGGAATAATCTAGATCAATAGTCTATTTAATCTGAAAAGTCATCCTTCATGTGAGATGGGATTTAAATATTTTTTTGAAAATCATCCAGATCTTTTATTCTCACCTCTGTCACAACAAAAGCCTAAATTCTAAAACTATTGGAGATATAAAAGCCAAATGCAATGTATGAAACCTAATTGAATCCTAGTTTGGGGAAAAAAATACATAATACATTTCGGAGGGATAATTGCACTGGGTATTACACGATACTAGAGAATTCGTGTTAATTTTCTTATGTATGAAAATGGCATTGCAGTTATGTAGGCGAATGACCTTATTTTAGAGATTATATCCTTATTTTTAGCAGATACAACTCTGAGACACAGTCATTATTCAGGAGTTAGGTGTCATGATGTCTGCATCCCTTTAAATTTTCAGAAAAAGAAGTATAGAAAGAGCAAATATGGAAAACATTAATTTGAATCTACCTGGTTGGTAAATAGGTATCCACTGTACTATTTTTTCGATTTTTAAAATTCGTTTGAAAATTTACAGTAAAAACTGAAAATAACTAACGTATCATTTGAAATGATACGTTAGTATCCTAACTCTAAATTGCTTGGTTTATACACACCCGCCAGAGAACAGAAAGCCACTGTTTCCGGAAGGTGGCAAGACAGCAGCAGATGGCAGAGAAAACAGCTCTGTTTCCTCAAATGATTCTCCAACCAGCACAGATAAACACAGCAAAGGGGGACTGCAGTCAAAGGTAGGTGAGGATAGAGTAAGAGGGCACCCAGCTACTTTGCACATGTTCCTGTGTCCAGGTCCTGGCAACCTCTACCTGGGTTGTTAAAGGAGCATGCATATGAACCAAAAACACACTGGTACCTGTCCCCTAGGCAGTGTGGCAAAGAGAAGAGGGAGGCTAGCATATTACAGACATGCAGATGTCCCAATTTTCAAAAGGGGGTAAAGTGTTACATACTCAGAGAACACAGTGATTTAAAACTTATGTTTCTGCATCCTTTGAAACCATCTTGTCGTTCACTCTAGGGATTTATGTGGTGGACATGCCCTAGTACATTTCCTAATGACAGACTCTAATGTCAAAAAGCCTGCTCATGTGACACTTACAGCTGCCCCCAAATTTACCCTTCCGTGTCTCAGTTTCCTAACTTTTTCCTCCCAACACAGGAATCAAATTCCCATCTCATAGGCTCCCCATGAGAAACAAATGAAATAACATTTGTAAAGAGCCTAGTACTAAGCCTGTTACTGGGGAGGCACCCAATAAGTGGTAGTCACAGTTACCACTAGAATCAACGTGTTTGACTGTATGTCTTATGATAATCTTCTAGCCCAGACGGAAAAATTAGGGGCCGTTTGTCAAAACAGTTAAGCTTATTCCCATCTAGTTAAAAAACCGTACCTCAAGAGGGTTGATAAATGGATCGATGTCAACCTAGAAAGAGGTCGCAATTGTTCCAGTAATTTGTCTTAATCCTTCTTTCAACTCCTACTTTTATATACGACTGGAATGAACACCTAAAAGTGAGCTGTCAAAATATGGATGACAAAAAAATTGCAGACAACTGATATACGAGAGGAGAGATCACTAAAGCAGGGTGAGTATAGCACCGAGAGGTATGCAAGGCGGCTCACTACGTTGTGGGAAGGCAGTACTTGAGCACTTTCTGTCTATTTTTAAACTAAAATCCCTTCAGCTTCACTAACTTTTGTTTGTTTGTTTGTTTTGAGACGGAGTCTCCCTCTGTCGCCAGGCTGGAGTGCAGTGGCACAATCTCAGCTCACTGCAACCTCCACCGCCTGGGTTCAAGCAATTCTCCTGCCTCAGCCTCCCAAGTAGCTGGGACTACAGGCACACACCACCGCGCCCAGCTATTTTTTATTTATTCATTTATTTTTGATATTTTTACTAGAGACAGGGTTTCACCGTGTTAGCCAGGATGGTCTCGATCTCCTGACCTCATGATCTGCCCACCTCGGCCTCCCAAAGTGCTGGGATTATAGGTGTGAGCCATTGCACCCGGCCAGCTTCACTAACATTTTAAATGCCCTGACTCACAGCGATACTGCCACCTGGTCTGTAACTGGGAGGATGGCATGTCATGCCAGGGATGCGAGTCTAAGGGCAGAGTAGGTCATCACAGCAGAGGACTGGAGGGCCTTCTCTCATCTGTTTTTCTCTTCCCCGTATTATCACACACAGCCTTTTAGTTGAGCTCTGTTAAGTGGATTTATGCAATACATTTTCTAGTTTTAACTAAACCAATCTTCCCTAAATGAACAGCTGGCTTACAAAAAAGATTCCCACAAAAACATAGTGTATTGAAGATAATACTAATAATGAAAGCATAAGTGAACAACAGGAAGATAGCAGAATGGATAGTTCTACTATTCCTAGTACGAGCACTATGTTCGTCCTACCAGATAAAAACAACAATGATTTAATAACATCTGATCAGAAAAAAACAAAAAAAATGAAATCCTCAGGATGATGTGAAATATGAATTTAATTCACTATTTGTATCTTGCCTTTAGTATATACTGTGCCTTGAGGTATTAGCTAATGACACATACATATAATTTATAAAACAATAAATACACATATATGGAAGGAGAACACGCAAAAGTTACTTACAAATGAAGTAATCAATCAAAACCATTTGGAGAAAATAATCAAGACTCATAAAGCTCAAAATAAGCTAGAATGTGGGCCAATTTTAACCATAATGAAACATAAACAAGATTAATGCAAAGTCCTACATTCAGGGTCAAAAAATCCAATATACAAGTACAGGATGTGGGAGGCTTGACTCCGAAGCAATGCATGTTATAAAAGGCCTAAGGTTTACAGCTGACCATCAGCTTTATGCCAGGTAACTATGTGCAGCAGCTAACAAAATCTCAGGCTGCCTTCCTTGGGGGATGTCTAGTGTCTAAAACTAGAGAGGAAATGGCTTCACTTCATAATGCTGGACCACAGGTGGAAGGCTGTGCTCAGTTTTACCAGAAACACTGACCTATTTGAGCCCATCCATGGGACAGTGTTCAACTATGGCTTCCACAGAGAGGTTTCCTACACCTGTAAAAGGCTGGCTTAGAAGACCTCCAAGATAATCTTAACTCTGAGCTCTATGAGTCCCTGAGGACACAGGAGGCAGGGTCTGGATGATATGAGGAGCAAAATTTAAACAACTCAGCTTGTTGTGTACATGGCAGATAGTCCACACAAATGTACTTCCATGACAATGGGCGCTGTTTCTTCATCTTTGTCCTGTTCAATTTTGCAACCCATACTGGAGACATTGCCTGGCATCTAATTTGTGCTCTGCAAATATTTGTGATAATGGTGACAAACTGCTTATCACTTGAGGTATGAAGAGGCTGCAAGGGTTTGATCTCCAGGGAATTTCTAACTCTAAGATGTTACAATTTTTTATCTGCATATAATCTTTTCCTTGACAAATTAAAATATCACTAGAAAACAATGTTGAGCCTCTTTACAAGTTTTTAATTGAATATTCCACATTTCTATGGGTGAGAGTCTATTTCTATCAATTTTCCAAATAATTTGGGATTTTCTTTTAAATCTTTTTTCTCCTTTCTGATGACTTTTTTTTTTGCTGAAAATGTACAGAAAGATTTTTGAAGCCAATTCTGTTGGAAAGCTGTAGATAATAATACTTGGTTTTATTTTCTCTACCCAAAAGATTACAAATAACTATATAAAAACAAATGTAGTATACCAAATACTTTAGCTAAGGTTTAAAGAATAAAAAAGTAATTAAGGGCCGTGAAAATATGTGTACATGAAGAGATGGCAGACCTTGTCACATATGAAATTGATAACAGTTTACAGTCAATATTTGATGTTTCCTGCAACTTGACAGGACGAAAAAGAATAATTCCTTAAAAGCATTTCTGCTTGTTATGAGAAATTAGATTTTGTTAAAAAAAAAAGACTTCATGTGGAAACAAATGGTAGAGAAAATCAATGCCCAAATAATAAAAATAAACGATATACATAAGCTAAATAGTTGAGTGATCACATCCTGCTGTAGCACTGAATGTAATATTTTGTGCTGTAGCTAAACTTAAGACAATGTCACCCATCTCTTTTATAATAAATATCAAAGATCTGACTTTCTTTCTGCCAGTAATAATCAGTCAATACTTTCTGTAGAATATTTCTAAATGACATTAGTAACTGTAATTTTATTTAGAAGATAAGATCTATCCAAGCAACATTGCAAGCAAGCAAGGCAGTCTGTTTGCTCTTTCAAAGAAAGCCTTGGAGAAACAGCAACCCTATTGTCTAAGAAAGGTAAGCTAAATATTACTAGGATAATTCCCCAATGGTGAAGTGCTGTCAAAGATAGGCATTGGCAATTTGCCTCCATATCAGAATCAACCTCATCGACCTATGCTAGGCAGAGACTGGAGGGCCATCTGTGATGAGTCGGGCAGAAGGATTCCTACATTGGAAGAGTAGAGAAGTTGACCTCTGAAGGTTACGCCCAACACTAAAACTGTATGATGTTAAGAAATGCTGAAATTGTGTTTCGGCTGGATGATTAAATTCCACAGAGATTTCCAAAGTGTGTGGAAAATACATTGTTCCTTCAAAACTTAATCTAAGGGGCAAGAAAGCAGGTCATTTTTTATCACCGTTGTACAATCAGCAAGATTAAAATACAAAGAAAATCACATTCAAATATGAGTGTTATTATGCAATAAATTTGGGAAAGGAAGTATTGTAAAAAGAGCCCAGATCATGCAAGTATCCAAATGCAAGGTGAAGTGGAAAGCATGTGTCCACATCAAGAATCAAGAGAAATCTCAACACATGATATAAAAAATACCCTCCTCAATTCTCTGGCAGTTCCTGCTAATAGTGACGGGGCCGTCATTCTTGCCGTTTGCTATTTGAAAGCACTGAGCTGTTGGAAGACACAGGCAACACTGTGGCTCCCCAGGCCTGAGATGACAGAAGCCCATGAGTCTTGCTCCATGACAGATGCTGGACTGAGATAACCAGAAAGAATAGGAAATGCGGGGAACAGCAGCTGGGCCAGACAAATTCAACTTCCCACCTGCTGTTGATTTACACATTCATCTCTCAAACTCGATCCCCATCCATGGAAAAACCTGCCAGCACGTCGAGAAATTAATCAATTTGGGGAAAGGGAGGGAGTTATCCATGGTCGATTTTATATTCTTTCTGTAAGCACATTTGTGTAGCACAGAGGCAGCTGAGCCTAACAACAGTGGCTTTCTCTGCTCTCTGCTGTAATCACCCATACACCTGGGACTCACGGCCCGCACTGCTGTTTTCTTAGATGAGAATTTTTTTTTTTCCCTAGGGTAAAGCTGGCTTTGGAAACTAATTAGATATGTCTGCATTTTTTGTTTGGCTCCCAAGTATGCTACGGACATCTAATTTGCATTTCTGTCTTGCCCCTCCCTTGTCGCCTTTGTTGCTTTTTCCTTTTGTCTAAACAGAGAACAAGAATGATTTCCGAACACGACTGGTCAAACATGCTACCCTTCAGAGTGTGTGTCTATATATGTATGTAAAATCCAAGTGTCTCGTTTACTGCAAAACAACCTTTATCCTGAAGAACACTTCAGCTCAAGAAAATGCTCTTTAAAATGTCTAATTCCCTACTGTGATTTCCTTTAAAGTTCTAATTAGTTGTGCACCATAATGAATTCTGTAAATTGCAGTGTGTCATTTAAAACTTTTAAAGTACAGAAGGCTCTAATAATGAGTTTTGCCAAAATCAGTCTTTGAAGAAAGTAATTTTGACATGTAGGTTTCATATTTTTGGAGATGTCTTACATTTTAGATACAATCACAATGTTGAGTCGCAAATTAATATTTGTTGCTTAATGCCATCAAAATGTCAGATTAATGAGTAATTAACAACGTTTGTACATAATGTGATTTCCTTCTTTCTGCAAAGGCCAAAAGCATAATGGAGAATTCAAGTCAAGAAACATCTTTCAACAAATACATTTTCTGAGTTCTCCTTTTAAATAACTTACTACCAGGTCTATAACTGTCTTCTTTTAATGGTCAGCAAACAGCTGGGTTTCCAGATAACATGGAGAACATAAAATATTCATGTTATTTAAGCGATTTCTATATTTTACTCATGTTCTTTTATTTGCTGGTCTTGAAGGGGAAAGAAACCATGGCCACTGCCTGCTCCCACCTCCTTTTAAAGGAAAGATTTATTCCCTTCTACAACCTCTACCTGCTATGCCCTGCTTTAGGACTACTTTAAGCTACTCTGTATCCCATACCTATTTTTCAATCTTTCCTTCCCTTCTTGGATTTAATTGAAACGTGACTCTCTCTAAGCATACTGTCCACGTTCCCACCTTCCTCAGAAGAGGCAAGAGCTGCCCTCTGTTTGGTCAGTGTCAGCCTTGGCCTTCCCCTGGACACATCCTCTCTCCATGTCCCCAGTCTGACCACGCCCACAGCGCCATTCCACTCCATTCAGCTCCTCCTCTTGCACTGGGACCATTTATCCCTCTGTTGTCTATTGCCGGCCTTCCCTTTCCATTCCAAGGCTCAGGATTAAGGAATTGGAAGCCACCCTCTCCACAGCCCAGCCTCCTGCACTGCTAGCATTTTCCTAAACCCCTCAAGCCAATTCCTGGCCTCAGACCATTCCCACCATCCACTCTATCCATTCCTCTGCCTGGGTCACAGATCACTGAGACGGAGAGAAGACAAATCTTTGTGAAGCTGCCTTATTACTGATTCAAACACCACCAACTTTGAGAAGCATGGATGGTGCTCAGACACGCTTCACGCATGCCTCCTCGTCTTCCTGACCCAGACCCCACAGGAACTATTCTGTTTCCCAGTCTGCTTAAGTTCTCCTTAGTTCCCAGCCCTGTCTCACTGGGGGGCCTTGCTCCTGCACCATGCGAAGGAGAGCCCTCTGGAGAGTGTGGACCCAGCCAGGGTCCCTTCACTGCCTCTCGCCCACCCCACAGCCCAACACACCTGTTCCTTTTCCCCTCCCATAACTCATTTATAATTCCCAATATGAATAACATCTCTAGCCAAAACCCAAGGCAGCTGTGTATTTCTTTCTACTTGCATGTTTTGCAGTGATGGACTTCCGAAGACTACCATGTCTCAAACTGTCTCCTTTCTCAGCAGTCCCATTCTTGCCACTCATGCTATGTATTACTTTTTAAAAATTACAGACAGGATCTCGTTTTGTTGCCCAGGCTGGCCTTGAACTCCTGGGCTCAGGCGAACCTGTCTCCTCAGCCTCCCAAGTAGCTGGGACTGCAGGCACATGTCACCACGCCCAGTATTACTTTTTAATTTCAATTTAAAGTGCACTAAAATAAAAATCCTGAGCAAGTTAAGTGTCCAGTGTCCACCTGTGCCTGCAAATTAATGTAAAAGTAAATGAAACCACAAGGGAGATTCCTTGCATTTTATCAATGATACTAATTTTGGGGCACATACAAAAAGAGGTACTCCCTAGACCCATATAACATGCCAGAAAACCTGTTATCCAATCTCCCCATTACTGATCTTCAAGAAATAGCTGGCCCTCGCTTTCTCAGCAAACAGTCTAATCGGTAAGTGGAACTCTGGGTGTTAAATCACCTTGCCTCCATGGCATTGCAGGTGGCTCTGGCAGTTGCATAGTCCAGCACGTCCTTGATTTCCCACGCAGAACACAGAGGAATGTACACAAAAGCACTGGTAAGCAAAATAGCTCCCAAACAGCTCTCGAAGGCTTAAACTGCCACTAACACTAAACATCCTGAATCAGGGGGCCTATCTAAGGAGCAAATTCCCTGCCTACCCAGGGAATACACCACCCAGCTGGCGTATTTTAAGAAGCTGAACAGTGGGCGCATCTTTATCTTGCTCTGGAGCCTCACAAGGGCTCAACACATCGCACTTCCCATGCTCAATCTCTGCAGACCCTGTTGCCCAAGTCTGTTTTCTGTGTCAAGTCCCCAGTCTAGGACATACTCTCAAATCTGCTAATATTACCACTTAAGAAGCACATTCTTGATGCTTTTTTACAGATGACATTTAAAAAAACATCAGAGAATGGTTGTTACTTTTTTCTTAACTTGGCTATCTGAAGGTGAACCCCAACTCTGCCTATAGAAGCTGTTCCCAGAGAAAATCTGGGACTGCAGTGAAGGCACATGGGTTGCCACAAGCTCCAGCGTTACCAAAATCTCCCTACCCACTCACCTCCTTAGCTCCCACCCTTTCCACTATTCTCACACAGTTAGCAGCACCCAAGAGAACTTTGGGAAAACAGCCCTTTTTCACCATCAGAACCTCAACTCAATGACGGGTAAGGTCTTGTTCCCATAGCCCTGTAGCTCAGGTACTGTTCTCCCTTGCCTGATCCAGTGTGCCCCAGTGATGAGTGGGAGGAAAAACAGGAACCGTCTGCTACTCAGGATCATAGGGTGCTTTCTTCTTCTTGGTATGGATTACTGCAATAAAATGAGCTTCTTCCAAGCAACAAAGCAACACGATTTGAATTCATGACTAATCTTGAGCTCACATCATTTACATGAAATGATACACATTACGAAAATACTTGCAACAACGTGTGCCACAAAGGACAATCATTCCAGTGTGAGGGTGATGGGGACTGCAGGGGGAACATGTGCTTCCACAGCCTTCTGCCCTGAATTTGTAGGAAAGAGAAGTAGGGAAGAGAAAGGATGCTGGGTTATAGGACAGGGAATAGGAACCTGACAGCCACTAAGCCTCAAGATGAGTGTTCAGCCTTAAGGAGCCACTAATGCTTGGCTTGGCTGTGTTGAAAATTTAATAATACAAGAGACAGTGAAAATTGACTTTTGGAATGGATATACACATCCATCCATTCATCCAATCAAAAGATACAGTGGGAAAGTTGTACACATGTTCACGGCGACCCAGTAGCAAAGAAGTGAAAGCAGCCCAGATGTCCATCAGTGGGTGAATGGATAAACAAAATGTGGTCTATATCTACAATGAAATATTATTCAGACTTAAAAAACGAAAAAAAATCCGGTTACATGCGAAAATATGGATGAGCCATGAGGCTATTATGCTACGTAAAATAATGCAGTCATAAAAAGACAAATACTATGTGAGTCCACCTACGCGAAGTATGTAAAGTAGTTTAATTCTTACAAACAGAAAGTAGAAGAGTGTTTGCCAGGGCCTGAGGTGGAAAGGAAAAGGAAAGTTCTTTAATGGGTATAGACTTGCAGTTTTACAAGATGAAAAACTTCTGGAGATCTATTTCACAACATTGTTAAAATACTTAACGCTACTGAAGGGTATACTTAAAAATGATTAACATGGTCAATTTTATATGTTTTTTTTTTGCCACCGAAAATAGGCAAAGAGAGAAAAAAGAATATATGGTAGGTGGATGTGATTAGCAGATACAAAATTACAAATTTTCTCATTTGGCAAAGAACCTAAATGGCCTCTCCCCTATCATGACACATATTTAATGAACTCATTATTAGTTGAATTACTTTTGCTTCAAAGTCTGGAGCCAAAGCAATATTAACATCCCTCTCACCTTTTTATTTAATATTTTTGTCTTTACACAGCTTAACTGTGAAATGTCTGTGAATGTTTCTCCAAGTTTGTGAGCTGCTGACAAAAACTCATAAACACAAAGATTCCCCCCTGACTTCCTCCCCCATCACACACATAAACCTGAGTCTTATTCAACACCAGGCCCCAGGAGATGTGAAATCCATCAGCCAAACACCAATACGAGAATTGAGGTCCTCACAATCCATCACTTTTTCTCTTAAAGTAAAAAAATTCCCAGTGATTAAAATGCATCTCCTTTTGCATGTTATATAAGTTGGTGCTGTTTCAGCATGTTAATACGGTTTGCAGTTCCTTACCTTTTTGTTGCGATGTGAAACAGATGAAGGAATTTCATTGCAACAGAACACAGCAGCACATCATCAGGTTGGAAAGCAAAGCAAAAAAGAAGAGGAAACAGAAAACAGTCAGATTACGTCCTTGGAAAGGACAGAGTGTGCTCCTAATAACATCTATCACACAAAGAACACAGCAATAACAAAACATAGAGATATTTTTATACACAGCGACACACTTCATAAGGACACTTCTCCTGCCATCATAATTAGAAACCTATAGCTTCTGGCACAAAGAACAAAGAGAAGGCTCTTTAGCATCTACCCAAGGACTTCCCTCCTGAGCTTGTCTTTTCTTAGCTGTGGATTCTGTTACTACAAACACATAGGACATAATTCCTCCCTCAACAATGCAGGACAACAGCAGGGCTGTCTGGGTATGGGTTCCTCTTCTTGTAATACCTTCTCCTGAACCTGAGAAGAGAGTTTCACTCCCTCAACATACAACCATGGCACTGGCCCCAACATTTCCATACTCCCTAACATTTCTGAGATGTGGCTTATAAAACAGACAGTATACATGGCCCTGTGGAAGAGGCCTCTGGTGTGGGAAGGTGGTGACAATTCTCCAGTCTCAATAGGGGTAGGACAGACCTCTATGGGGTGGGTCAGGCCAACTGTCCTTCCTATTCCTGTAATAGCTTTGCTGCCTCAAACACTAAACAGGGGAAATGGACAGTGTTCACTGGGGAACTGCAGTGTTCCCCAGCGGTTCCTAAACACGCTCTCTCTCTCTCTCCAGCTCCCCCACCCCCGCTCTGACACACACACACACACACACACACACACACACACACACACACACACATGCTTCCTAATATATGCCTGATCCCAAACTCATCTGAACCCCCTTAAAGCTGTGCGGCTGAGCCTAGGAGCTGGGAGTTGTGTTGACTGCTATACTGGGGAGAAGATACAGTGTAGAAACCCCGAAAGGAGAGAAGGTAAAGCCCCCTCTCCCTTGGGGGCATTAAGGAACACACATTATCTAGAGCTGAGGCAGGACTGAACAGATGTGAATTGAAGGAACCTGTCCTTTGTTTCATCTTTTCCTAGTTAAAGAGGCAAATTTGCAGAGCCTGGCTCAAAATTTAGGTCAGAGTCTCCTGGGAGAACTGTCTTTGCTCACATATTTTACAGACATTATTTCAGTGCCTGTTGTTAGCTGTCTGAGATGAGCCTGCACAGAATATGCTAACAACTCAGCTGACCTTTGACCCCTGGCCAAGAGCAAGGGGCGATGAAGGGCCTTACCGAAGCCCAGCATGGTGTTCCAGCAAGCTAAAACAGTGTCCACACAGAGGACTGCAAAGTCATGGAGGAGGGAGAGGATGTGCGTTTCTTTACTCACTAAAAACCATCTCTGTCCCTCTCCTCATCTGAACAGAAACAAGCACAGAAGACACACAGTTTTCTGGCAGGGCAAAGGAAGTGGCTCACCTAGCTCCAGACGGACTTCAAGTTCCTGGTTATGGCAGAGATGGCTAACTGTCCTCCAAACCTACTTCCCTTTACCAATGGGCATACAGCTAGACTTCATTTCCTCATCTCCCGACCAGTAAGCCATAACCACGTGGCTGGGTTCTGGCCAGGGGATTATGGGTGGAAATCATTTATGCCACTTTTGTGACTGGCCCCTAAAACCACCTGCTCGATCTTCCACTCATCTCTCCTATCAGCTGCCTGGCTGGGGACGTCTGGGGGAAGACAGCAGAGATTTGACATCCTGGACCCCTGAATGACTGTGTGGAGCACAGCCTGCCTCACCCAGCTGTGGGAGTTTCTGAGCACGAGACATCAACCCCTGCTGTCCTGAGCCACTGAGGTCTGAGGCTTCATCTGTTATGATGACTTCACTTACATACCCCTTGCAAGGGTGGCGCACTGCCAGGTTTAGCTTCCATTAGATACATCTGTGTGCTTCCAACACATCCCTCTTTCTCTTTTAAGCTCTTCTGCATGTGTGTTGTTCCTTACAATCAATGAATCCCTGAGTAAAATGGGCTTGGAGAAAATGTCCTGGAAGCCCAGTGAGGAGGCACAGCAGACTATCTTTTGGGGTGGGACAGGTGGTTTTGTGTCATCCCTCACACAGCCCAGAGGGTGGAAAGCATCAAGAGAAAGGCTCCTGACAGGCCATGACAGGGCTCACTGCTAATCACATCAACTAGTTTGCCTCTTCCACAGCCTACCTCGAAAAAAGACAAATAGACTTCAATTAAATTTAGAAAGAACATAAAAAAGAATTTCCTGACAGCAGCTGGAATATCTTGGATCAGACCACAAGGTCTGAAGCTCTTCAGAGCTAAATATGAATACGGAGGCAACTGTTCCCAGTTGGTTTAGGTCAAGCCGTTACTAACCGTCTGTCCTGTGACTTTTAGGCTAAGGAAGCAAATTTTTCCAGAGGAGGAATAGAAAAGAAAAGGTCTCTAGTAGTTTTCCTCATAGTCCAACCAGTGCTGCAAGGAGAGAGTTACTATGAACAATTCGACGAAGGACTGCAACAATACCACCATTCTACCTTAGGAAGAATATCCTAAATATCACACACACCCCCATCACACACTTGATACAGGTTTAGGAAATAGCCACGCACAAGGTCACACTTATCTTTTGCTGATGGGGAGGTATAAATGCATTTAATCCAATCCACAGGTGGGGAGCAGTTGCAATGTGTACTACTAGGGGAAGCCAGGACTTATGATTTATCATTCCTGTCTTCAAGTTGCTTACAAACTACTAACAGAAGCAGGACATAGCATGAAAGATCAAATAAAATAACAAGACAATGGTACAAATGATGTCACAAAGGTATCTACAGCCCAGTCATTGGGCAGAATTCAGCCTATTATTTGTATCCAAATTTCTTTTCAAACTCACCTAATTTGCCAACACCACTGTTCCTTGGCACTCCCAATCCTAGTTGCCCTAGTTGTTTGATTTGTTTCCCTATTAATATACATCACTTTGTGGCATACTGTTTAATTGACTCATTGAATGTATTTAATAAGCTTAATGAAGGCAGGGATTTTCTCTGTTTTGTTCAGTGTTGTGCCCCAGTGTCTTGCACAGTGCTAGGCACATAGAAGATGCACAATAAATATCTGTCAAGCAAAGGAAAACCATGACAAGCTTCTAAAACCAGAAATTAATTTTTAAAAAAGTTAATTCCAATGCTCCTAAAAATATTGTTTGCAGACACTCTGCCAACAATAGCTAGAGCCTGCTCGCCAATGTGAATACTGAACGAGGCTTCAAATTTATAAGGATCTCTACTGTCAAACACAAGACACTGACATTTGGAAGATGTAGTGGGCAAAGCCTGTCTTCTATGTGGCCATCTTCTTATTTGAATTAATGGTATCACCAAAAAGGGGGCCCTTAGACACCCACGTGTACATCCAGAGGGCCATAAGTGCTGTTAGTGCTGTTAAAAAACGTGATAATAACATTAAAAAGGGCAAGCCTGTGTGTCCTACATGAAATGAGTGTCTAACACAGCAAAACCTGAAGCTACCAGAGCATTATGCTAAATTGCTGGCCTATTTACTTAACTAGCAATGGGCTGAAAAGAACCTCAAGGGCAGGATGAATTGAGGCTGTTCACCCTTGTCACTGAACACATATCTTCTTTATTCAGGATGTTCACAATGCTGCGCAGTCTCATAAGAAATCTTGAAATCCACATTCCTGCCTCTCTCCTAGGAATCTTGGTGCCAGTGTATTCATTTGACATTTTTGGGCTCCTATGGCATGAGTAGAGAAAGATCAGTTCTAAGGAGTTTTTCCAGAATAACGCCATATTTAATCAGTGGATGAAATGAACAGGATTTAGTCTTCCTGACCAAGTTCATCCCTGTGTTCATCTCACAGCTGTGACTGAGCAGCCATTTTAGAGAGCAAATGATGGATGCTCATATGTCTTAGTCACTGTTACTGGCATAAAAAAAATACAGGTCCTTGTCTATAGAGTCCCTAGGAAACACACCCAAAAAGAATCTCATTATAGTGAAGATGTAGCCAGTGGAGACGTACAGCTCCAGCTCCGCATGCACAGAAAATTATGTAGAAACCAATCTGCCAGGACAACAGTTTAATCTTCAAAAGCAAAACTTGGCCCTAAGATACCAAGCTAATGAGAGATTTTTATTGAAAATATCTTCATTTGTCAGACCCAAAGGGTCCTCTTAGGGAAATGAGAGGCCCCATGTGAAATTCAAAGGAGACTTGGCCCTACACTTCTCCAATCCAGAAGTGAAAGGAGAAAGCTGTTATTCTGGTGGCTCTTCCCAGACTTCACCTATCAGGTTTTGTCCAATGAGAAGGCAAAAAGCCTCCCTTAAACTGTACAGCTCCCAGAAAAAATAAAGATGGGTTTAATGTTTCTGCTCTCGTTTTTTGCTCTATATAATCTCCCCCAAGGATTAATTTTTAATATATCATGTGTGCCTGCACGCATGCACACACACACACACACACACACACACACACACACACACACACCCTCACAACTTGAAGTATTTTAGTTACTCTCCAATTGCAGGTCATGAATGTCAATAATTCCAGCTGTCCCCAGTGACAAACACGGCCTGTACCCCCACGCCCATGCCCACTTGGCAGCTTCTCCTCCCTATCTCTCCACTCATTCCTTCCTCTTTGGAATCCAAGTTGACCCTGCTAAAAAGAGTCTCCAATAAAATGAGAAATACGAGGCCTATTTTTCAACTTCTAAGCCAAGCACAGAGATGTGAGTAAGTCATCCCAAGAATAAAGAGGACTAAAGGAGGGGGCATGCCTATGAAGGGGGCAGAGGGAAAGGACGCTGCTGTGGGAAGGGATAAAAGCAGAGTTCGTTGTCACCATTGTCACCATGGAGTATATACCCCTTATCGTGACTTTTCTTCTTAAACAAATGTCTCATTCATTCACTAGACTGTGAACATGGAGGGGAGGAACCATTTACCACAGACTCTTGTATCCAAAGCTCCTGGAGAAGAAGTGTATGTGCAGGACACTTTCTAATACCTGAGTGCACTGATTAATAAGTCACAGAGTACTTTTATTCCCCTTTCACATAAGAACAGAGGCCTGGAGATGTGAGGTTGCATACCCAAGCTCATGGAGCTAATAAGTGACACATCTGAGATGCAAAGCTAGGTCTGCCTGCTCCCAAACCGTTCTGTGATGCACGCAAGGCCCGAGCAGTGAAGAGCTACTGAGCAAATGGGCGATGCTGAGCGTATTAGATGCTGTTGGAAAGAAAGTGTGGTTGCCAAAAGTGATTGGGGTGAATGGTGCACGGATTAAGTAATAAAACAGACACCAGCCAAGGAAAAATATAAGACCAGGCCAAGACTATAGACAGAGGGACCACACTGTCGGCCCCAGCAGTCTGGTGAGCATGCCACAGGGAGTATTTGGTCAAAATGATTACTCAGCCACGCCCCATGTGATAAGCAGCCGCCCTCCCAAAATCTCCTGTGCCCAGTCCTTTGTGGGACAGGTACCCAGCACAGTGAGGCTACTTTGTATCTAAGGGCAAATATGTTCTGAGTTCCACATACCCAACATACAACCCACCTGCTGAAAGGCAGCCCATCTTTCAATTGAGAACCACCGGACTATTTCTGTCTCTTGTAGGAAGGGACGCTGCTGAGCAGCTGTCTGATTTTTGTTACTGGGCACTAATCACTTAAGCTTTTTATTGTTATAATTCCTTTTTCTTTTAGTGGAGATTGAATTACCAATTTTCAATGCCTTGCAACTCTTAATATCAATTTTTAAAAATTTCTATCCTCTCACCACTACTTAACCATCACCAATTTTGCTAAAAGCAATGGGGGTTTAAAAATACTATCCCTAAAAGATAGTTCCTGCCTTAAAAGGTGTTGCATTTATACTTCCATTATAATCTTCATTCCTTTCTTTTTACAGGAGCAATTAGACCAGTAATAGTACGATGCAAGCTTTATTTTAAATGGCTTCCGGAAGAAAAGAGACAAAAGCACTGGTAACTCCTGAAACAGTTTTCTGTACACAGTCTTCTAGCTCCCTATGGCAGGCAGGAGTGGACACGGAGGTTTTGCAGAGCTCTGATAAGCTCTTGTTTATTTTAAATTCCATTTATTATTCTACGGCAGTGTCTGTCCAAAAGAATTACCTGGAGAGCTTTTGTAAAAATGCTTTCTAAACCCCACTCCTGGAGATTCTGGGGTAGAGCCCTGGAATGTGTATTTAACAAGCTCCCAAATGAGTCTGTTACAGGATCAAGCTTGGGAATCACAATTCTAATACATAAGAGGTAGTAGAACAGGGACAATGTGTTGTTCAGACAATCAGCAAACATCACTATCTTCTCTGAGTTCCATGTTGGAATATAGGCTGCCACTGTGGTAGGCAGGAAAGAGGCACAGAAAACAAACAGGAGGGAGGATTTATCCTCTAGAGAAAGTTTAAACCTGGACATGTCCCTTGCACCAAGGTCTGTCTGGCTGGTCTGAAATTGCACACTGTTAGGAGGTGTGGTGGATATCCTGGGATAAATGGGCACTATGGCAGTTCTACCTAAGTCTGGCCTGTAAAGTGGATGAGTTTTTCTGCTGTGAATTTGCTTATTCTCTGTCTGTGTTGTGGGCAAATTTGCATTGTGTTTGCAGTGGGCGTTGGGGACTTGAGTGGATTCCTATTGAAAAGTAACAATGTTTCTTTTTATGAGAACCGTTCATGTAAAAGAATTTCAAAACTAAGTAAGAATGTCAGGGAGACAAGAGAAACTCGATAATTTGTCAATTGCATCCGCTGAGAATACAATTATGAGAAAAATGAACTGTAATGATATAATAGATCTTTTTGTGTTGCTTAAAGACTAAGCAATAAAAGAGCAGGGTGATAAGCATCGGAAACTGTGGCTATAAACACATCTGAGTCTGTTTCATGAGCACATGGGGTAGGCCCACCCTGGGATGGAGGCAACGTGGAGAACTCTGTACCTTGGGTTCAAGTCCTGACTTTACCATTGGATGAGTTGTATGACCTTGAGCAAGCTGTAAACACTCACTGAGCCCAATCCTCTCTGAGTGGCACAGAGACCAGAGCTGATACTGGAAAGCACACAGCACAGGGCCTGCCACATGGGAGGCACTGAATAAATGGCAGCTATTTACTGTTTTTATTATATTACTGTATATTATTATTATTATTTGTTGTTGTTAAGGGTAGGGGAGGGTTTTATTCTTACTATTTTTTTTTTTTTTTGAGAAAGGGTATCACTCTGTCACCCAGCTGAAGTGCAGTGGTATGATCTTGGCTCCCTGCAATCTCTGCCTCCCAGGCTCATGAGATTCTCCCACCTCAGCCTCTCAAGCAGCTGGGACTACAGGCATGCACCACCACACCTGGCTAATTTTTGTATTTTTTGGTAGAGATGGAGTTTCAGCGTGTTGGCCAGGCTGGTCTTGAACTCCTGACCTTAAGTGATCTGCCCAACTTAGTCTCCCAAAGTGCTAGGATTACAGGTGTGAGCCACCACACCCAGCCAGGTTTTATTATTATTTTTTGTTGTTATTGTTGTTAAGGGTAGGAAAGGAAAGACTCAAAGATTTAGGATCACACTTTGCAATGTGGGACAAAAGCCAGCTGCACAGATTCCACAGATGATGAACTTAATCAATATTTTAATTCCAAAGGGTGGCCTGGAGCCTTTGAAAGTCTGCCCTCACGTCCAACCTGGTGACCTGGCATCCTGCACTCTGCCCAGCGGGCTCTGAGCAGACCGCCCACCTTTGGCTGACTCAAACAGTGGTTTCTAGACTAATGTAGTATAAGCCACTGCTGCTGAACAATTTTGTCTGCTGAAAGCCAATAGCGTGTAAAGGGCCACTCTTGGATCAACCCAAGCTGCAATCTCTGCTGCAGTTTTGATATAATCAAAACGTAAGGGCGATAAATGTTAATCCAACTTAATCCTGTTCATTAATAAATATAATTGAGATTTCTATTGATTTATCTACAACCATTTTTCTTATAAATGAAATATGCTGGTATTTTTCTGGAGGAAATGGTGTTAGGGTTTAGAATTTCTAAGATACTGCTGCAATCATTACAGAGGAAACGTGGTCCATTCCTTAATAGGTGTAACAGTGGAAACCGCCTTGCCTGGAATCTTTAGAGGACTCAGAGAAAGCCAGCTTTGTCAGAATCTCAACACTGGACTACCTGCTTACTGAGCAAAGCCATCCATTCATCAAAACAATATCAAAAAGTTACTACCCAACTGTGCTTCAGAATACGAGGGTGGCATCCTATATTGCTCTAATCATATTACTTACGATTTTATAAGTTGTCTGATTAGAAGGCTGATTTAATTAGAGTACTAATAGAAATGACAAACATTACATATGCTCATATATTGCTAAACCTTTTTCAATTATATTGGAGGTACCACCAGTGTGATGGCTAATGGTATACATTCAGGCCTTTAATGACGGACGGCCTCAAGCAATCTGCACACATCTTTATGACACACGTTAAATATACATTCAATGTACTGCTGAGAAATTTAGCAGAAGTGTCGATTCAAGCTCTTTTGCCAGACCCGGAGTAATCCAGCTGTCAGTAAACGTGTCTTATACTGACTTGAATGCTGTAGTGAGAGCCCAATGAACACACACAGGAAAAATGGGAATTCTTTTTTCCTTGACGTATTATACCTTATTGCTCTGGTATCTTTTGATAAGTTATAATCCAAGGAAAGCCCTTCCAAAATAAATAGTTATCATCAGGAGCTATGCCAAAGAATGAAATACACCTCAGTTTCCCATATGTAATGAACCGCAAGACTAAAAGCAAAGAATTCAGAAATATCTTGTGACTGTAAACACACAGCAGCCACTCTACTGTACAGAGAGGGACTTAGCTATGGCGCTGTCAGCCCCTGCTTGGCTGGATTTAAAAGTGTCAGAAAAGAGAGGTGGAGATCTGTTTCTTTAGCTGTGCAGCAGAGTCCTGAGTAGGACTTGTTCTGTTGCCCTATGTTGGTGACCAAGGAAGCAAAGCTAAGGTCAAAGAGATGGGCAAGTGCACTGCAGTCTACAGAGTACTAATGATTGAGAAAAGACACCTCCGGAAAAGCTTAGGGAGATGGTAGAATAGTCCTGCGACACCACACTCCCCACTTGCCCCTCCTTCCTCCTTCTCAGTCTAGAGAAGACAAAGAAGACAGCAGGTGGAATTAGCTCCGGGTCTTCTGCCTAGTGAGAGTAGCTACAGCTTTCCCTTCTTCTTTCCCTAGCATTGTTATCCTTTCTTTCAACTAAAGCAAGAGAAAGGTGACTATCTAAGAGAATTACTTTGGAGGAGCCAGCTTGAAGGAGAACCTGGCATCCTGCTTCCCAGCTGGATGACTGCAGGGTCAGCCGCTTTGCTGATCAGCCCTGAGTCCCCCAACCACCCTGAGCAGGCAAAAAGTGAATTGGAGAGAAATGGTAGGGCAAGAGGGGTCAGGAACCATCTAGCAAAGGCTAGGATGAGCGAGCTTCCCAAGCACCAGTGGGTCTACATCCCTTTGCCAGGGTCCTACTCAAGGGGGCAGCCTGCATGTCAAGGGAGCTCAGGAAGGAAAGGCTGTGGGCTGTACCACCAGGAGCGGAGCTGAGGGGTGGCTTGATAAAGCCGGGTTGACATTGTATCTCCTACAGCCAGGAAACACAGGACAGGGAGTCCCCTGAAGGGGCTCTAAGGAGACCTCCCTTGAGTACCATGAAAAGGCCAGTATTTGGATGTCTCCCACCTGGCAGGCACCCACCACCAGTCAGGGGTACCACAGAAGCAGGCACATCTCCAGAGAGAGGATGGCAGCCATGGTCAGTGGTGTGAGAGACACTATCTCCGCCCCACCCTAAAATACAGGAAGGGAAGGAGAATGAGAAGAAGAACAGAGTAAGAGTGTCCCAGAACTAAATCAAATTCCTTTACCCTTTTCCAAGGCAAGGGAAGGGGAGGAAGATGGAAAGAGTAAGCACCCCCTCCCCAATCCAAGTCTTTTATTTTTATTTTGAAATTGATACATTAATATTTGTACATATGTATGGGGTACATGTGATATTTTGATGCATACATACAATATGTAATGATCAAACCAGGGTGTTTAGATTATCCATCGCCAGGAACGTTTATCATTTCTTTGTGTTGGGAATATTTCAAATCTTCTAACTATTTTGAAATATATATTGTTGCTAACTGTCATCACCCTACTGTGCTACCCAAAACTAACATTTATTGCTTCTACCTAACTGTATGTTTGTATCCATTAACCAACCTATTCTTCCCCTCTTCCTTCCTCCACCTACACACACCCTTCCCTGCCTCTGGTAACCATCATTCTACTCTCTACCTCCTTGAGATCAACATTTTTTAGCTCCCACATATGAGTGAGAACATACAATATTTGTCTTTCTGTCCCTGACTTACTTCACTTAACAGAATGACCTCCAGGTCCATCCAAGTCCTTTTAAAACTAAAGAAGGCAGGTGCTGGAGGGAATGGAAAAGATGAGATTTACAAAGAATATGAGAATGGTGCTTTAAACTAGACAACCCTGAGTTCCTTTTTATTATTATTATTTTTTTGAGACGGAGTTTCGCTCTTGTTGCCCAGGCTGGAGTGCAACGGTGCAATCTCGGCTCACTGTAACCACTGCCTCCTGGGTCCAAGCAATTCCCTTGCCTCAGCCTCCCGAATAGCTGGGATTACAGACATGCACTACCATGCCTGGCTAATTTTTTGTATTTTAGTAGAGATGGGGTTTCTACACGTTAGTTAGGCTGGTCTCAAACTCCCGACCTCAGGTGATCCGCCTGCCTCGGCCTCCCAAAGTGCTGGGATTACAGGCATGAGCCACCATGCCCGGCGAGTTTCTTTTTAATTAATGAAAACAAGTGAGGTTCCACCAAAAATGTTCAATTTAATACATCTTTTTTGAGGATCCACCATGTGTCAGTCACCATTTTAGGCACTTGAGTGACAATGACACTAATGAATGAAACAAAGATCCCAGCCTTCCTGTTACTTATGGAGAAGAGAGATTTAATACAGTGCAGTTAATACACTGAGTGGAGAAAAATAAAACTACTGAACTTCTACTGGGTTCAGACTAGTCGATAAACCAGTTTCAACAGCTTTCAAAGATTAAATAACTTCTTTCTGAAAGTTTTGCTCTCACAAAAACACTGAGTTCTGCAAAAGGACCTAGAGATTGAACAGGAGGGGATGGGATCTGAAGGCAAGCTGATGACACCAGGCAACTGTTATGGGCTTAGAGAGATGTGTAAGGGCACTTGGAATAGACTGAAATAGACTAGATTACCCCCTTTCTGCCTCCATGGTGTTTGCTTTCTTCACTGATTCCATCCACACCGAGCCTTATCTCCTCAGTATAATAAAATCAACCTGAGACAGGAATCAGTGCAAAGCAAGACCACAGCTGTGATGTGGACCAGATAAGAATTTAAGATCTGCTTTACATTTGCCAATGGAAGCACTGCCATGTTTTCTAAATAGTTGCTTGTAGAGAAAAAGACATTACACAGTAAATAGGTCCACATTTACAGACAACTCAAAAATCTCTGGATAGGCACCCAAAGGAATGGATTTTGTCTCCATTCCTAGTTTCTGAGTTGATTCTATTTTCCTGGAGAAGGATCTTGAAACTCATGAAGTCTGACCAAGATAAGAAGGAGCCTCTGGAGTGTTGGGGATAATAACTCCGAAATCCACAGTAAATTCTACTCCTGTCTCCTTTTTGAGGGGGATCATTGTTATTCTTCTCAAAAGCCCCTTTCTGGAGTACAGTGCCTTTTTTTTTTTTTTTTTTTTTGTAAGATTGGTGGTGTTGGCCAGGCACAGTGGCTCATGCCTGTAATCTTAACACTTTGGGAGGACGAGGCAGGGGGATCACCTGAGGTCAGGAGTTCGAGACCAGCCTAGCCAACATGGTGAAATCCCATCTTTACCAAAAATTCAAAAATTAGCGGGGTGTAGTGGCATGCACCTGCAGTCCCAGCTACTTGGGAGACTGAGGCATGAGAATCACTTGAACCTGGGGGGCAGAGGTTGCAGTAAGCCGAGCTCATATCACTGCACTCCAGCCTGGGTGACAGAACAAGACTGTCTCAAAAAAAAAAAAAAAGATTGGTGTTGTTGGAGCTCAGAAAATGATATCCCAAAATATGGCACTTTAACATGCTGAACTAAGGAGGCCACCCCCCTAATCCTCTGTCTCTCCCAAAGCACAGGATCACACAGTTCTTTGAAGTTTCCTTATCTACCCAGAAACTGGACCCCTAAAGACACAATTGCCTTCAATCGCTTCCCTGAAATTTCATTAACCAGGAAAGATGAAAACTCATATCACAGAGGAAGAGACTGAAAATTAAACATCACACCTAGAGCCTAGCTAATCATCCCAAACCATCCTCTGTTCTCAGGTCCCATTCAATTCCCAAACAGCATCATGTACAAACCATTGACTGGTCTTCAGCCTCATTCATTTACAGCCCTCGCTGCCCTCCTTCCCTCTCCCCAATGAAGAGGGCATTTAAGGGATTTAAGTATCAACCCTCTGGCATTTTCTTCGAGTTTTCGTATTTTGTATGATTCCTGTGCACATATGTGCATGCAATCCATTTGTTATTCTTTTCTCTTGTTAACCTGTCTTTTGTTACAAGGGTGTCAGCTGTGATCCCTTATGATGAGGAGAAAGGAGATCACCCCCTTTCTGTAGCCATGGTGTTTGCCTCTTTCACTGATTCCATCCAAGCCAAGCCTTATATCCTCGGATAATAAAATCAATCTGAGGCATGAATCAGTGCAAAGCGTGGCCACAGCAGCACTGTGAGGGGCCTGTGGTATTCCTAATGAGCCTGGGTCACAATTTTATTTAGTGTCAGATGATTATATCTGAATACAGCTAAAGGTCCTTCATTAAGGCTAGGCTGTTGGCTGTTTATAAGGTAGAGGGATATAGATGGTGGTTGTTACTTTTAAATGGCTGAGTGCTAAAAAAGATAAGGATACTTCTACCGGAAACCTTCCAACTTTGCAAAATGAGTTCACTTTTAACACTACCCTTGGATAATGTCAGCCCACAGGGTGCTAATGGCCCAGGGAAGTTCCTCAGAGCAAACATTAACACTACCAATTCTTAAACAAAACAAAAGTGCCAGCATAGCTTAAAACCCTTTGGCGTGGTTTCTGTAAAATGCCTTTTCTTCATAAACCAGTAAATTTTCCAACCTGGCACAGTCAAGGCTGGCTAATTCTTCTTAGACAACTGAGAGAACACTCTATATTCAATTCTTTTAGAAAACTGTGGAGCCTAATTAAGTCTAACAGCTAGAGTACTCAATGCAAATCTTCATCCTCCAGCAATTTAGTTTAAGTAGCAAAGCCACTTTCATTTTTCTGTGTTCCAAATAAGTATTTTGTCATCATGAATTGAGAATAATAATAAACTAGCCCTGGTAAATGTAACCCCAGACAGGGTGCTGGGTTGTGTGTAGATCTATGGGGCTGACATTAATAAAATTCTGTTTATCTCTAATACATTAAAATAGTATTTTATAGGAAAATTTCAACGTGTAGGCACAGAGAGGAGACATGCTGAACCCATTGACATTTAGCTAACAGAATTTTTAATAGAATTGAGCTGGCCTGGGAAGGAAGAAAAATAGGAAAGAAATGCCAACCAGACAACTCCCTAGAGAATAATTTATTTTGGTTTTATGTGATATTAAATATCACTTCCTCCACCAAGGTTGGAACCTGTATTAGTCTCAGCAAGCAAATTTTGCACGTCCCAAAATTCCATCACGATGGCCCCTAGGTCAGTCCCAGGGTCTAGGGGCACTGCTACCAGCCATTCCAACAAAAACAAGACAATTCACTGTGAATGGTGCCATTTTCCACGCCACTGTGCAGATGACATGAGGGCTTCCAGATCATAGAACCAGTGGCTGATAAAACAGTGTGTGAAACCTCTATCCCTTTGGCCAAGTCTGACTTCTGGCTTTATTTCATCTGCTCCATGGATATCATCGGCTATTGTTCCAGACAGTAGTTCTGCAGCTCTGAAAGCAGTTTTCCCTCCCATGTGGCAGGTCTAGGGCTCTAAACTGTGATGACTCAACTAATAGCATTTCACAGGGCAGGGAGAACTCCCCAACCCTCTAAGTGGCCTGAGTTTTCAGAGCGTCTTTCTCTCCCTTCCTGTCTAATGTCACCTCTACTTCCTTTTATATCCTTTTTTATCCTTCCTCCCCATTCCCCTCTTTTGCTTTGTCTTCCAATTCTTCCCCTTCCTCCCATTTGCCTTCTTTTAAAACTAGCCATAAAGAGAAATCTTTTAATGTTCTTCTATTAATTTGAAGGTAATTTAAATATTTCTTATTTCTTTCCAAAAACATTTTTAAAGGAATTAAACACAATTGATTTTTGTTTGTCTGTGCCCTGTAATCATTTGATTTTGGTATTTGAAACACTATCCTTGACTTGTTTTGAATATAAAGGTCTTTTCTTTCCTTGTGTTTCTGTCTTTTAATGGCTCATTTTCATTCTCTATGCCTCAAATGAATACTAAAATTCAGTAGTCCAGCTTCTGAATTTTTTTCTGTATAGATTCGTTTGTCTTCCATAGACTCACAGGTTTCAATTCTGAACCCATTCGTCAATTCTATTCACCGAAACTTTTTTTCTGGACACCTCTAGAGGCCACGAATCGGGCCAGGCACTGGGGAATTCATTGTTTCATGACACAAGCATACCAGAAGGGGAGACAGACAATAAATAAGTGAACAATAAATACACAAAATAATCAGAGATGAAGAAGGCCCTGCAATGGTCCAGGCTCCCCTTTTCATTCTCAAAAGCACCGAGGGCTGTGAATGAGGCAGGTGCTTTTAGGCCACAGAAACTGGCCCAGCTAAAACTTCTTAAGTCCAAGAAAATCTTCCCCAATAAAGGCAGGGCCCTTTTCTGAGATATCATTAGTAGGTATCATTGTCAATTACATGCATCTCATTTGGGCTTATCTCCCTGTCAGGCTAAAAGAACAGCTGAACAGAAGCAGGACTCCTCTCCAAGACAGACACAGCTGAAGAACAAATGCTTATGAATGTCCTCTGAGAGCACAAAAGAGTAAAAAGATTTAACATCTTATTTTTAGATTCTAAGTACCTAGATACTATGATTAAAAAAAGAAACCTCAGAGAAAAAAAATGATTCAAGTGGAAAAATATGACAAATCCTTATTTATAGTGGGTTATTTAAATAATAAAACTAAGTATCATGGTAACCTCCTGATCCCTAAACCTCATGAAAATAAAAGGTGATAATGCACTTTTTAAAATAACTTCTTTCAATCCGTGCTATTAATCACTTCACTCTCAGGTCTAAATGGCCCAGGATGGTCTTACAAATGGAGACCAAATGACTGCCTGAGATGCCAGTTTGTAATAATTTGTGTATTTAAAAATCTGTCTTCCTTTTTCCTCCTCCCCTCAAAATTTCAGACAATGTCAAGCAGTTTGCTGTGATGATAAAAAGATGCATGTTTACTTGACTTTCATAGGTCAGTGTCTTCATATTCTGTTCTGGCTTTAAACTAAAAGGCTAAGAAGGCTAAGAAGTCTCACAGATTTATAAGTGGTATGAAATTTATAAGGATTTAGGTTGTTTTGCCAATTTAAATTCTCATACACAATTTCGTTTTCCCTCAACACAGCTGTACAAAGTTGCTGAGTAAATCAATAATTTTCATTATCCCTGAAGTCTACAATCCAAAGACATTTCTGGATGGTCACCAAAATTTTTGTAGTCATTTTGGTTAGGTTTAAAGCAAAAACGCCAATAAGACCTTTCACAACACAAATAGTTGGTCTGAGCTGCGGGGATTAGTGGGGGACGGGAAGGTAGGAGTTTGAAGATTCAGGTTCTGTGTACCCCAGGCTGAATGCTGAGAAGAGGGGAAGGCGTTGTTCACTAACAACAGTGTAACTTACCTGAAGGCAGGACATGACATTATTAAACCATGTTTCCTAGAACACTGTCTGAAGACCCCTGCAGTGGAAAGGACACTAAATTGTGAATAACTTAGATCTGAGCACTAAATATATCTTGGGTTTTGCTTCTGATGTATTAGTTTGCTCCCTCATAACAGTTTTTGCTGGCCACTAAATGGCTTATGCAGATGAGATGAAATACCAAAAAAAGTCTGTTTAGAGAGCATTAGGAAAAAGATATTAATGCTGCCCCAATTTTGTAACATATTCTTGGCACATGAAATATTGAAGGCCAATTTGCAAAGAGAAACATGTAATTTATGTCTACTCCAGTCTTATTCAAAAGGATTTGAGGTGGAAAATATAGAATTCATTTGACTGGGAGTGCCCACTTGAGCTCACCAACTACAGAACATTTAATCTTCGATATTCATAAAGAGGCATATTTTAATAAACATTTTTCTATGAAATCTCACCTTGTTAAAAAGGTTACAGTCATAATACTAGATCTTATTCTACTCTTTGGACCCTTTCCCAAAACACAGTGGCACCTTTTCAAAAGGCCAGAAAGGACATAGAAAGAGCCTCTTGAAGAATGTCAATGTGCAATGCCAATGGGTTCCACGCAGAAACCACAAGAGGTACCACTCTCTTTGCCAGCCTTGTCTGGAGGCAGCTTTTTGGGCACCTTATTGATCAGTCTTGCTCTTTGAAATGAGCAGACTAATGTTTGACAGGACAAACCCATAGAAAAAGCCAGAAGCTCTTCTCCCTGTCGATAAATTTAAATAACTCCAAAGCTAAAATGATTCCAGTTGTTTGATGCAAATACGCATTTTATTTTGGAGTCACTTGAAAATATGTGCCAGCTGAACTAGCTTAGCTCTTGTTTAAAGTCCACCAGGTCTGTTGGGCTGTCATTTCTCTAGCGGCTTTGCAGTGTTGTGATGGTCCCTTGGAGAAAGCACTGCAGCCTCAGAGCCCTGGCACTACCAGTCCACCACCCTTCTCTTTCCCTTCTATAATGAAGGCATAACACAGCAAAATTTCAGGGCAGTTGCCTGAATGGACAAAAGATTATTTACTGAAAAATAGATAGTACTCAAGCAACAAATAGTTTTAGAGTACTTTTGAGTAACGCATTGTGCTAAGTGCTACAAATATATGAATTAGTATGAGACAGCCCTTACTGTCAAAAGCTCACCACTTAGGCGAAGGAGGTGATCAGATATCAACTACATACAAGAATACCTTTATTATTCCCATGAATTTTTGCATAATCTATTTCTGCTTTGTCACCTTAAGCCTAGATTTTTGTATTTGCCGTAAACCTGTGTCTATTTGGGAATTAGAGAAGTCAGTTTAAACTTATGAGAGAAAGAATTAAACTTTTTATTCTGTTAGTAGCCTAATTCCTCCTTAAAGGAGATCCATATTCTAAACTCTACAGTTAAAAATGGTTAAGATGGCAAGTTTTATGTCATGTGTATTTTCCCACAATTAAAAACTAAGAAAGAGACATCCCACCATTTAGCTGGGCAGAATCTGTGAGTCTAAGCTTGGCCAGATTCTCGTAACTGTTATCTGTTTTCAACAAAAACTGTTTCTCGACTAGTGCATGTAAATAAAGCCTCCTTCAGAGCATCCACAGAGTGGAAGAAGGAGATCCAAGAATACATGTGTAACAGGTATCTCATTGTTGTGGCTTCTCTGATCTTTTGTTCTCATGTCTAGAACAATCTGAAAATTCATTTTGTTGGTTGGCTAATGGTAGAATCCATTTGTCCTGACTTTCTGGTCACCGTGTCCCTTACAGAATCTAAAAGACACTGCTGGCACCCTTGCCAGTGAGGTGGAGGGTAGGGTATTTTCTTTCTTGCTATTTCATGTGGATGCTCAGAAATTATAAAAACTAAAACTGATGGCAATTTCACTTCCTTAGCACAGAATTGGGGAAAAGACAGCTCACACATTAGTAACTCTGTGCTTATGTTTTGAACCTTTACCAGGAATGTGGAGGCAATATATCTTGGTTCAACTTTTGTCTTTCCATTAGTAATATTATCATAATAAAGCTTCCTTGACACAGTACCTATTTCCAAGCTGTTTTGTACGTTTTATGATGGACATCTGGGTTAAAGTAACTTTTTTTGCACTCCTTCTGCACTTCAGCTGGTTGGTGGGGCAATGTGTAAAGTGCTAAAGTAACAGCAACTCAGGAACTCAAAAGGCACAGCCACCTTGCTCCCAGGATGCTACCAGCTGGGGGGTGCTGACTGTCCAGGGGCCTCCCCAGGTACTATTTATTAGTTATGTCTCTTGAAAAATAACCTAAGATTTATAACGGTCTTTTCTGAATTTTTGAATTTCCTACTACAAAACATTGGTGAGTTGGGTGCAATTCCCCCCAAGAATTGAGTAAGACTTCCTTTATTTTCAGTGGGGGAGAGGAGAGCTCGTCTTAATTTATATATTTCTGGTATTTGCACTTCAGATACAAAATTTTGATGCATGTCTACAATACAAGCTCCATGAGATAGGAACTGTTGATTCTCCAGCCTTGGGCAGTCACAGAATACCTGTTGTTGACTAGCTGAGTAAAAGGTTATGACTGCAAAATAGAAAGCTGCGCCACACAGGCTAGGCAGGATTTTTTGCTTCACTGCAGTGAGTGAGGTGCTCTCAGAGCACTGTGGCTCAGGCCTTCCACCAGAGGGAGCAGGGATGCCACCCCACTGCAGAGGACACTTGTGCAGAACCCTGGGAAGTGCCTGAAGAGGAAAAACAAAAATCCCCAAGCACAGCAAAAAAGAATTGGCATCAAAATGAATGTGAAGAAGAAGAAATCGTGGGGTCATTATACTCAGTGACATGGCTAGATAAAGCCAAAACAGACCTTTCTTTTCCTGCTGCTTAAATGTCCTAAGGCTTCTTAGGCAGAGAAGCCCCATGCCCTAGGAGCAACATCTTCTAGAGCTGCTTGTCTCCTGGTTACCAATGTGGAGTCAGTCCAAGCACAATGCACCTCATCTTAAAAGCAGAAAGGAGAGTGGCCACGGCCAAACCTCTCTAGAGTTCCCCTCTGCAATGCTCTGAAACAGTTCTATTTGTGTCTCTGACTCCGGGGAAAAGATCAGCTATATGGGTTGTTTGGGGCCTGGCACAAGTGGCTATGATGACTTCATTCCAAACTGGGCTGAGAGTCCACCTAAGGACAAATAATTCTCCACAAAACCACCATCAAATCACACAAGGCAAAAAGAGTTTAATATTCAAGGTCTCCACTTTCCTCTCCAGGCAAACTTAAGCCTAAAAAGGGAAACAGCTTGAAGCACTGGGCATCAGAATACATCGCTAGTTTAAAAGCAGATTGTTAGCCCTTTCCAAGTCCCTCAGCATGTCAACTGGAAGAGAAGGCTCTGCAGAGGACAGCAATGTGAAGTGAAATCCTAAAGCACCAGTCCTCTTCCTGGATCTCCATCCATTGATCGTGTCAAACACAAGGTTGATTTTAAAGCCCTGTATCATGTAAAAGGGAAGATAATCCAAGAGAATATCTATCTAAGACACATCAAGATTTTTTTTTTTTTAAAAGAACCTGTCTTAAACTAAAGAGGCAAGACTTGAGTTTCATTTAGCTAATGAAGCTTTGGAAAGTAAATTATCCTTCCAGGGATGCTGAAACAAGCAACGACAACAAAAGACACTCTCCATTTGTCTAGTGGTTCCACCCTATCAGGCTCTAGATGGAACCCACCAGTCCACAGATTGCCAATTTAGGACATTCCTGAGAGCCTATTGATGGGACAGAACTGCTGAATAGTCATAAATCAGAACATTCCAAGGAGTGAATGGGATAATACTGCAGGTTTATTTTAAGGTAAGGATCATAGCAAACAGGAAATTATATATAATTCCAGAGAGAAACAAAGTCAACAAATTCAAATGAACAATGGCAAGTTCCTATAGGGCAGGACATTGCTTATTTCTTTACATTGCCCAGTGCATCTGGCCCAGTCTATGGCGCTAGGGACTTACTGATCATCTAATTTGCAAAAAAACCTCACAACCACCCCCCAAAATAATCTATGGGTTTATCTAAAAAGAAAGCAGAGGTTTAGACCCTTTCTACTAGGTCAGAGGATAACAATTTTAGATACAGAAAAGATATGAAACACGGTAGCTAATTGGACTCATGCAGACTTTATTTTATTTAATTTTTTTGAGACGGAGTCTTGGTCTGTCCCCCAGGCTGGAATGCAGTGTGGTGCGATATCGGCTCACTGCAACCTCTGTCTCCTGGGTTCAAGCAATTCTCCTGCCTCAGTCTCCTGAGTAGCTGGGATTACAGGTGCACACCCCCATGCCTGTCTAATTTTTGTATTTTTAGTAGAGACGGGGTTTCACCATGTTGGCCAGGCTGGTCTGGAACTCCTGACCTCAAATGATCCACTTGTCTCGGCCTCCCAAAGTGCTGGGATTACGGGTGTGAGACACCACACCTGGCTGGACTCATGGAGACTTTAAAAGGCTTTCCAAAAGTTGGGGGATTCCACTTCTCCAGGCAGAAAGACCTTCATGAAACTAATATGTACTTAAAAAAAATCCACATAGAAGAGGCAGAGAATGTGTTAACAGGGTGGGGAACAGAGAAGGCTGGCCACGTTCAGCAAGACCAATGAAGACACTCTCATAATGTTTGCTGTGGAGAGATCTTTCTCTACATAATGGTGAACAATGAGCCCTGTCCAGTTTTTTCTTATTTTTCATTATAGGAAACCTTAAGTATCACAATTCTTCAAGCATGCAATGGGAATGGGAAACACGGTGGCACGGTGACTTCATGACAATGGTAAATCAAGTGTTCTGTCTGGCAGGAAAACTGTCATTAGCCTGGGAAGTCATCTAGCTGATGTCATTTTTGAAACAGAGGTAATATGTCTATTCAAATTTATGAGGAAAACAATCAATTTTATTTTCTGCCATCTACTTTTAGAGGTCAGAAGGAAAATATTTATTGTGCCTTTTAAAGGAAATAACATTCATTAGACTCCCAAAGAGTAAGTTTCGAATGGTAAATATTTCCACTGGCAAAACATAAGAAAGAGAAGTTTGTTTTTAAAAGTGAGATTACAAAAGACTAACATCAGGTAAAAAGAACTTCTTGTGACTGCTCACTTACACAGGTTGGTCCTGCCTTAGCCCTACATCTAATTCAAGGTCAAAGAAAATGTACTGAAAAGGAGTCTTCAGCTACCTAATCACTAGCAGGCTAACAACAGACAGAATGTTCACAAAGACATTACCTTAGGCAACCGACCACCTTCATTATTTTTCAGTTAAAGCAACCATGTTCTGGGAGAAAGATTTTCTTTTTCGCATAGTAAACATGTGCCAATAAAGCTTAAAAATAAGATCTGCGATGAGAAAATCCAGACAACAGCTAATTTGAATAATGAATACGTTTATTCAAATAATCATGCTCATTTTTAATGATAGAGATGAATGATTACTGATCAGAAATGCTTTTGATACATTTTTGAGTGAAAAAATAGGTTACAAGACAGAGTCTCTCTTTTAAAGACATATATATATGTGATACATATTTGTAATGGATATTCATAGAAAAATGTGTGGAGGGATACACAACAAGGTGTTAACATCGGCTTATATTTTCAGTCACGTTTACTGAGGAATAATTTACATACAGTAAAATTCCCTATTTTGTATACAATCCTGAGTTTCAACAAATGTATACAGTCATATAACCACACGACAATCAAGATACAGAACGCTTCCATTACTCTAAAACAGTTCCTGTGTGTCCTCCTGTGGTCCAGACCTCCCACCCCAGGTCCTGACGCTGCTGATCTGTTTTCTTTCCTTGTAGTATTGCTTATTCTCAAACATCATACATACGGAATCAGACAGTAAATATTCTTTTGATTAGCACTTTTTTTTTCCTAGAATAGGGATTATAGATCATGATGATTTCTTTATTCTTGTTATCTTGCTCATCTATATTTTCTAATTTTTTACTACAAACATAATTACTTTTGCAATTTAGAAAAACAAAGGTAAAAATTTAATTAATTGTGACAGGCCATTATGGAAGTAGATAAAGCCATGAAAGCACAGATGAAAACAAATGCTTTGTTTAAATATCACACACAAATGCTGTGTATGATATTTAAATTGTGGAATATTACTTCACCCAAACCTTGAAAGGTAATGGACAATCAGCTACAGCAAGGCAAACCTCCCAGCTGTGCTATGAGTTGTGTGACACTGGGCAGGTTATTTATCATCTTTTAGATTCGATGTCCTCATATTTAAACTAGGGGTTAAAATAGTGCCCATCTCGCAAAGTCATTATAGGGATTAGATGAGGATGTGCATTAGGTCACTGGGACCTGGTAAAATTTAGCACTAGAATTGTGTATATTATTTATTTGGCTATTCTTAGTACTACCATTACTGAGGCTTTGGGAGGTATCCCAATAGGAAAGGACCTATCCCAATAGGAAAGGACTCTCTGCCTCTATAGGCAGAGGGAAGTGATGTCAGGGGCATGGAACCAGGCCACAAGCTTACTTTTAAATCTCAAAACTAAATTCAAGACATTTCGTTTTAGAAAATTTAAAACTTCTGCTTCTTCACAATAAAGTTCTTAGTGTTTTGTTATGATTTCTCAGTGAAATCATTACCTTGGGAATATTAATAGTAAACACCAGCCACCCTTATAACTTTAATCAATATTTTCTTACTATTTAGAACCCAGCGATCCTTTAGTGAAAATATACATTTGTATTTGTCTAACTCTCCTCTCCCCCTATATGAATGACCCAAACCCTATAACCTTTATTCATACCACAATAGGGCATGAATTTAGGGGAGATGAGGATAATCAATTATAAAGCTAGCCAAATTTAAACCAGAGCATAACATTTAAGATCAGTGCATAAAGAGGCCAAGCAATCATAGATGTTCATCTCTGCCAGGTTTTCAGTTGTCAGAGATTCTGGGGTGAAATGAGTTTATGAAAAAACAAATATGATCCACCTTTATCTTCCCAAGGCCATAATACATGCCAGGAAGTGAGTAAGTCTATCTGTCTCTGCTGGGAAGCTCCCAAATGTTTTGATTAAAATAGAACATCTAATCCTCATCCTTGAGACAAGTTCATAATTCACTGAACTGATCCAGGATTTTTATAATAAATGGCAACTGAATTAAAAATATGCCTGCCATCTTTGGCCAAATATATACATATATTAAAAACACGACTATTAGCTCCATGCACTTTGGCCAAAAAACAAATTACAACCACATATGAATTACAGTTAATTCATATATACACACATTCATGTATATCTCCCTGTATATGTATGCATGTATATATGTATGTATATATGTATGTATGTAAAATGTTCACGGATCATACATTACTGAGAAATCTCAGGGGCCAAGGAATGATCTCCCAAACATCAGGTCCACACTATCTGATGCCTCCGGAACAGCATGAGATGGTCCCTTTGACTAAAAAGCTCATCATCTCCACATTCAAGATCCACATTCAAGATCACACCTCCCCATTCAAGATGCAGCACAAAAGTCACTTTTTCATCAAGTTCTTCCCAGTTTCCCTGCACTAGAAACAGTAATTTTCTCTTTTCTACCTTGGATTCATTATTTATATACATCTTCTCTGAACAACAAAACAAACAGTTCCTTGAAAGCACAGCCCATGGACAATTCTTATGTGTAATCTCCCTGTCCCCAGTGCCTAGCTTAGATAGCACTTTGTCCAAAATTGGGGATTAATATACATTTTCAGAATGAAATAAATGAATATTTGATTCCATTTTAATACAATCATCAATTTTTGCTCTCATCACATAGCACTAGCTGCACAGGCCAGAATACATGACTCAGGAATATGTCTTTGGCAATATTCTAATCTCCAATTCCTGACAATTCCTCCCTCCTCTGTTTTTTTTTCTTTTTTTTGAGACAGAGTCTCGCTCTGTCACCCAGGCTGGAGTACAGTGGCACTGTCTTGGCTCACTGCAACCTCCGCCTCCCGGGTTTAAGCAATTCTCATGCCTCAGCCTCCTGAGTAGCTGGGACTACAGGTGCATGCCACCACGCCCGGTTAATTTTTGTATTTTTAGTAGAGACAGGGTTTCACTATGTTGGCCAGGCTGGTCTCGAACTCCTGACCTCAGGTGATCCACCAGCCTTGGCCTCCCAAAGTGCTGGGATTACAGGCATGAGCCACCGCACCCGGCCTCCTCACTCCTCTTAAAACCTTGTTAAAATACTTCAAGGAGCCAGGCCCGGTGGCCCAAGCCTGTAATCCCAGCACTTTGGGAGGCCAAGGCAGGTGGTCAGGAGTTCGAAACCAGGCTGGCCAACATGGTGAAACCCCACCTCTACTAAAAATACCAGCTACTTGGGAGGCTGAGGCAGGAGAATTGCTTGAATCTGGGAGGCGGAGGTTGCAGTGAGCCAAGATCGCGCCACTGCACTCTAGCCTGGGCGACAGGGTGAGACTCTGTCTCAAAAAAAAAAAACAAAAAAAAACCTTCAAGGGATGTATCATATACTTCATAGCATCTCTGGACCCTACCCCATTAAAAAAATAAAAAGCAATTGAGTATCAAGTTAAAGAAGAAACTTATTTCAGATAGTACAAAGTGCTTAGATTGGGATTTATGAGCATATGAAGAAAGGATATGTCTGCCATATGCTTTCAGGTTAACAAAGAACTTTTTGTCCAGACACCAATACCCTAGTCTTCTCAGGAATCACAGCTAACTTACACATTTTAATCAATTAAACAATCTGCATAAGAGATTAGTCAAGAAAGAATATGCAAATCAAGTATGGAGAGGTATCTTCCTCTCTAAATCTGGGAAAGCAATTACCCGAAAGTCAGAGAGCTTTGAACAATATTCATTCTAATTTGGCATCTCTTGTCTTTTTCAAAGTTTCAAAAATTTAAAAGTTAGGAGAACAAAGATACAGCACACTCCAGCACCCTGCTCAGAGATAATTAACATTCACTGATTTCCTGATGTGTGGCTTTGCATGCCTTTGCTTACCTCGCCCTCACACAAGGTAAATTAAGCCCATTTTACAGATGAAAATATTAAGGCTTGTATTATTAAAAGTTATGCATACACTAGGGTCCATAAAAAAAATTCCTCAAGCCAGAGCCAAATTCCTATAAGTTAATCTTTAAAGTCCAATATTAAAATTTGGGGACTTATGGGCAACGTTGGTTTAATTCATCTTCAATTGACTCAAGGAATACAACCCATTTTCTAACTGCTAAGGAGCTTGGGGGAACTTATCTCCAAATGACCATAAAATTTCCAGGAAATTCTAACTTGACCTAGGAGTTAACAATAATAATCTCTGACAAAAGGATAATGCAGGTTTAATAACACAGAAGTTGCAGTTTGCTTGTGGACTTCTGCTGGGTTATGTCCTAGAATTACTGCAGAGGACTACACTCCCTTAATTTATGCCATTTGGTCAACACTAGGGGTAATATGGTTTGGCTGTGTCCCCACCCAAATCTCATCTTTAATTGTAGCTCCCATAATTCCCACATATTGTGGGAGGGACCCAGTGGGAGATAATTGAATTGTGGGGGCCGTTTCCTCCATACTGTCCTCGTGGTAATGAAAGTCTCACGAGATCTGATGGTTTTATAAGGGGAAACCCCTTTCTCTTGGTTCTCATTCTCTCTCTTGCCTGTCAGCACATAAGAAATGCCTTTCCCCTTCCACCATGATTGTGAGGTCTCCCCAGACACTTAGAACTGTGACTCCGTTAAATCTTTTTCTTTATAAAGTACCCAGTCTCAGGTATGTCTTTATCACCAGCATGAAAAGGGATAATACGAGGGGCATAACATTTCCAGTAGTAGTCTTTTCTTTCTTCATGTTAAATCTCAAAAGCATTTATGGAATACTTACTCGAAAAGCCTGGCGCTTTGCACATATTATTTCATTTAATTCTCATCACCTAATAAAATTAGTATTTCAACCCCTTGAGAACCTTCAGAGACTATACAGAGATGTTAAGTGTCTTGCCTACAAGCACACAGCTAGGAAGAGGTAGAGCAGGAACAAGAACCCCAGTATTTCTAACTTTAAAACCCAAACTTTCTCAACTACACCATATAACCACACTCTCCCAAGTATTTCTGTCTTCTACTGGTCTGAGCTTAAATGGTTGAAGCCATCCAGTCTCTTTTCAAGATGTAATCCTATTCTTAATCCTCATCTTCATCATTAAATATTCACTAAACTGAATTGAAAGTTGCAAATATTGTAACAGAAATCATTGTGTGAAACAAATAGATAAAATTCCGATTCCAATTCCATCACTTAGAAAATCGAGGAGGAGAGACCACAAGCAACTGTTGACTGTGTGTCTTAGTCCACACCACATAACTGCCTCTGTTCTGACTGCCATTTTTACATTTCTCTCTGGGCTTTTTTAGAAACAGATGGGCTACTGACTTGGTATTATCAGTTCCAACCTATGCAGCTGGAGCATCCCAGAATTGCAGAAATAGCAATCTTCTGAATAATTTCTCCTGCCACAAACAACTGCTGCTGCTCCTATAATAACCCCCTTAGTGGGCCTAGAGAGCATTCTTCCCATTCCAAGAGCCACGGTTCAGTTTATCTGAAACCACAATGTCCGTTTGTGTTTTGGCTGAAGAAATCTTATAGGCCACCTGATCTTTGTTTTGTCTTAGTGGAAGCAGATATACCAGATGATAATATTTGGTATATAATGGACTTTTTATCTTCAGCTGTCACAATAAAGGAAAATCAAGATGGGAGACAACTCAACTGTTTTTTATCTTCTTCTTCAGCAAATACAAGAGCCACCCTATGTAGGATGTCTCACGAAACTGCCCATTTTATGTCATCAACTGTTAGACTCCCCAGAAAGGAAAATGTATACAAACCACAAACTGTGTTGGCTATATTTTGAACCATAATGCCACGAACTCAGAAGTTTACTGAGTTAAGATGTTTGTTGTTATAGAAAAAAAGAATTCGGATCTCTAACCAAATATTTTCTTTCACATTTGAGTACTTTGCCACCACAACGTACTCATCACATAAATGAGACCTGGTAATATTTAGAAATTACTGAAATCACAATATGCTGAATAATAAACTTAATATTTCATCCATAAGACAGGACTTGTTTTTTTTCAGATAATATTTGTTTGGTAGTTGACTACTATACCAATTAGTCAAATAAAAAGTAAATAAATGAATTATTTTAAAATATATGTCACAAATTGTGTAACTGGTTATACAAAAAACTAATTAGTTTTTGGTGATGACAAAACGATATTAACATAATTTTTCTATTTTTCAAACTCATCATTTTATAACAGCTTTACTGAAATAGAATACACATCTCTCAAATGATTCAGCCTTTTAAAGATTAGTGGCTTTTAATATATTCACAGAGTTGGGCAACCAGCGCCACTAATTTTAGAACATTTTCATCATCCCATAACACACCTCTTAGCAGCCACTCCCTATTCTCCCTGCCTAGCTTCTGGCAACAATTAATATATTACTTCTTGTCTGTAGAGTAGCCTATTATGGACATCTCATATAAATGGAATCATACACTATGTGGTCATTTTTATCTGGCTTCTTTCACTTAGCATAATGTTTTCAACATTTATCCATGTAGCAAGATATCTGTACTTCATTCCTTTTTATGCCTGAATAATGATATTCAATGTACGAATATATATATCTTTGATTTGTCCATTCATTAGTTGATGAACATTTGTTTGATTTCCATTTCTCAGCTACTGTGAGTAACGCTGCTATGAAATTTGTGTACACGTTTTTGCTTGGCTGTATGTCAAGCATCTCATTTTTTATGAAAATCACAATCTTTCTTTGACAAAGAAAGAAATATGTTATGTTATGCCAATGAAAGGAAAGGTCTTAATGGTAAGAATTGTGATAGAGCAGGATACAGAAATGAACAAGCCAGATAAGGGAGTGCAAGGTGAGGTCCATGCCCTTCCTGGGCCAGTCTTGCTGCACAGCAGAACTCTCTGGGCTTCCTCCATCTGCTACTGGGGTCCCACAGACCTGCCAACCTCAACTGCACATAGCCAAGGATGAGCAAAACTTGTACATCCCACCCACAAGCCTCCAAAATCCAGCACTGTTTCCTCCAACATGAAGTGCAAAGAGATGTTTGAGCCAAACTTTGACGTGTTTCTCAAATGACCTCAACATGTACTCTCTAATGCCTGAAGCAGATCAATAGGCAAATCAGGTTTTTATTAATGTTCCCTTCGACTGTGACACCACCTCATTCAAATGAAAAGAGAGGATTCAAATAAACAGAGAAGTTAATAAAAGAGTCACAGCCTATTTGATTAAAATATTCCTAGGAAAGGACATACAGTTAAAATTTACTTTGTTTTTATGTTGATTAAATATCAAAGGCATTTTCGAAGTATCTGAAGTGCTAGCCAAAGAGGTTATACATTAACTTCTTCACCCTCAAGTAAAATAATATTACAGGACTCAGCTGCATAAGACCCAATTTATTCCAAAGCGACAGGTTCAAAAGATCAGTAATTATAAGGCTATGTAGGACAAAAAAATGTTTTGCATCGTTCAAATTACCAGAGGTGGTTTGCTAACTAGTGCCTGAGGACAGCGAGTGATTACCCCCGATTCAGCTTTGCTCTCATTAGAAAGGACTTCAAGCTGAAAGGCAGCCAGAGCCCAATAACACTGCAGTCAATCCTGGTTGTCTTTTCACAATTGGATCTGCGTGTTTTTTTAAGGAATACAAAAGCAATAACAAATAGATAAGTTTCAAATGCATTATACTCATTCACACATATTTCATCATGATCTTTTTCATGAACTAAATTATTGCATCTAAATTTCTTGTAATAGAAAAAAAAAAGCCTCAGAAGCAGCCTCAGATGCTATATGTCTAAACTCTTCACCCTTGTAGTAGGGCAGTATAAATCACTGTTACTCTTCTCTTCACTCCTGTAAACAAAAAAAGCTTTGCCTGTTCCCTTCCCCTGCACCGCCACCACCACCCCGCCCCCCCCCCCACCCCACCTCCTCTTCACCTGTTCTCCAACAGGAGAAACAGAACAAAACGAAAACTAGTCAGGGCTTCCATGCAAAGCCACAAAACCCAAAGATCCTGGAGGCAGTACTGGGATAAGTTTAGAAAGCTAAAAAGAGAAGAGATCAGAAGGGGACTTGGACACTCACAGCAGAAACGACGCATCCAACCCAGGGTTTCCCAGCTGAATCTGCCCACTGCCTGTTTTTGTAAGGCCCTGTAGCTACAAGAAAATTAAATTATTGGAAAAAATATTTAAATTATTGGAAGAAAGTCAAAAGAAGAACAATAATTCATGATTTATGAAAATCACATAAAAATCTAATTTTAGTGCCTCTAAATGAAAGTTTATTGGAACACACCCCTGCCCCTTCATTTGCATATCGCCCACGGTTACTTCAGGGCTATAAAGGCACAGTTGAGCAGCTGTGGCAGAGACCATATGGCCTGCAAAGACAAAATGAATTGTTATCAAGCCCTTCACAGATAAACTTTGGGGACCCCTTGTCTAGCCTATCCTAAGTGGACATTTCATCCCAAATCTTTAAAATGGATCTCAAAGAAAGAGAGCCAGTGATAACCCACCCATTATCACTGGGGAGGTGAGTGGGGAGTTCTGCACGTGTGGAGGCAGGTAACGTAGATGGGATACCTGTTCACAGAAGCACAAAAAGTATCACACATACAGAGTTGACTGGGTTGAGAGTTTTTGCTGACAAACAACTTGTCCCCTTTTATAAATTTGTTTCAAGCCACACAGCTTATCAGTGAACACAAGGACACATTAGCTGCCCACAAATTAGCATTTAGTACAATTATCTACAAAAAGGAAAAGGAATCCATTTACATTTCAAATCACTCCATTTAGCTTGAAACTTTTTTCAAGTCACAAACTCATCCAGAAACACTGGATAACTACTTCTTATCAATTTGGACTCCATTTTAATCCATGCTTTAATAATGTTGCCTGTGTGAGGGTGGAGGAATGATTCAACTAGGGAAATAGAATAAATAATGAACAGAAACCAGAGGCCAGCAAGCTCACTGACAACAGCCAAAGTGCTATGATGTCAAAGTTTCATTAATTGCATGTGTTTATCAACCAGTCCCTATCTACTCATGTTTCCTTAACACTATCCTGTACTTAACCAGAGAATGCAATGCTCTGCACCTTCTACCTAATCACAAACACGCAGAAACATGTCTGTAACCAAATTTCATAATCTAAATGTCACCCAGTTTATTTTGTGTCTAATAATCAAGCAAGTATGTTTTTGTTCTTATGAGGGAACAAAGGAAGTAACTCAGATTCTAACTGTTTCCAAAGTCTGGAATGAGAATTAAAAGATTTACAAGCTCACCTTGTCTTAAAGATGTTTCTCCAAAAAATCCTAGGTGTCCCTTTCACATTCCCATGGAACTGCTAATCTATGGTCAGCTTTCCATGGCTCCTTTTAGTGCAATAGTAGAATAATGGTCTACGTTGCTCACGTTTAAACTCTTCAGTTCCTTTTTAATCTTTTTAATCATTCAAAGAAAGTAAGTAAGTAAATATTAAATACCAAGTTGCAAACAGGTACAGATATCTATGAGAAGTCCACCTGGCATATCAATATGCCCAAGAGCCAGTAATCCCAGTAGTGGCTTCCAATCTGACAATGGCTGGGATAAATGTCACCTCCATAGCCTCCATGCCAGCTAAAGGAATTGCAAGACTAGTGCTTAGGCCAGAAAAAAATACTGATTAAAGACACTCAACCCTCACCTCACTGTCTGCAGCAAATTTGATTTCAAGTTTCCTATGGAGTGAAATGGTCAACTGCCTTTGTAGCTGTAATAGTTCAACCATGCTTCTAGTACATGTGCATAGTGTGTGAAAGCATTTGTGCACAGGTGTGTCCTCCTGTGGATTATAACCTCCATTTTTTTCTGTAAGACAATCCTTAACACATTTACAACTTATATTTCATTAAAAAATCCTCCTGAAAACTTAAATATGGATGAAATAATAATCCTAAAGAACTTTTTCAGATGACTAAAAAATGTAATGATTATTCTCGACATTATACAAGGGTAGAGTTTATTACAATCTTCTGAACAAATAATGAGTTTGCAGAATTAGTAAACAATCACATTTTCTTTCATTTTGTTAATCAGGTATTAACCCATACTTAGGGGAAAATAAAAACAAACATAACAGTATTCTTAATCAATTTGTAGAAAAAACTAACAGAACATCATGTAAATAGCCTAATGTATGCAAACAAAGAAGAAATACCATGTTTGAAAATCAACTTATTTATGTCATAAAATAATACACATCATTGGGGAAGCACATCTTGGGAAATAGCAAGGCCAAATTTGTTAAGTTATATAACTTTCTGGGCCTCAGTTTCCCAATGGAGAAGATGATTGCAAAGCCTGACTGTTTGGATTAAATGAGTTATTAAAGAGTCTAGCACCATGTAAACACTGCAGGTGTTAACTATTCTTACTTAATAAAATTATTCCTAAAGTTTTGATCACATTTTCTGAAGAATCTTACTTCTTTGATACATAAAGAGATAGTAGAAAATAAATGGTTCATTCAATGAGCATAAATCCAGTCAAAGAGGAGAAATTAGATAATCAGAAAGCAAATGGGGGAAAAACAGGAGAAAGTGTGACACCAGGATTTATAATTAAGGAGCAATACACAATACACAATGCAACCATAATTTAGAACAGATCATAGAAGAGCAAAGTTAAATATGGAAAGAAATAGAGTATGAAAGTAACAAAGGAAAATAACCATGCTATTAAAAACAAGGTCACACGCTCAGCGGTGCTAACAACTAACAGGGGAATTGAAGCTGTGACAGAAGAATTTGCAGCCTCTTTCACATTTCACTTTAAAGGTTTTAATAATTATTAAAATTTCCTGGCACTGCCACAATAGTGGAGGCCATAGGAACTCTAGGTGGTCACCAAAGAATACACTGAAAGTAAGTGAGTACACCAAGGCAGAGTGACAGCAATCACAATGAGGGATTTCCAGGTCAAAGGCAAACCAGGGAAACTTCCTTAACTCTCCCAAGAAAGGGCAGTGCTACTCCTCCAGGCATAACATAAACTGGAATCTCCTAATTTGAATACAACCAGGCTCCTTCTGGGGACAAGGAGAACTGAGCAGAACAGGAGGAAGTCCTTCTTTTGACACTTTCTCCTTTGCAAACTCAGAGTTGTGTAAAGGACCAGAAAGGGTCATCTAGAGACATTCTACAGAAGCCATCACAGAGTGGCCACAGTGATACTGACAGGAGGCAGAGAAATATTGGGCAGAAGAGGGCAGTTCCTTCGCAAAAGCCCCACTCACAAGCCTGGGCCCGCGGCCATAAATGAGAACTTCACATCCCTGTTTTCCTGCCTGAATGTTGCTTTTTCCAAAACCACCCTGGCCTGCCACGTGCCACCCACCCCCCCACATCTTCTACCCATAAAAACCCCAAACTCCACTGGCAGAGGAGCAGAGTGGTGTGGCAGAGAAGGAGAGAAGACAGAAACAATTGAATGTCAAAGAGGCAGCTGAACGGAAAGGAGTTCAGCTATCCCAAACTCCAGGGGAAGATTATCTTCCCACTCCATCCCCTTTCCAGCTCTCCATCCCACTGAGAGCCACCTCCATCACTCAGTAAAATCTCTGCATTCACCATCCTTCAAGTGCACGTGACCTGCTTCTTCCTGGATGCCAGACAAGGACCCAGGGACCAACAGGGCAAGGTGTAAAAGGCTGTCATCCTGACCCTCTACTGAGCTGGTTAACACTTAGCCATCCACAGACAGCAACTGCTAAAAGAGCATTAATTGTAATAACAAAACCCTAGATGCTACTGTGGGGCCAGAGCCCAAAAGTGCTCACCCCAGCCCTGGCACCCACTTGCTTGTGTGCTCCCCTTCCACAAGGGGTTTGAACCACACCCCTTGTAAGCAAGCCACACCCCTGTCCTAAGTTCTGTGAAGGGGACCAAGTAACTCTTCTGTCTCAACAACAAACCCCAGGATGAGTTAAGAGATGAAAATAACAGGAGAGGGCAGTACTGGTGTCTTCTACCAAGTACAATAGGCAAAATTTAGGGTGCTAGGCTCTGGTTGAAAAGAAGGTGGGATTTTTCCATGACCAGGACTTCAAACAGCCTTTGTGTCCTCTTAAAAATAAAAAGCCCTGGGGCTGGGAGCGGTGGTTCACACCTATAATCCCAGCAACTGGGAGGCCGAGGCGGGCAGATCACGAGGTCAGGAGTTTGAGAACAGCCTGGCCAATATGGTGAAACCCCGTCTCTGCTAAAAATACAAAAATTAGCTGGGCATGGTGGCATGTGCCTGTAGTCCCAGCTACTTGGGAGGCTGAGGCAGGAGAATTGCTTGAACCCAGGAGGCGGAGGTCGCAGTGAGCTGAGATCACACCACTACACTCCAGCCTAGGTGACAGAGAGAGACTCCATCTCAAAAATGATAATAAATAAAAATAAATACATAAAAAGCCCTTGAAGCAAGCTTCGCAAAAGCAGCCTGGGGAACCAGTGCTCTTCCTCTTTGCTAAAGATGGCTTTGGGTGGTCATTTGATTTTGCTGTTGCTCATTTTTGTCAGCTCCTTTCATGCTTCTGGTTTGTTTGTTGTTAACGCACATTCCTCTGTTAGCTAGTTGAAGAGGTTATTATAAACAATGAGTTTATTCTAGCTACTGGTCCAGGAAAGCATATGGCGAATGTGAGAGAACAACAGTTATGCAACCGTGGAGTGATAAACTCACGAGAACCAAATTCAAACATGGGTACCCTATCTACTTCCCAGCAGACAATGAATATATCACTGTACTAAACTCCCCTCCCATCTCCTCATGATGTTTTCTTTATTCTTTATCTCTGATTTCTCTAAGGTCTTATCTATCCCATCTTGATGGATAATGCATGAGGCTGCAGGACATAACAATTAAAATCATGGACTCCTCAACCAAACTACTTAGGTTTGCCTCTAATCTCCACCACTAAATAAACGTGATCTTGGGAAAATGAACATCTCTGTGCCTCAGCTTCCTTACCTGAAAAATGGAAGGAAAGTAATAGCGCCTACCTTCTAGGGTTGTTTTGAGGTTTAAATGAGTTAATATTTGTAATATGTTTACAATAATTCCCCACAGGACTTACTACTGTCACTGAGAGATACGTCAGAGAAGGGAAGCAACTTCCATAATAGTTCTTGTAAACAATGATCCTGTTCAATGGTTTTAATTATCTCCAGGAACCTGAGGACTGTCCAGTCCTAACTCCTATGCCATCATTCTCCCATGCTTCTGATTCCCATGGTCATAGACCTGCCCAACCTATATTCTTGAAAGTTTCATGAGCATTTCAGGCCCAACAAACTAGCTCAAACTGGAACGCACTGTGCTCCCCTCATCTCAGGACCTTTGCTCTACTCCAGTTCTTCACATGATGGTCATTCTTCTAGTTTCAGATTTAATGTCCCTCCTCAAGGAGTCCTTATCTGACCACTCTACTTAAAGGGGCCTCTTCCCCTGCCCCTGGTACAAAGCAAATAATTCCCTGTCCTAATATCCTGTTGTAGTTTCTTCCTAGCTGTGATCACTATATCTGAGGTTACCTTTCTCACTTACAGCCTGCCTGCCATATCCATGGGTTCTACATTCACAGATTCAACCAACCGTGGATCAAATATATTTGAAAAAATAATAATAATACAAATAAAAAGCAATATAGTATAACAACTACTTACAAAGCACCTACCTTGCCTTAGGTATTATAAGTAATCTAGAGATGATTCAATCATACAGGAGGATGTATGTAGGTTTTATGCAAATACTATTGCCATTTTACATCAGGGACTTGAGCATCCATGTATTCTGGTATCCTGATAAGGGGCGTAATCCTAGAATCAATCTCCTCTATACCGAGGGACAACTGTGTTTGCTTATTTGTTGATTCCATGCTCCTCCTGTTAGAATGAAGTTCCATGAGACCAAGTACCTGTGTCATTTATTGCCTTATCCTTGGAATTTAGATCACCACCTGGCACTTAGATCACTTAGTATCCTAAGTGGGCTCAGTTTGTTGAACACATTCCACGTCATGAATTTTATGACAATGCATGAATATTAGAAAATTTTTCTCTCATACATTTTGCCTAAGAAATATGTTTATAAATTATGTTTAAAATAAAAGGCCTTGGCGCTTGGTAGCATAAGCTTCAGCTATCTCAAATATTTAGGTATGAAGAAAGCTTCATTGCCCCTGCAACAGGAGATAAATAAAGTCTCTCTATAGTTTTCTTTCTCATACACTTAACACAAAAGCTTGTACAAATTCAACTTAAATACATCTTGATGATGATAGTAGTAATCCCACCATGATTTTAGGAATTTATGTCAAAATACATGTCCATTAATGATAAGTCAATTTATTTTGACATAAATTCATCTTGTCCTTTAAGGAACCATTTAATTGCTTTCACTAACAATTATCTAAAGTATGTTCTAAAAAACAGCTACTAACCTTAAGAACAAAGAGTTAAAAAAAAAAAAAAAAAAGCCCAAGTCACCTCTTATAAATTTCAACTGATCTATTTAACAGAGTTCCCAATGAAGCTGGCAGTCATCCTACAGGTAACCAGATCATTCAGCTAACGGGAGGGTATGTTTGTTGACTCCTAATTTGATGATAGCTCTCTATGTTAGATGAGCGACTCTACTCATTTCAGTTGAACTCAACAAACTTACTCAATTTCTACCTTGGTACCATCTTTCTGTTAAGTCTTGGAAAAATATAAGAAGTAAGACATAAAACCTACCCTTAAATGAGTTATCATTTGTGCAGGTGTCTGGCATACAGAAGATGCTCAATAAAACTATGCTGAATCCACTAAAGCAGAAGTCAACATTAGATAAAAGCCATAAGAAAGATTTACCAAGTGGCCCAAGGCCTGCAGCTTGAAGAAGTAGAAAGGGCTTGGAATTTGGAATCAGAGTGAGCCAAGATGGAATCTCAACTCTGAGGCTTCAGCAAGCTTTTTAACATGTCAGACTCAGTTTGGTCCCACATAAAATGGAGATAAGAAGTCTGCCGTCTTGCAAGACTTTCCATTAGGGCATTAGATAGGATACTTGTAAAGCATGGGATTGGCACAGGGCAGGGGGGGTTCAACAAATGGTAATCAGGGTCTGGCATGGAAGGGAGCTTGCAGGGAGTAGTGCCTGCTGTGTAACAAACTTGTCAGGGGAGAGACAGCTGGAAGACACTCCAGGTAGAGGCAGCATTGTGAGCAGAACCTGGAAAAAAAGCATGAGGGTGTATCTGGGGGATGGTGAGTCACTCTGTTAGCTACATTAGGATGGCTGAGGCAACAAGATAGGAGAATGAAAAGTAAGATGTAGTCGTGGGATGAGGGCTCTGAACCCCAGGCTCAGGGGTTTGTCATCAGTGATGCCAGTTAAAAAGGGATCCACTGCATTGAAATAATTAACAAAAGGTTAAAAAATCCAGAAAAAGCATAGAGTTAGAAGGGACCTGATCTTGTCCAATAGCCACATTTTTACAGAGAAGGAAAGTGATGAACAGAGTGCTTAGAAAACATACTCAGGGTTCAATTTCCATCGAGAAGCATTCCCTGACCTCGGAGCTGGGCTGCAGTTGGCATTTCAAACCCACTGTCCGCATTAACCTGAACGTAACACACAACCCTGTGTATACCTTTACCATACAAAACACATTAACAACACATTAACATCTCTCACGTTCACCCTGACAATTCTCTCTCCTTTATTCTGCTTCTTAAAGGTAGCTCCTCCCTTCCTCAGGCTCCCTTGTCATTAATTTTTCTCTGTCTCTCATTCCCTATTTTTAACTGATAACACATTTTGTCAATTCTATTTCAGAAAGGTATCTCAAGTTCAACTCCACCACCCCCACTTGGTATCCCACTGCTGGAGACCCAGCTCAGCCTGGAGTTGTTAGGTAAGTGCCCACTTCTCTCACAGTCAATAGCTATCCCAAGCCAGGCCATCCTTTGCTCTGTGACCCCAGTGCACTTCCTGAAGTCAGACCTGACCTTGCCAAGTCTTGCTTACAGACCTCCTTCAGAGCCTGACAGGTCTGTGTCTGAATTCCTGTGGGCCTAATAGCAATAATTAATTATAATAAAAACACTAAATGTTTACCCTGTCTCAGACATTATACTAGATATTCCATTTACGTCATTTTATTTAATCCTTGCAGCAGATTTTTAAAAACAGCTATTATTATTCATTCTACAGAAACAGAAACTGAGGCACTGGCAGATGACAGGAATTTGCTCAAGGTCACACAGTCGGTAGGAGGTGAGGCACAGGCTGTGAACCCAGAATGTCTGGGGCTAAAGCACAAGGCTAATCCAACTGGCTCCCAACTTAAATTTAGCCTCCTTAAGACCCAGTTTCTTCATCTGTAAAATGGGATTAATAAAATCTGCCTTGTAAGATTGTTGTAAGGATAAAATGAAATGAGAACTCAGAAAACGTCAGCTATTGCTATTAATTGAATGGTTTCCAGTTTCTGGAGAAGGGATTTGGCGAGTCTTAGCTCGGTGTGGTCCCCCCATGGCTTCCCTAGTATGTTTCAGGACCCCTGGGAGGAGCCAGTGCCTTTTCACAGAGTTGGCCTGAATATGGGCTGCCTGCGTTAAAAGAACCACATCCAAGCAATTGCTGGACTGTGTAGCTATTCATTTGCTCAGCACTGATTAACCACTGATTATCGACCACTGTGCTGAAAGCTGGGTAAACTCATCTTAGATGCTCAGTCTATGAGTTAGATAAGCACATACATATACACACACACACACACGCATTCTATTACAGCAAGGTCAGTGCTATATCAGAGGACAATGCAAAGCTGAGAATGTCGTCATTTGTTTTGGAAGGAATTAAAGACACAGCACAAATCCCTCATGAGTACTTAGTTAATGTTAATTTATGATGGATCAGCTATACTGCCGCTCTTCAATCATATTCTCTTTACAAAATTATTGAGTTTTGATAAAAACTCCATGAAATATCAAGATTTAGTTTCTTTCAGTGCTCAAGGTTATGAGGAAATCTTAACTGCAAGAACTCGAAGGTCTCATTTTCTGTAAGCGGTCTAGAAGCTTGAATAAGAGAAATATAAAATAATTAATCATTCAAAACCCGATACTATTTTCCCTATTTATAAAAGCCCTCATATAAAAATACACCTATGGCTGTTTGCATATGAAATAAATATGATTTAATATTAAAGATTTTCCTTTCGACATTTTTCGTTCTTGTCAATGTGACTTAGAAAAGACTTAGGCCACAGCTAACAGAGTTGTTTGACAGTCAACAACAACAACAAATCTGTTCTCCCTTAATTCCAATTCAGATAGCCCAGATGCCCTTGCTGACCTATCTGCCGCTGGCTCATTAGCATGGACTGGTAGAGCCTTGGCCTGAAAAATAGACCCCAGACAGGGGGCAGTTAACAAGAGTGTGGGGCCACAGCAGCGAATTACAAGCCCTAAGTGCTTGTGAAACATGGAATGACACCCAGACATGGGCCTCAATAAGCCTTTTGCCAGAGGAGGAGTGAGAAATGCAGGATTGAGGGTGGAAGAGCAATGGAAAAGCCTTAAGGTTTCACAAGCACAGCAAATGAAAAACTTCTCTGTTCTATGACAATGAGGAAGACTAAGGGAACAATGTAGTTCAATCTCTGAAGGTGAAATGGCCAGCTATGTGAAGGTGTACAAAGCACCCCAAAGCTGCCTATTCAAAAACACAAAACCCATCATCTCTACAGTGATTCTGACAAATCAGCCTGATGTCTATCGTCTAACTCTGATCAAAATGGTGCCAAACGATAGAATGTTTTCCCCTATTCTGATATCCAAATCAATTCAACCTTTTTTTCTTGGATTCTGAACTTGTTTAAGTTACCTCTTTGGTTCACCACTACCTACTGGCCAAATGGTCAACAGATGTCAGATTGGTCCCTCCCCCAAGTCATTGCTGTTCATTTTTGCAGCTGCCGTCTTAACTGTCTAAAGGGGACCCTATGTTTCCCTCTGTATTTGAAGCAGCATGATACCACTTATCTGCTATTGATTGTTTTATCTATCCTTAAAGCCACAGATGGAACAGCCACTAAAGCAGCTTGCAGGTGTGTTTGTTCAGGGGTGGGAGTTGAAGGGGAGCTCCTGCAGAGAAGCACAGCACACTGCAGCTTCCAACTGGTCTGGAAGACCACAGAGCGAAGGCAGAACATCAGGAGAATGTAATGACTTCATGGCCCACAGGGATGGGAGGCCATTCCTGAGTGCTTCCACCAGTCTGCAGAGGACCTTGACTATTGTTATTTGCTCCAATCCATCTGCTTACTTGCTTTTAAGTAAAAGAATGGGAAACAATCCCTGCAGTCAGAAATGGAATGACTTCCATGTACCTGATTGTGTTGGTAGATACTGAGCATGCCTCACTTCCACTAAATCTGCTCCTAATGTTCCTACCTAGAGAAAAGAGATGGGGCGTTCGTAAACTTTCAAAGGGAAGCCTTCCAAAGGCTTAAGAATAAAGAACCTCTATCCAGCTGTGCTTCATAAGACCATAAACCTTAAAGGGGTTGTGGAACCTTCACAACACAGCTGAATGAGAGTTGTGGGGCCGGAGGAAGGAGGAAGACCAGGATGTGAACTACGTTTGAGAATAAAATGAAAAAAAAAGTCTCCCATTCCAATTGGTGCAATGCAACAGCAAAGCTTCTCTGAACGCCTACTTGAGCGTTTTTCTTTGAAACAAGCTTTCCTTGAGTGGGCCTTGTCTATACTAAACCAGATGCCAGAAAGAAAAGCCATGTAGATTGTGTGACCCATTTTCCATCAAATGTCCTGCTCCATGCTGGCTGCTTGACCTTACGGCCTCCATCTGGGAGCTAGGGTGCTCCTAGAGGAACCCCCAAAGATGATGATCCATGTTATGAATGTAATAGGAAACTGCACTCTTGGATACTCCCAAAATATAGCTGGAGCAGAGCAGGCAATTTCTAATGCTCGGTGTTTGTTCTTCATTTATATTGTCACTCGCTGACAAGCCAGGCTCCAAAGATTCAAGAATTCATGAGAAAGAAATACTCAATGAAGAAAATTCTATCTGCATAATTGTTTTCTGCAAGTTAGGCCTACCATTATTTTCTTTTAGCATTTAGTATTTTCATATTCAGCATTTAATGCTAGTATTTTGTGGGTGCCTACTTTGGGAACCACTGCTGTGAAGGAGCAATTGTGGGACAGTGCTGGTTCCTGATGCTAAACACAGAGGTATTCTTTAGTGACAGTTACAAGAGATGCCATATAATCTCACTCCTTTCTTCCACAAGTGAGTGTAATTACTTATTTGCCTGAGATAAAAAAGCAGTTCTACACCTAGTCCATACAATCTTGATTCTGTAGCCCTCAATTAATAAGCAAGCAGGATGGAAAAAAGATGATCAGATTCCCTTCACCTTCCAAGTTCACTAACATCTTAAGAATTTAAAGACCAATAATAGACTTTCATATAATTGCAATTTTATCAAGAACTGGCTCAGTTCTGCTGGGATTTGAATCCCAATTCCACTACTTGGTAGCTGTGTAACTAGGGGCAAATAATTTAACCTCCCTGTGACTCAGTTTCCCCACCTGTAAAATAAAATCATCATAATAAAAGGACCTGCCTCCAGAGTTGTTGCAATGATTCAATTACCGGCAAAGCACTGGCAACTATTAGTTTATGGTAGCTACTCATCTTTCAGTTGAGAGGGAGCATAGCATTGTGGTTAAAACACAGGTCCTCCTTTTACTTGTGAAATCTCAGGAAAGATCCTTTCTCTATACCTCAATTTGCTCATATGTAAAATGTAGAAAATACCAGACCCTAATTCATAGGCACATTATGAAGTTTAATTGAATTAAATTTAGAACACTGTCTGGCAGAGAGTAAGTGCTTAATAAAAGCTAGCTATTCTTGTCCACAGCAAGCTAAAAGCTGCAGCTCTAGAAGTTGCTGTAAAGACAATATGAGAATTGTGAGTTAGTTTCCACCGAGAGGAAGGCTGTCCCAGAAAACTGGTGGATGGGGTGGAAATAAATCTTGCTGCCTCTCTATCAATATTTCTTAAATCAGAACTCGAGTAGAACTCAATCTTTACTTAAGAAAGAATTGGTGGAGGACACCAAAGGGCAGACATTGATGTATTTGTTCCTTTTGCCTCTGTTTCTTTCTCTTCTAATCTTACTCTCTGGTGTAGTAGAAAGAAAGAGGCTTTGCAACCAGAGAACTTACATTTGAATTCTCATCCGCCTTCACGACTATTAGGCAAGCCACCTAATTTTTTCCATTCTTAAGTTTAGCTATCCATGAAGTGGGGCTATAAGCCCTACTTTCCAGGCCCCAAGGACTGAATGAGATACTGCATGTGAGTTTTAAGAACCAGCAGCACTAACTCTTCATGTGATTTTGCTTCCTTTATGAGTCATGCCTTATTTACTGTCCTCAGCATCAACCCTGGACACAATTTTCTTGTTAAGTAATTATCTCCCTTCACCTATTATACAGCTCTGGCCTCTAACCTACTTTCTACATCTTAACATTTCGATCCTAGCCTTCTTACCCTCTCATGCATGTCTAATTTCCAGTTATTATAAGCTGCTATTTCCAAGGATATAACAATAGCAGTGAACTACGTCTGGCACTAGAACCCTGAGTGGCCTAGAAAAAGCAAGTGTCCGATAAAACATCTGCAGCATACCATCCTGAGATAACCCTTTGAGCCAAAGATATCCCTGGCAGAAAGCAGCAGAAACAGGGGAGCAGGGAGCCACTGAGCTGGGAGGCAGCAGGGTATGATAAAAATATTTTAGGGTAAACAGATTTCTCTCTTACCAGATGCTTGATCTAGGGCAAGTTACTTAACCTTTTTGAGAAGCAGTTGGCTTATATCTTAAAATAGATTTATTCTACAAAGTGTGTGTGGCGGGGGAGAGATGCCATGATATGGATTGGATCTTCTAGGAAATCAAACTTGTGACAACTGCCCACACACTAGCTCATCCCACACATACTCCAAGTCACTATTATTCTGTTCTATACTTTCTTTTCCCTATTACCACTTTCTAACATACTATAGCATTTGCTCATTTATTATGTTTACTGTCTATTGTTCAAAACTTCTACTAGGATGTGAGCTCAAGAGAATGACTCTTTCCCATACCTTTTACTGCCATATCCCAAGTGCCTAACACAATAGCTGACTCACAGTAGGTGCTAGTAAGCATTTGCTGAACAAACAAATGACAGTCATGATGAAATAGATATCAAACTATGCCTAGAAGTGCTACTTTTTGGTAGACATGTTTTTGGGATAATTTAAGTTTCTACAAACGTTCTCATTTTTTCCCAATTTTAATTCAAAGCAATTTTAAGTCTCCCTTTTATCCTTTCCCTCTAGCATACTTGGGCTATTAGGTTTAGGCTTAGTTAATGTAATTCACAAGTCAGACATGCAGACCTGACTTTCCCCAAATGTTTTTTCAGCTGATGTGGTGATGCGGTGGCATTGTGACATTAGGCATTGCATCTATGGAGGAAAATATCATTACTTCTTTGGCCTTAATGTTGCATATATCCCCTACAAGTTCAAGAGTTCATTCATTGCATTTCACTACAAATTATGTCGCAGAAAGTGAAATAATGCGCTATGTAGTTCTAAATCTTCTTTTCCATAAACTATGCTGTCCTGCTTTATTGTTCAGTGATGCAAAACTTCTCCCTTACAGAAGATGTATTTGTCTTGATCCCATTAATATGGGTCAGTAATACTCTAAGTAATAATTCATGCAAGACAAAGTCATCATGAATGTTACCTGAAACAAACAACCAACAGTTTTTTCCTGTCAGAGACTTCAAACTTATCACCTAGTAGTCCACAGCACAATGTAATACTAATTAGGTCAGAGAGGACAGTTAAAAATTATTTTCTCATAATTACTAGTTGAGATTATGAAACAAAAAGAATTGGAAATACCACAATCTACGAATAGCTGGAAAACCTCCAATTATTGAATGCACACAAAATCCTACAAATTTTGAGGATACTCTTTTCGTCAATCTATGTATTTCACTCTGCATAATATTAAGTTGAATATACTGAAAAATTTCTTTCTCCTGTAATAGAATAGAATCTTATAGACAAGAACCTTTCCAATTACTTTTGGGAGGAAAAGTGGATCTGAATCCTTGGTTGTACTTCTTTGGTTTGTTTCATCAAAACAACAAGCATTATAATCTTTCTTGGGAAAAATATACTTTCTTCATGTTATGATTAGCATTATTATGTATCTTCATCTTCTCCCTTTCCAAAATGCCTCCCCGGTTGCTTTTTTTGTAAAACATTCTGTTCTTTTTCTCCAACACACAGCTATCTTAACTTTTCCAAACTCTTGCAATACATTTATTCTGCATCCTGCTGAATTATATTCCACCCTAAAGTCAGGAAAGAGAGAAAATTCTAAGCATAGCCAGGCACGGTGCTGTGTGCTTGTAGTTTCAGCTACTTGGGAGGTGGAGGTGGGTGGATCCCTTGAGCCCAGGAGTTTGAATCCAGCTTGGGCAACATAACAAGACCTCGATAAAGAAAAGAAAATTCTAAGCCTAACACTGTCTTAACCACAGTTGTTCAATTTAGTAAACGTAAACTTAATTAATAGCTTTTATGCTCTGATTAAAAAAAAAAACTAAACCCACTCTATTTTTTAGTTTCAAGGGAAAGATCCAAAGACTTATTATTATTGTTATTATTATTATTTGAGATGGAGTCTTGCTCTGTCACCCAGGCTGGAGTGCAGTGGCGCGATCTCGGCAACCTCCGTCTCCTGGGTTCAAGCAATTCTCCTGCCTCAGCCTCCCGAGTAGCTGGGACTACAGGAGCTAGCCACCACACCCAGCTAATTTTTGTATTTTTAGTAGAGACAGGGTTTCACCATGTTGGCCGGGCTGGTCTCAAACTTTTGACCTTGTGATCTGCCCACCTCGGCCTCCTAAAGTGTTGGGATTACAGGCGTGAGCCACCGCGCCCGGCTGCCTTATAATTTTTGAGCCAGATGTAGAGTTTAATGAAATGCATAGATCTGGTACATTTAGATTTCTCAACTGCTTTGCTAATTTTACATTTTTAACGCATACTGTTGCCAATTATAGCTATCTTAGCCCAAATCAAAAAATAAATAATATCCTTCAACACTGCCATTAAACTCCAGCAAAACAAGTCACTAAAGATATAATCTACTTATGAAAAATGGTGTTATTAGGAACTGGATTTCAAAAAGTAACTCATTAATATATAGAGATGCTAATGATACATTTAAAAGCAACCTAGAAAAAAAGGAGTGAGAGAAATATGACAAATTTCCTACATACACCTGTAGCCTATAAAAGTCCATCTTTTGTTACTCGCATCATATCACTGCCCAAATAAGAACATCAGAAGACAGGCCCATAAAGTTTAGCTTTGCAAGCTGCACATGAATTTGTTAGCTAGGTACTAGTGTTTTACCCAATGATCAGTGAGATCGCTATGCCATATCAAATGGTTGAGTGGGGCAGGGGCAGCGGGGATACATGGTCAGTCAGTTTGGACTGATCAAGCTAATCCCACCATGTGGTTTCAGCTTCTACTCAGAATAAAGCCTACTGGGTAAATGATTGTTTCTTATAATGACTACAACAGAATGGCCATTGGAGTGTCTTCTAAGGATAGTAAAATTCTATTGATTAGCTTGCATTAGCCCGAATTACCATCTTCTAATCCACCTACCAATGGCTGAGGAATATATATAATTCCTTTGTGAATTGCTGATTTTACTGTGATTTGAAGTTAGAGACAAGATGTCAATCTACTTAGTGTTTATGTTTAAAGCTTGTGGTATTTCTCTCTTTAAGTCTATTTATTCATTTCTGATGAAGCAACTTCAAAATCAAATAAACTCAAGACTAACGTTAAACTTTGATTCTTCAGCATATAGTATCACTCCAGAACCATTTGTTTTGTTGAAATAACGATCTCAACATTAGAATGACGCTACCACTTGTTATGGTGGTTAATGTTAACTTTTCTTTTCAAATGCTTTGGAAGGCAATCACTATGACACCTGAAAAGAACACTGCACTGGCCTGAAATGCTACCCTGCCAGCTACAGTCATGCAGAATGCCTTGCGATCTTAGCCGCTAAGGATAGACCATGTCCTCTGACCTCTATAATGCCTCAAGTCAAATGAAAGTAGAGACTGAGCTCCTTAAAGCAGGAGTAAATCTGCTTTCTCTGAAAAGGCCAAAAGAGCAATGCACAGACATTTTCATGCAAATTTATTTTATGATGCTAATAGAGAGAACTATGCTATGAAGCCCCCTAAGTGATCAAGAAGAACAAATTGAGTTATTCATGCCTCATACTCACCCTCTATCGAGGCTGTCAAGTTCAACAGCTCCTATCAATAGGAAGTTTGACACCCTTAAGTTAGCTGCATGCCATCAGGAAGGGTTTTTCTGGGGTCACTAAGGTGTGGACAACTTCAGAAAGGAACAGACAAAATGAGACTGAATGGCAAACTGCTGAAGATCTGTAGCAACTATGAGTTGAGAAGCTAGAGAATTATGAACGTAAAAGTTCACTTTGAACAAAAAAGCAAAACAACAAACAAAAAACAAAGTCAGCTGAGGTCATCTGTGGATCGTACTTTAGGCTCTTTTGCTTTTTATTCCTTCCATTTTTAGCCCATAACATGAATGCTGTAAGCATAGTGAGGTAAGATGGGAAGACAGGGAAATAGGAGATACATTCATGACCTGCCCCCAGCTGTCATTGCAAAGGAATACAAAGAAAAGTCCTCCGGCCTGTGAAAAATGATTCTCTGTGATTCTCATATGCATTACCAACTATACATTTAGTTTATCTGTTTGCAAAGAAAGACCACCTCACGAAAGAATAACTAGAATATAACTATGTGCTTTCTCTCTGGTTAAAATTTGCATTTGTCTAAGCCTTAGAAAAATTGATTCTAAAGCCTCAGTCGAAAAATATATCTGTAGGCTTGAACTAATCTGCACAGTTGCCATGTTTTAATTATTTACTTACCTTGCATTGTTACAAAGGGGATTTAAGTACAATCAACTTATAAGTACTCATGAAAACTGAAGAGAAGTTATTCAGATAATCAAAAATAAAACCTGTTATTTTTCTTATCTTGTATTGAGATTATGATTTATATCCTGATAATTTTTAACACTGCAAGTATTATTTTTTTTTAAGTTGCCAAATAAAGACTCTGCCAGAAGCTGGAAATTTGTCTAAGTTTCCTAATCCAATCCTCTGTTCACGCTTCTTCCCAACTCTCTGAGTTAGGAATAGCCTTTTTCACCTTAAACTGGTGCAAAGTAACATGGCAAACCAAAATGTGTGGCTGACACTTTTAGAGGTGAAAGACATAAATAAGAGACAGTGAAATGCCTCAGTAATGAATGAACTTTTAACACCTACCTTCCTTAAGAATGTTTACAAGAACTTCGAAGCAAGACACATCCCTGAGCATCTGAACTGTAGAGTCCTTTCAAATAGATATAGCTGTTTAATCTTCAATATCAGATTGCTCTGCCCTTCCCAATATATGTCCACCGATCAATGAAAAGTGTATTTAAGAAGACAGATTCGTTGCAAACTTAGTAAATGTTACCTGAAGATTGGCAGGGAGTCTGAGGGGTCTTTTAGAGCATTCACCAAAAAATGTTCACCAAAAGCATTCCCTACTTTGTCAGTTCTGGAAGACCAAAATCCCATTCATGAGATCTGCTAGACTCCCTGGGGCCAGGAGCCCTGCATAGCCTGCACCTTCTTGTTCACAGCTACATCACAGAAAGTAAGTGCCTCCTTCAACTTGCCTTCCAAGGCTCAGCCCCTTGAAACTCTCACCACCAACAGAACAGATTTTCTCCCTGACAACTGAGCATCAGTACAACGTGAGGTTCATTGTATGGAATCTGGGTGTTAGAAGCAAATTGGTCTGAAGTCATCTATTATCATCTACCAAGGTATAGCATTACTGCTATTATTAATGTGTAATGCGGCTTATGGAAGTTGGATAAAATTTGCTATGTTGTGGGAGAATAACTTGCCCTGCTTTTATAAGGCAGATAATTAGGGAGGTTGGCATAACCCCAGATGAGCTATTATCTATTTATAGAATATATATGAACTGGGTGAAATAAATCTATCCCAGATCTACTCAGAAACCCAAAAGGTATCCATTCAGTGAATGTCTACTAAGAACCGTAAAGTACTATGTCAGCTGCTGCAGGATGATAAAGAGTGAGCCAAGATCCCTTCTTTAAGGGTCCTCATAACCAAGCAGCAGAGCAGCAGACAAAACAAGTAAACACATAAACCGAAGCCTGTGGTAAATGGTAGAAGACAGCTGCAGAGTCCCCTGGGGGTTCAGGAGGAGAAACTGTATCCTGCCTGGTGAAGGGAAGAGATTTAGGAGAGGCTTAACCCAGATTCCCCAATCACCTAGTTAAACACAGCGATCACAAGAGGAGAAAGAAAAAATAAGGAGAAAAGTTTGAGAATAAGTGTGAAGAACAATCATGTTGTCTATATCCATCACTTTTCAAGACAACTGTATTAGGCAATCACACAAGGGGGCTAATACGAATGATAACTGCAGAGCTGGAGGCAGGGTAAAGGAAGGCACAGTGGCCAACCATGTCTCATCTGAGCAAGGCTCATAATAACTGCAATCTAGTCAGAACTCCCTGGCCATTGTGGAATTAGTACTAAAACAATAACGGGTCTCACTTAACAGAAGATTACAGAACTGTCATGGATTTCACCTGGTACAGCTGTTTGCAGACAGGCCAACATCTGTATCAGTCAAGACAAATCTTTGTCAATTTATGCTTTTAACACCCTTTATGGGTGGAAATGCTATGGTTTCCCTTGGTAGTAAGCATAAGAAGTGAAATATGCTGATACTCAGAAATCTTGTCCAGGGTTTAACAGGACTCTCAATACAGTTACATTCATATAGCATGCATAGAGGAATACCTATTTGGTTCAAGTTATTGTACAGACACCATCGGGGGTCCAGGGTGACTTGGTCAGTGAGACTGTCATCAACAACAACAGTATGTTTATTGAGTGCTTACTATGTGTCAGCAACTGTTCCAACTGATTTGTGTGGATTAATTCATTTCATTCTCACAAGGACACTACTGGGTAGTTAACACTTTTGCCACCTTTGATTACAGAGAAGTAAGCTGCTTGGGCAGAAGTTAGATGGCTGGTATGTGGGAGGGAAGTCTGGTTCTACATCCCATGCTCTCAGCCACAATGCTAAGCTGTCTCTAAAATCACCAAAGTAACCATGCAGACATCAGGATAACCTTGTCACCAAGTGTGCAGCAGAGGAGCACCGAATCAGGAGGCAGAGGACCTGACTCTCTAATACTGTGTTTCATGGTACATAAGAACCCATCCACGGTAAGATGCACCATCATTATTTTTATACCACGAAGAAAGGTGAAACACTGCCAATCAAACTATGACACTAAAGTCAAAAGCCATCAATGATAAGACAATCCTGATGTCAGTTCAACTGTCAGTGAGAAATGTGCATCTTGGAATCCATTAAATATGATTTCACTCTTACTTACATTGAACAAGTCATTTAACCTGGAGCCCAGTTTCTGTATCTATAAAATAGAGGGCTGAATACGGTGATTACTAAGATCACTTCCAGTTTGACAATGTTAGATAGATAGAACAGGGGTGAGGAGAATAAAGTCTCTAGGGCTCAAAATTTAATGAAGCACTAACTCTCAGGGTGGTGCAAACAGAGGATGGGCCCTGAGAGTGGGCGCCTCCTTAAAGTCTGTATCCTAGCAACCTTAATTGCCTCATTAGTAGGGGCCTTGATGATGAAAGCAATGTGGGATTGAGACAGTTTGTCTTTGGAGGTTTCCTACCAAGATCTTTCCATGATAACCTGTTCACACTTCAGAGCAACTTTTTCCAACTACTTTCGTGTTTCCTAGGAAGATGTATTTCCTTGACTTGGAGCATTCCTTTCATTTCTATTCCCTCCCCAGCTTCTTCTCATTTCTATTAAAATGCCTAATTCCTAGTTAGTTCAACTGGCTCTTCACTTTTTTACTGAGACCAGGGACAAACGTCTGCTCTGGGCTGGTGATTTTGCTGTATCTCAGTTAAAAACTACACACCATCTCATGGGAAATTCATTGCTGCACTCAAAGACAAAGCCCTTGCTACTCAAAAAGTGATCCTGGGGCCACCAGCACTACATTGGCTCAGAACAGTTTAGAACTACAGACTCTCAGGCTCTGCTCTGGACTTGCAGAATCTGCATTTTAACAAGATTCTTGGGGGACCGAAAAGCACAGTAACTTTGAGAAACACAGGACTAGGCAAAATCATGCCAAACATACTGAAAAGCAATTCCAATGACAAAAACGACTACTTACTAGCACCTAATACCTGTCAAGTGCTTTCCATAGGGCATCTCCATTACACGCAACCATATAGACAAATAAATGTTAATTCATTTAAATTCAATGGCCCAAGTAGAAGTGGTACACCAATCACTTCAGCCCAATGAAACAGCACTTTTACACCTTTTTCCTGTAAATAGTGTCATACTCACCTCCCATCTAATGATCAAGCCCTGGTGGGAGGCAGTACAGTTAAAATGACTAAAGACCAGGACGTACAGCCTGATATTAACTGTGTATATTTGGGCCAGTTATTAAATTTTCTGAAATTGAGTCTCTTCATAACAAAAGTAGGAGATGATAGTGTATGTTATAAGGATGAAATTATAGAAGGGATGTAAAGAGTTTAGTAGTGTATGGCACGTAGGAAAAGCTCAACAAATATAGCACACCCCACCACATGGCCAGGAGCAGAGACTTGTTAAACTAAACAAGCACAAATAACTGGTCTAACAATTTGCCCTATGGAATTTGTCTTCCCTCAAGAAAAAGAAAAAAAAAAACAACATTCACTGTGTTTTGGGAGCTCCTAGGTGATAACAGGCAAAGATATGGCTGCCTCTTTGAAAAAACTCTCTTCCCAGTAAAGGTATCTGATATTACTTTAATTGTGATTGAAAAATCAAGCAGCAAACTGCCCTCCTCACAGTACTATAGACGTGCATAATTTGATGACGCAAGAGGCACCTTGCTCATTTATTCAACTCCAGGGACATAGAGGGTTGCTTTTGACAGAGTTGTTAAGCAAATAAGGATACTCACGGTTGCTGAATAAATTAAGCTCTTCTTATTTAACCTTGCCGAGCCAGGTCTGAGGGACCGACATGATCCGGCATTGTCCTGCGTTCAGTCATAGATGTGTCAAGCACGCTCAGAGCGTCCAGACCCTTCTTGCCTTTGTTGTTTTTATAAAAGGTTTCATTGAATTGCTTATTAAAACTGCTGTATATAAAACTACTCCTTTGAAAGATTTCCCTGGCTTGCCTCCAGCTCAATTAGCAGACTACTTCCAGCCGATGAAAAGTAACAGTCAATATCAGATTATAGTTAGCAACTATTCACAAGAGTAATCAAATTAGATTTTGGTATCTATGGTGATACGACAAAAATTTCCACTAAGCCCTGTGGTTTTACAATAAGACTACCACAGCGCTGTATTAAATTATTGCTCAAAACATTTTCTCAAAATTTAATCTGCATCTCAGGAGATACACGTACAAGTCTATGGGCATATCAAAAAATGTATAATCACAGCTTTTCCTATTTAAATACCAAGTAGCCTTAAGAGTATGCGGGAACAATCTGTGTGGTTCTTGGTCTGTTTTCGCTTCCAACAACTTTTTCTCAGTTATCAATTATAACTGGCCATTGTCGAGCTGAAGTACCAACTGGTCTTACAACAAAATGTACCAAGCCTATAATCAATATCAGACCAAGAAGAATGATAATAGAAAAAAAGAGGCAATTGCAGCTTTTGATATGCTTATAATCGAAACAGCACATTAAACATACACATTAAAAGACAATATTAGTACAGCAGATTTCCATTCATGTGCATATAGTGTAAAGAGAATGTGTGTATATTTGTATATGGCATACAAATTTTGTGCAAGTTGAGTATAACTGCAAATAGGCAGATAGTAAAGGCGTTATTGGAGTTGGGTTTAGTTCTTTAACAGAAAGAATCCAGATGAGATTTTCTTTAAAAGAAAAAAAGAAAAGACGGCGCGATGGCTCACGCCTGTAGTCCCAACACTCTGGGAGGCTGAGGTGGGTGGATCACTTGAGGTCAGGAGTTCCAGACCAGCCTGGCCAACGTGGTGAAATGCTGTCTCTACTACAAATATAAATATTAGCTGGGTGTGGTGGTGGACACCTGTAATCTCAGCTACTTGAGAGGCTGAGGTAGGAGAATCACTTATACCCAGAGGCAGAGGTTGCAGTGAGCCGAGATCGTGCCACTGCACTCCAGCCTGGGTGACAAGAGCGAAACAAAAAAAAAGAAAAAAAGAAAAGATAAAAAGTATTTGGTCGCTTGTGGCATGCGGCAGATCTGCAGGCAGACCACTGTCTGTGGCCTTGTACGTAGCATCCTTTGGCGAGTGCCTTTCTGCCCAGCATGTTGTAGAGGATTCAGCAAGACTGTGTCTCCTGACTTCCTCTATTGTTCATGCCCAACTCCAGGACCGGCAAGCACCGGGGAACCGTCCGCCATACTTCTCGGAAACTGGGATCTGGCTAACTGGAGGATGGAAGGCTGTCTTAGACTCCTTTACCTCACGGGACCCCCGTCCTGCCATCTCACTGCAAGTCTCCTTCCCCCTGCTCTGGTAGCACAAAGGTAAGCGCAGCGGGTAGGCAGTCATCCAGTGAGAAACAGTGTGCCAGCCACCCCTCTTACGGGCATCCCCAATGTTTATCAGGAATCATCTCTCCCTCCACTTAGCTTCTGGAAGAGAAATCACACTACCTTCTGATGTTGAGAGAACTAAATGAAACAGCATATGTGAAAGTGATTTATAAAATGTAAAGGCTAAATAAATGTCAGAAAGTATGATTGTCAGACGGCAACTTAATTAAAAAGAAAATAAGCAACACAAGTATGGTGCTTATCTTCCCTCAAATGCCAATCATATCGCTCTGGATCCTAGCAATATGCAAAACAAAGTGAGAAATAGCACAGTGGAAGCCACTGCACTCTGTTCCCTTAATTACTTACATTTACCTTGGTAACTACATATACAATGACTTGGCACTCAGGAGCCCTTCAAGCACCTAGGAAAACAAAACCACCACTAATGTGACTCTATGTATGGCTCCATGTGTACGATCCAATGTTTTGGCAATGTAGTCACAGCCATGTCCCTTTTCTTCCTATCACTATAAAAATACTGTTCTATAATCCAGAGCTTTAGAAATTATATCAGTTATAGTCTCCATTCAAATAATTAACTTAATACTCCTTGATCACCAATTAGATGCCCAACTGGGCAGATGCTTGCTCTTATACACAAAAGCAAGGCTGCATGTGAATACCACCCGCATCAAACTTGACTGACAGGCAGGCCTTTAAGAAAAAAAAAAAAAGAAAAAAAACCCCTCTATTCAGAGCATTTAATTTTCAGGTATTTATGTGTTTGATTTGACAATCGGTATGTGATTTAGATGGAATACTTTCAGATTTTTACTTTGCGAACCTAAATTTTCATCAGGAAACAGTGTTTCTTTAGGGACATTTCAGACTTTGGGGAAAGATATATGCTTACCTGAGGACCTGTTTCAAATTATCAAGTAAATCACATTTCTGTAGCGGGCACTTGAAAATCACACCCTATATTACTAACTCAATAGGGTGTATTATCTTCTGCCAGCCTCTCTTTTCATTATTATATAAGTGGATGATAGAAAAAAAACGATAACCTATAATTTCACACGCCTTATTCAAACCCAAATCTATTCCCTTTTCCAGAAACACAATCAGATATCTCAGACGGTTCTCTGTAGAATTTCAGAATCTGAATCTCTGGTATTATCCTGGAAGACTTTGTAGCTAAATTATAATGTATTGTAATATTTTTAGGACTTTAAACCCTTACAGATACCTTTGTGCACAAAGCCTTCCAAAGAACGAAGACCATTCGTTTTGAAGAAAAAGTAAGCTGAGGCAAGAGCACATTTCTCTAATATGCCAATCTCGAAATAGTTTTATTATATTACAGTGGCCATGTCTGCCCAGTACAGGAAAATGGCCAGGAAAACAGTCAGGGCAGTGTTTTCAGCCACTGTGAAACAGACCGACTAGACTGGCTGATTGAGTTGAAGGTGCTAGGGTATCATGGCATGACATCCATCAAACACAAGGTTGCTTTAATTTTTTAAAAACTATAATGGATTTATTATGAAGAATATAAATACATTCCAAAAAATGTATATCACAAAAACTCTACATCTCCATGGCTTATCATAGATTACCTTCATGTTCACATTAACCCAATGAAGAGTACACCAAAAAACTTGGCGAACTTTTTAGTCTGTTACTAATTTGGCTAATCAATTCAGGATCTGTCTCTGGGATATAAGTATTGGGACATACCCAGTTCCTTTGGGAGAAAACCAGGGAGGCTTATAAAAGCTGGGACAGAAACACGGGTATAGAGGAGGTGCTGGGGTCACTGCGGGCACAGCTCTGGAGCTGGATCCCCGGTTTGAGGCTTACTCTACAACTTACCAGTGGACTGACTCTAGACAAGTCCCTTACTCTCTGTTGCCTCCATCTCAGCATCTATTCAATGAGGAATAAATCGGATAATGCACATAAAAAGCTTAATATAGAGCGCATGCTTAACACATCAACACTATGTAGGTGTATCTTTATATTTCGTGGAACTTCAAGAATAGGAAACACAAAATCACAGCCTCATGTAAACTCGAAGGTGGCTGAGGTCCAAGGCTGGTCTTTTTCAGAGGCCACGGGTGCCCCTCCATCATGGTGCCTCTGCAGCTCTCTCCACGTTGTTGAGTCAGCTCTCCCTACTGACCGGCTTCCTTGACACTCCTGCTGACCCTCGGCCCAGTAGCCAGCCCGGCTCGGAGGAACTCCCTGGGACCCTTCAGTTGCAGAGTTCACTACCAACTAACTCAGTCTCTTGAGTTTCAAAACTCAAGTTGCCATGCAAAAATATAAGTGGATCATCTCAATTTCCTAATAAGACCATCAGCCACGAGCCACTGGACAGCCTAGAAGATTGGATGATCTTGAGACAGGTCACCAACCGGGCTCAAGTCAGCTGTGATTAGAAGTGAGCTACTGTGGACTACCGCATAGCCTTTGGGGTCAAAGGAGCTATAGAACAGCCACATGGGATGGCCTAGATGACTCACTAAAATGCGCTTCCAGAAGACCCTTCCTCAAAATGAGGCAGATAAGACAGAGGGAAATATGAGACACCTTTAAAAATCTTCTTTCATCACTACCCTCCACTCCCCATCCAAACATGGCAATCGAAACAGCTATTTGACCAAAGCTTTCTATAGTTACTATACCCTACTCAGCCTTAGGCCTTGGCAAGCATCCTGTAGCTGGTGGAATGGTGATACCCTTCCCGAAACACATGTGCATGTTCTAACCCCCAGTGCCGGTGAATAAGATCTTATTTGAAAAAAAAAACAAAAGGGTCTTTGCAGGTATAACTAAGGATCTAGCAATAAGATCATCCAGAATTTAGGAAAGGCCCCAAATCCAATGACTCGTGTCCTTAAAGAAAAGGGGAAGGGAGATTTGAGACACAGAGGCCATGTGAAGACAGAGGCAGAGACTGGAGTTGTGCAGCCCTAAACCAAGGAACTCTCGGAGCCATCAGACGCTGGAAGAAAGAAGAAAGGATTCTCCCCTAGAGCCTTCAGAGGGACCACAGTCCTGCCGACACTTGATTTTAGACTTCTAGGTTCTAAAACTGGGAGAGAATAAATTTCTGTTGTTTTAAGCCACCAAGATCGTACTAATTGTTATGACAGTTCTAGGACACAAATGTAGACTCTGAAATAAGCAACTATGTTTACCCATTCAAGCCAGGTGCGGTGGCTCACGCCTGTAATTCCAGCACTTTGGGAGGCTGAGGTGGGTGAATCACCTGAGGTCAGGAGTTTGAGACCAGCCTGACTAACATGATGAAACCCTGTCTCTACTAAAAATACAAAAATTAGTCATGCATGGTGGCCTGAGCCTGTAATCCCAGCTACTCAGGAGGCTGAGACAGGAGAATCACTTGAACCCAGGAAGAGGAGGTTACAGCGAGCCGAGATCGCGCCACTGCACTCCAGCCTAGGAGACAGAGCCAAGACTCCGTCTCAAAAAAAAAAAAAAAGTACTTCCTTAACACCCACTACATGCCAAGCTCTGAGCTATGCAGGACATGAGGAACATGTTGGATGAGATAAGGAAAAGGTGAATTCAACAAACACATTTTGGCATATGGGCTGGGCTGGCATCCAACCTCATGATAGAGTATGGTCAGTACACAAGAATAAACTGGCCTAAATAAAAGATGAACATGACAAAGCAGGCTGATACTCTGTAGCTGGATCCCTGGGGACAGGCATATCACATTCAGAGAAGAAGCGTATACAGTTAAGTTAAACACTTGCAGTGTGCCTAGGATAAGTCAAGCACTCACCCAAGCCCTATAGAAAGAACTTCTTGGCTTGCTCTTCTTCCCTTCTTTGCCCAGTAAATGTCTTTATATCAAGATCAAAATACAATCTCCTCCATGAAAACTTTGCTGACGGACTCCCTTGGAAAACTAGTAATTTCTCCCTCTATATATCTCCATCAGTCTCTTCATACCTTTATAATAGCACTAATCATGCAGTTTTGTCATTGTTTGCTGACAATTCTGCCTCCTCCACCTAATTACAGGTTCCTAGAAAGAAGGGGCTGTGTCTGATACATCCTAGCATCCCTAGTACCTGGCACAAGAGATGCTCAAAGTATTTTTTGAATGAGTGACTTGGGATTATTTATTCATGAGTCAAGATCCCATGTTGACACATGTATAATAATCAGGTATTAAAATATTTTTAGGTCAGATACTTGAGTAGTCATATTCACAATCAAATTGAATCATATTCTTGTATCAAAATAGAAATTTTTTCTCCTCTTTTCTGCTCAGTTGTAATTCAGTGCCAATGTTACATTCTCCCTAGGTACATAATCAAGAGTATTAAATGCAAATATATAATAAAGTGGGCTGAACATGATGCAGCAAAAGGTAATAATTTATCAATTTCTATTCAGCTGAGCACAATCCTTTGAAACCCTAGAAACAAATCTGTTATATTTTTTTCCAGAAGGGAGAGGTACATATAAATATCTTACTTTATTTTGCATTTAGAGGGAGGGAATATTTTGGATTCTACCACTGTCTAAGCAGTCTAGCATTAGAAGAAATGGTTTGATGCTGAGAAATAGAATACAAGAAAAAAGTCACTCAACTATTTAGTTGGGGCAGATTCTAACCATGTTTTTTAGTGTCTAGGTTTAGGAAATGCTCATAATCTGTGCAGAAATGAGGATATCATTTCCTCTACTTCTTCATATATTATTTTCCCCTCTGAAGGCAGCTAATGTTGTGTTGCCATTGGCCTAGAGGGGCCATGGCTATGCATTTGGGTGGAAAAATGAGCAAGCAGTTTTCACAACCTGCAGAGTGAAAACTGGAACCCAGAAAGGGATGGACAAATGCGAGTGTGTTTGGCAAGGAGCAGAACTAATCTGCAAACTGCTGCTGCTTCCTGGATCACAGAAAGTAGAAAAGGGTCCCTCTTTCTCCTGAAGCAAGAACTTTCCCCTCAAGGCCAAGATTCCCTCTGTGTGTGGGGCCTTCTGACCAGGGACACTGAGTTTGGTGACGCTGCCCGAGTCCTAGCCATGCCAGAACCCCAGCCTCTCTAGACACTTGTCAGTTCAAAAGAGGATTGGGAACCTTTGCCCAACAGACATCAGGCCTTTTTCTTTGAACCAATGGTGAAGACATTGATGGTTTTAGGCATTTCTTTTAGTATCTGAAATTCTTTTTTTTTCCATTTTAGCTTTATTTCTACTTAACAGGGAAAGGAGTCAGTGAATGGATACAAAAAACAGCTGTAAGCACAGGCCATTGGCCAAGGATGATGACAAGCATTTAAACAGCACTTTGCAGTTGACATTGTTTCATTAGTGATTCCTAACAACCACACACGTAGGCAGAACAGCTATTATTCCTCCCCTTTTATGTGTGAGAAACTGAATTTCTAGGAGGGTATGTGAATGACTCCAGGTCATCTGGCTAGTAAGGGTACTTGATGCTGGTAATTTCTTATGAATCACCCATCATGTTTCCTTCAATCCTGGCTTCCTTGGCCTATCTAGGGCCTCAAAAATTCTCCCAATGTAGCCCTATTCAAACTCATATTTGTAGAGGTAACCCAGGAAAGCTGAGAGCCTTCCTCTAAAGACCCCAGCTAGTGATTCAAAAAGGAAATCAATAGCTGAGTTCCAAAGATAGCTAAGGAATGTGAGAATGATAGGGTGGCCAGTGACCAGGCATCCGATACAGAAACACCATTTCCAGATGCCATATGCAGCTTTCCTTATGCTAAACGTTATCCCCTCTAAAATGTGTGGGAAGCAGAGGGTTTATAATCAGGACCAGGTGCAGTAGTTCACACCTGTAATCTCAGCACTTTAGGAGGCCAAGGTGGGAGGATCTCTTGAGCCCAGGAGCCCGAGACCAGCCTGAGCAACATAGTGAGACGCCCATCTCTACAAAAATTTATAAAAAATTTGCCGAGTGTGGTTGTGTGCACCTGTACTCCCAGCTACTGGGGAGGCTGAGGCAGGAGGATTGCTTGAGCCAGAGAGGTCCAGCATGCAGTGAGCCATGATTGTGCCACTGCACTCCAGCCTGGGTGACAGAGTGAGATCCTGCCTCCTGCTCAAAAACAAACAACAACAACAACACAGAGCGGGGCAGAAACTCAGGAAGGGGCTCTTTTTACACAGGTGCTATCAATTAGCCATGTAGCCATGAGCCACATGAAGCTGTTTTCATTCCAATTTGAACTAATTAAAATTGAATAAAATCAGCTGGGCACAGTTGCTGACGCCTATAATCCCAGCACTTTGGGAGGCCGAGGCGGGCAGATCACCTGAGGTCAGGAGTTCGAGACCAGCCTGGCCAACATGGTGAACGCTCCTCTCTACTAAAAATGCAAAAATTAGCCAGGCATGGTGGCATGGGCCTGTAATCCCAGCTATTTGGGGGGCTGAGGCAGCAGAATCGCTTGAACCTGGGAGGCGGAGGTTGCAGTAAGCAGAGATCATGCCTCTGCACTCCAACCTCGGTGATAGAGTGAGACTCCATCTCAAAAAAATAAAATAAAATTGAATAAAATTAAAAATTCAGCTCCTCAATAATACTAGCACATTTCAAGTGTTCAAAAGCCACATGTGACAAGGGTTACCATATTGGCAGCATAAATACAGAATACTTCCCTCATCAAAGAAAGTGCTATTTGGACAGGGCTGTCTTAGACTGTTTTCTTTTTTCACCATGAGACCCAAGATTTTAATTTTAGGCATAACTCATAAAGAACTCAAGTTGCTTCAAAGTAAGCCCAAAACACACCACTGAATAAATGATTATTTCCTCAGGTGCACCCTTCTGCCACAGCCAGGGCCACCAGGCTATACAAATCCAGGGGTACCATTTACATCACAATGCATGTTAAAATATCTTGTCCTGGATCATAGCTCCCTACAGCAACCCTGATGACTCCAAATTTATTATTTCTTCTTCAATTGCTCCACGACATGCCCTCATATTTAGGAGTTATGGAGACTTTATACTGCGAAGCTCAAAGGGAATCTGGAGAGAAGGACACAGCAGCAGCACCAAAAAGTAATTTTAAAATAACGTACCTTATTTTCAAGGTGCTCCCCTGTAAATACTATTATTACTTCCACACCGACGTGTTTCTCCTTCTAAATTTCATTACAAATGCTTCTCTGACACCTACTATTTACTCAACAGCAGAAATCAACTCCCACTCAGAAAACAGCTAGGCACTGCCACTTACAGAGGCATAAATATCAGATGTGGATGCTTTACAAGAACATTTTCAAGACTAGAATTACAGGTGAGTGCTTCAGATTTCCTTCTGCAACTTTCTTTGCACAGAGGTTGCAAATGAATTGATCAGAAGAAATAAGAGCAGCAGGTGTGTTCCTCACTTCTGACACATCCACATCCCCACCACCACCTCCACACCACCAGCTGACTCGGGTGTTCTAAAATGTGTGATGCGGATTTAAAGGTTTTGTAAAAGGTTTTTTTCATTAGCTTTAATTGGAGCAAGATGCTTCCATATGGCCTCAGGATATTAAAAAAGTTAGCAAAACTCTTTAAAATAACAAAATTAACATAAAATAACCTTATAAGTAAAAAATTGAGAAACATCATCCAGTAAGTCGAATGCCATGCTAAAAATACTCTTGGGAACACCAGAAGGTGGGGCAGCTGCCAGAGAGGTATGAAGGCAGACACATTCCCATAGAGGCACTCCTGTGGCTTGTGAGATATGGAAATGTTTCCTAAACTAAATTTCAAAGATAACTTTTCTACACATAGCTCTCTCTTTCTTACCCTCTTTAGTTTGGTTAACACATCTTGGACTCAGTGGAAGACAGATGTGTTTTTGAGAAAGAGGGCCTTTTTATTTTTTTCTCCATAGAGATGCAGTTATATTCAGCAGGAGAAAAAAAGAATAGTATAAAATAAAGGCAAGAAAAAAAATGTGGCCTATACATTTAATGGAATATTATTCAGTCTTAAAAAAGTAAAGAAGTTCATATAGATGACCCCTGAAGACATGATGCTAAGTGAAATAAATCAGTCACAAAAGGACAAATACTGTGTGATTCCACTTCTTTGAGATATTTAGAGTAATTGAGTTCCTAGAGACAGAAAGTAGAACGGCGGTTGCCAGGGTCTGGGAGGAGGGGGACATTGTTTAATGGGTATAGAGTTTTGGTTTTACAAAATGAAAAGAATTCCGGAGATGGATGGTAGTGATGGGAGTTGTACAACACTATGGATGTATTTAAAACTACTTAACTGTACACTTAAAAATGGTTAAGATGATAAATTTTGTTATGTGTAGTTTACCATAGTCAAAAAAATGAAAAAAAAAATAAAAAACAATGTAAAATACTTAGAAATCATGATTATTGGTCTAAAATCTATGTAAGAAAGTTTACTATAGCAAAGTTAAAAAAAAAAAAGATGACTCTAGCAACATAGCAACCAACTTGGGAAGTGTCTCAAGTATGCATACTGAGTCAATAAACATGTAAATCAAGTCACAGATTATATTTAAAGTAACACAATAAATGTGCACCAGATGAGGTTGGTCCCAAAACGTTAACCCTCTATGGTTAGGTAATGTATGAGAAATCTACATGACTATGAAACGACATAATTCAACAAAACGGGTCCAGTCTAGATTTATTTGGCTTTTTTTTTCTCTCTCTAGTTATCCCAAGCACCACTACAAAGTCTCCTTTAAAATGCTCTGTCTTCACTGTTCAGGATGTTGACCTGAATCCCTAGGCAACTGAAAATAAACATTTGTTGCATTCATTATACCACATTTATCTGAAACTACCATTTCATTGATGACATCGTTTATTTGAAATACGACAGTGCCCTTTGGCTTCCTCCAAATGATTATTCCAAATTCATTCTTCAATTTTTGTCTTTATTAATAAGCTTATTCAAAATTAGTGTAACCATTGGCCAAATCAAAATCCAACAGAGCTAACACAACTATAGGAACAAGTTATTAATGACCAATTATCAATAATTTTTTTTGAGATGTATTCTTGCTCTGTCACCCAGGCTGGAGTGCAGTGGTGCAATCTCAGCTCACTGCAACCTCCATCTTTCAGGTTCAAGTGATTTTCTTGCCTCAGCCTCCTGAGTAGCTGGGATTACAGGCATGCACCACCATACCTGGCTAATTTTTGTATTTTTAGTAGAGACGGGGTTTTGCCATATTGCCCAGACTGGTCTCGAACTCCTGACCTCAAATCGTCCACCTGCTTCGGCCTCCTAAAGTGCTGGAATTACAGGTGTGAGCCACGGTGTCTAACTGGCAAACTTCAGGTTCTTTTTAAGTTCCCAAGAGTTACCAATGAAAACAGTCCTGCAGTTTGCCTACCGCCAACAAAGCATTCTGTCTAGGCCAGTCATAGAAAGATTCAGGTTCTCAGTACAATTCCAACCAACAGGCTGGGGGCATGGTGGCCCACGCCTGTAATCCCAGCACTTTGGGAGGCTGAGGCGGGCGGATCACGAGGTCAGGAGATTGAGACCATCCTGGCTAACACGGTGAAACCCCGTCTCTACTAAAAATACAAAAAATTAGCCGGGTGCCATGGCAGGCGCCTGTAGTCCCAGCTACTCAGGAGGCTGAGGCAGGAGAATGGTGTGAACCCAGGAGGCGGAGTTTGCAGTGAGCCTAGATAGAGCCACTGCACTCCAGCCTGGGCGATAAAGCGAGACTCCGTATCAAAAAAAAAAAAAAAAAAAAAATCCAACCAACAATGGCAAATTCCAAACTAATAAATTGGAAAGGTTGCTCAAGTGAAAAGCTTCAAGGAATATCATGTTATTCACTTGACAAACAGTTTTTACTTCACTTAAGCAATAATTTGCTATGTCTACATCCTGGATTTTGTTGCCACTGGGAATTGTTCCATCTCTGTAATCTTAAATTTGGATACTCCTATATCCAACAGCAACCCATTAACATTCCTGCTCTTTTTCATTCATCTATTCCAGTCATACCAACACCTGTCATCTATTGGGATTCCTCTTCCTGTCCTTTTTCTTCCAATTGGCCTCATTGACTTTACTTTTCACCGTAGGGCTTGCTCACCTTCAGCCTTAGTTCTTCAGCCCTCATCTCTCTACCACACACAGCCTATTCCCAGAATAGGATCAACCCAACCATCTATGGATGTCTCACCAGCACAGGGCTTGCCACATGCTGCAGAAGAAAAATAAATGATGCAGACTGCGTTAGCGATAAATTTGTGATTTCCAGTTTCAGCACACCCCAAAAATATTTCTGTGAGGGAGGCATCCAGTCAGCTCCCTTTCCCATTTATCCAAATTTTTACCACCTTCTCAAGCACCTAGCTCCTGCCTTTTCTCCCCTGTCTATCAGCAAATGACCTTATCTTTTCCTTTATAGTGAGTATAGAGGCCACTGAGGAATCTATTTTCTCAGCTTCCAGGCCTGCTTCCCAGCTACTTCCAAATTTATTCGTATTCCTATCAATCCTTTTTATGATTCCTCCAATTAGAAAAAGCAAAAGCCATACTTTCTCTTTAAGGTATACTTCTCCCACTTGTACCCTTCATCTCCTCCTGTCTTCCTCTGCGATCCCGTCCATCATTTCTCTCTCCTCTATCTCTCATCTTTCCCTTTACACTGCCTGATGCCCTTCAGTCCACTAAAACATTCTGTAGAATCCACTTTAAAATAAATAGCAGCTCTCCTTCAACCCCGTGCCTCTCTCCAGCTACCTGTGCATTTTTTTCCTTCTAGGCAAACTTCTTGGAGGAATGATGTTTCTGCATCTTTCCTTTAATCCCAAAGGCACTGTCATCCACCTTTTGTCTACACTCCCCACCTTGCTATCACATCACTCTTCTTGCTATTTTCTTTCACCTCCCTGGCTATTAGTTTCCATCTCTCTTTCTCCCTGTAAATGTTGATGTGTCCTAGGGTTCCATCAAGCATAATCACGTCATTCAGCACCCAAGCCAGGATGCTCTTAAGACTGAGAAGGAATCAACGTGCAATGACACTAGGCTTATCCTAGCTATGACCTTCTCATTGGCTCACTCCAATTCAGCCTGAACCACTCCCCTCCCCCCATGACTTCCCCTCTCTTCAAATAGGCTGATGAATCCTGTATTCACATCTCCAACCCAGAGCTTGTGGGAGTGCCAGGGCCGTATTTGCATTTTTTGCTGGACAAATCCTCCTGACTACCTCACAGGTACTTCCAACTCACTGGATCCCATCCTTCAGGAACAAACTGCTTCTTTCTCTCTGGCCACTGCATTCCAGGTCTCAGTCAGTGGTCTCACTGTATCTCCAATCATCAAAGCCAGAAACCTGAGTCATCCTCGATGTCCTTTCTCCCTCCCGTCTACCAAAATAATGCCAGCAATAGACTGTCTCCATATTCTGTCAATCCTGCATATTAAGAATCTCTTAAACCTCTCCTCACCTCTCCATCTCCATAGCCATTGCCTCATAAGTCCCTCTTCACGTGCTTAGAACAATGTTGCTTGAGTTTTTAAAAACTTGCACCTGCCTCTTTTTCCTAAACACAAATGCACCTCGTCCTGCACCCAGACAAATGCACCAGCCCAGACCTGAATGGTTCATCTCTCTGAACTGCTCTCCCTGCATCCACTTTGGTTCCTTCCGGGTCCTTCTCCATACTGCTTCCAGGTATCTGCCTTAAAAGCAACCTAATCAGTATGTCACAGTCCAAACTCCTACAACACCCCTTGCCCTGTCACTGAGGCTTCGTCATGGTCTGCTCTTGCCTCCACTTCCATCTTATATCCTGGCATTCCTAGCCCCTTCCCTACTGCCCACTGCTGCTGGCATTATACCAGACCACTTGAAAGACCCCAAAGCTCTTTTCTTTTATAAGCTGTGTGGCATATTCCTACTCTACCTTGGAGACTTTTCTGCCTGAGTTTGAGTGCCTCGTTTTCTCTAGACATCTCTCTGTCCTTCCTTGGGACACTTCCCTCCACTGTACTCTGATCATTCACACTCAGGATCAGCTCCACAAGGTGACTCTACAGCCTTGGAGACAGGGCCCACTTCCTACTCATCTTTGCAGTCCCCATACCCAGCACATAGGAGGCAATCATTAAATATCTGTAAATCAATAAATGAATTAATAAATACAAACAAAGTACCATGTGCTGGGACATCTGTTAAGATAGCACAAACGTTACTCACATCTAAATTAAGCACAAGCATCAAGTTTAGCCAGATACCCCTTCTCTCCATTGGTGAGCCACATATTACACCTTGATGCAATATGACTACATACTATTATGCTCATTTAAGGGGTACTAGATAATATTTGATGGCCATAACAATACAACTGAATAGACTAAACCGCACCTCTAGGACCAAATCATCAAAACCCCACATATTCCAGTGGTAAGGTTGCTAAAGTCACAAGCAGGGCCTGGTTTCGAAATGAGATCCTTTTGGTAGAATGTTTACATCACAATATGTTCTGTAAGACTGAAGATCTGGCATTTGCACTAGAGATAGAGCAAGGATTAGACCGTGGAATTAATCACAGGAATTTATATTGGCCTTATCTGTAAAACTGGATGAAATGAACAACCTATATGATTACAGATCAGCGTTTCCAAAACTGTATTTTGCAGAACTCTAATATTCTCCAAGACATTAATATCACCATTAGCTACCATTTACTAAGGACATCCCAGGTGCCATGCACTGTGCCAAGTGTTTTATACAAAATTATTTCATTTAATTTTCATAAGAACCTTATGGTCATCTGTTATTAGTATACCCACCCAAAAGCCGAGGAAACCGATGCTTAATCACAGGGCTTCCCTAAGGCTCTACAATCCAGATGAACATGACTCTACAGCTAGAGTTCTTAACCTCTTGTTGTACTTATCAACAAGCCCATGTTCAGGCAAGTCTTAAAAACTTGGTATATGAGGCCCGGCACAGTGGCTCATGCTTGTAATCCCAGCACTTTGGGAGGCCAAGGCGGGTGGATCACGAGGTCAGGAGATCGGGACCATCCTGGCTAACACGGTGAAACCCCGTCTCTACTGAAAATATGAAAAAATTAGCCAGGCATGGTGGCGGGTGCCCGTAGTCCCAGCTACTCGGGAGGCTGAGGCAGGAGAATGGCGTGAACCCAGGAGGCAGAGCTTGCAGTGAGCCGAGATTGCGCCACTGCACTTCAGCCTGGGTGACAGAGCGAGACTCCGTCTCAAAAAAAAAAAAAAAAAAAAAACTTGTTATATGAATGCCATACTTGGAGGGTTCTGCATGCATTAACAGGGTCAGGACTCTCAGAAGTCTCCCAATAGAGACAGCCCTTTAACTTTGTTAACACGACATTTCTCAAACTTATTTGACTACAGGAGCCTTTGTAATGGAATCATTTGTAATTTATCAGGGAGTACATGTTTTGCAAAATGCAATTTGGCTTTAGATGATAACTAAAGGGATTATGAACCCACTGAGGCTAGGAAAGAGAAAGCAGCTAATTGCAGTATTCGTTACAGGTGGTAGAACTAGTGAGCTAGTTGCATCACAATCTCAAATGCCAGGTGACATAACGATGGTGACAATATTCGTGAGTCAAATGAAAAGTATTTTCCATTCATTGAATTAAACACTAATGTTTCAAATTTGAGCCCATGAATCACAAAGCCAATTCAAAAAGACAATTTGTCAAAGAGGCAAAGGTATACAGACTCTTTAATTGGTGCCATGGTTTTCTAATTGTGAGGTCATATCCGTGTCTGCTTATGTGGTTTTCCAGTCTTGCCACACTTTCTTCCCTTCTAGGACACTCACATTCCCCCAGTGAAACCTTGGGCTTCCAGTAAAGCACATGAGTCTGGAAAACCGGATAGTAAAAGGCTGAAGGAAAAAGTGTCTTTGTTACAAATAACTTACAGTATTTGGCAATTCTGCTGAATCACTCTTTGCTATTTATTGAAATTCCCTTTATTGACCACCTACTATATGCCAAACTCTTACGCTAAGGAGGAAACACAGCCTCTCCTGTAGTGTGGTGGAAAGAAACCAGCAATCAGATGTAACAACAAACTATGTTAAGCACTATCACAAGAAATGTGAAGATGCCATTGTGTTCTGGCAATCTAATTTTTTTTTTTTTTTTTTTTTTGAGAGGGGTTCTCGCTCTGTCACCCAGGCCGGAGTGCAGTGGCGGGATCTCGGCTCACTGCAAGCTTCGCCTCCTGGGTTCACACCATTCTCCTGCCTCAGCCTCCGGAGCAACTGGGACTACAGGCGCCCGCCACCATGCCTGGCTAATTTCTTTTTCGTATTTTTAGTAGAGATGGGGTTTCACCGTGTTAGCCAGGATGGTCTCGATCTCCTGACCTCGTGATCCACCCGCCTCGGCCTCCCAAAGTGCTGGGATTACAGGCATGAGCCACTGCACCTGGCCAATCTAATTCTTTTTAGAGGGAAAGAGACGGGAAAAGGGCTTCACATTTCTCACTTCAAAGTACATTCATAATAAAATCTGCCTTGTAAAATCACAAGGGAAAATGAAAATTAGAGTCATAAGAGAAAAGATGATTAAAGGAGTATGCGATTTGAAGGTCAACCAATATCTTTATGGTAGGCAAAGCACAGAAACCAGGAATTGAGAGGCCTGAAGCCTGGTTTTGATCCTGAGTGATCCTAGGAAAACACTTGGCCTTTTTACCTTTTCTACCCAATCCTGGATGGATGCAATAGAGATAAATTAACCTAATTTAATAGTCAAAGCCTTACGTAATTAGTGAAGCAAAATAGAAAAGACCAAATGCTAATTTAAAATCTATTAATACAACTATTACAAAAATAAATATATTTCTGTACATAAACAATCTTAATACCTTTATGTGGACATTTACGAGATTAAAATTAGAGAATCATTTCTTGCCTACAGATTTTTTTTTTCTCACTGAACTGTCCATATTCTAAAGTTGGATGGGTTCAAGGGATCTTTATACGACTTCCTTTTACAAAAATTACTTATCTCTCAATCTCCACTTTAATAAATTCATATGTTCATCCTACACTCACAGGATAAATTAGACAGATGAATTATGAAAATGAATGGGCAAGAACCAAGCCAGTGACCCTGTCTCATGAATCACAGTAAAATGTTCACACGCACACTTCTTTCATTAATAAACTTCAGTTTTTAAAACAGTTTTAGATTGTTTTAAAAAATTGTAGGGAAAATTGTGTTCACATACACTTCATCAACTCGCAACGTTTCTCCATTATTAGCATCTTATATTAGCATGGTATATTTGTTGTAATTAATGAACCAATATTGATGCAGATTATTCAAATTTCCTTTTATTCACTACCACCCTTCTTCTGTTCCAGGACCCTATCCAGGGTATCATATTATAATTTGTTGTTACATCTCCTTAAGTTCCTCACATGTCAATTTCTGTGTCAATTTCTCAGACTTTGCTTGCTTCTGATAACCTTGACAGATTTGAGGAGTACTGGCAAGGCATATTACAGAACTTCCTGCTATTGGCTATGTCTGGTGTCTTTCTCACAATTAGACTGGGATTATGGCATGGGTAGGAAGAGCACACATGTAAAGTGCCATTTTCATTGCATCATCTCAAGTCTACATACTATCAACGGTTTGCAACTACTGAAATTGCCCTTGGTCACATGGCTTGGGTACTATTTACCAGGTTTCTCCCCTGTGAAGTTACTCTTTTTTCTCCCCTTTCTATGCTGCAGGAAGGAAATCACTATGCAAAGCCCCACTTAAGGAGGGGGCTATGTTCTCCCCCTTCTAGGATGGAGTATCTACATAATTTATTTAAAATTCTTTTGCATGTGAAATTTGTCTCTTCTCCTGAATAAATTAATTTATTCAGTCATTTATTTGTATTGGTATGGATTCATGGATATTTATTTTGCACTTTAGGTTATAATCCAATACTTTTATTTCTTTTGGTGCTAAATTGTTTTAGCTTTGGACATTGGGGATTGTTTCATTTGGCTTCTGTGTCCCTTTAACAGACTCCACCCATTGTGGATTTTTGTTTTTCTTTTGTAGCACTTCCTTATTTCAGGCACTACAAGATGCTCCAGGCTCATCTTATATACTTCCTGCCCCCCACCAGTCCTAGCATCAGAAACCAAGATATGGGTGCTAGATGTGCTTGTTGCTACTAGAGTATCATTTCTTGTAAGCCCTCTCAGCTGGAAAGAAATATATGTATGTATACTAACCTGTGTATATACACATACCTATAAATATTCTATATGAAACCATCTTGATCTATATTAAACGTTATATTTTGTTGATTCTCCAGAAAAAAAAATTAACACCTTTAAGTTTTTAAAAGTGCCTCAGAAGAAAATTATGTCATTTACATTTTAAATTTGCCATGGCACCTAGCACTGGGTGATCCATGAGAATTTGCTGACTTGAAATTCGGAGTTTAAGAGTGGGTTAAAATATATCTGGCATTAGTGTGTAAGCCACAGTCTGCTGACCTAAAAAATGGGGACAGTAATGATACGAACTGCAAAGGACTACTGGAGAATTAAATGAGATGATGTATTTAAATTTTTAAAACAGAATCTAACATGCAATAAACATTTAATAAATAATAAAAAAAATATAGTTTAAGGAAAAATAATTTCAAGAAGAAAAGGTATATTGGTATAATTTTAAGTCTAGAACTCCTTTATGTTTGACTGTAGTATTCATTTTTGCCATCTAACTTAAAACTTAACATTGGTTTAGATGTATTCTTTTACCCCAAGTATGTCCTCTTGAAAGATTAAGCAGTCATAATTTTACTAGTCATGTTACTCCTGCCTGGAGGCACTGAGAAACTGGTTTTCCTAACACACAGTCTCATGACCCATTTCAAGGGATATTAACGGGTTAAAAACACTCGTCACAGTGAGGAAGAAAAGAGAGCAATGAGAAGTGGGACTGCAATTTCCACATCTCCCCACTCCATCAGAATGTCAATCATTCAATATCAGGCAGGCCACTGAATGGAAGGAAGTCAGACTTCCCATAGAAAATAATTTCAATTCCTACAGTTGATTAGAACTGTTTCAATAGTTGTAAAACCTGTCCATATAGATATGGAATGACATAATCAGAGAGTCTTCCATATTTTAAAGCAAGAAATATGACTACATTTGGCAAAGAAACTGCATTATCTCTTTACAAAGGGACAAATGAGATACTAGTCACACAGAATACAGATTCTCCTTTCTGTGGACTGATTTCAAGCTAATGCTGATGATGGGCATATTCTGGTGCTCTAAAAGATTATTTAAACATTCACTTAAACTAAGTCAAATTTTGTATTGTTTCTACAAGGGCTATGGTCTAACAGGGTTATAATGGACCAAAGTATCATATGTTCTTATGGACCAAAGTATCATATGTTCTTAGCATAGACAAGGTTTGAGTGTGTTGGAAGGGCTTATGGGTCCATCAGAAGTGAGTGGTTCCAGGAACTGAGCAGAATGTCTGAACCCCATCCAAGTAATGTCAATTATATGGGCCCACGGTGTGCCTCCTCAGTGCCATGAGAACTGGGCATCTTGAAATGAAGCAGTTCATCTGAAGAACTCAGCAGAACCCCTCTAGATGAGTAACACTGGATGCTAAGTGGTCTGCAGAGGAGGCAGAATGAGGCTCAGAGACAGCCTGTGCTAGTGGGTGGAATGTCAGTGGAGACTTCTGGTCATGGAGACTTCTGAGCATAAGGCTTGTCAATGACTGCCAGGCCAGGCTAGGCAGTGGCAGAGAGCAGAGTCTAAATCAGAAAGGGAGGAAGGCTATCTCGGCATTAACGGCAGGCCACACCCAGCTGTGTACCCCATATGGCTATGAATCTCAGGAAAGTGCTATCTGCCCTCTGCAAACCACTGGAACAGCCATTGAGTGTTCCACACAGCACCAGGTGAGTTTACTCATAATCCTCCTCTGCTTAAAATCTTTCACTGATATTCCTTTACCTTCAGAGTAAAACCCAGAGCCTTCCCTGCCACTCTGGTCCCTCCGGCTGCTTCAGAAACCTGGCCTTCTTTCGGAGGCTGCAAGATTCTTTATGACATTGGGGCCTTTGCAAATGTTATTCCTTCTATTGGAACATTCCTTCCTCCCATTCTTCACAGACCTGGTTTCCTTCCTTTTTTGTGAGATGGAATCTCACTCTGTTGCCCAGGCTGGAGTGCAGTGGTATGATCATGGCTCACTGCAGCCTCAAACTCCTGGGCTCAAGTGGACCTCCCACTTCAGCCTCCCAAGTAGTTAGGAATAAAGGCACACACCACCACATCCAGCTAATTTTTAATTTTTTTTGGTAAAGTCTCAATATGTTGCCCAGACTGGTCTCGAACTCTTAGGCTCAAGCAATCCTCCTGCCTCGGCTTCCCAAAGTGCTGAGATTACAGGCATGAGCCACCGCACCTGGCCTAAACTTTAAATTTTTTACATAGATGTCATCTCCTTGGAGAGGTCGTCCCTGACCCCTCTGTGAAGTAGCAAACCCCTTCTTCACTCTCATATTTTACTGCTTGGCACACTCTTTGATGTCTGTTGGCACTTAGCATGGTTTAAAGTCATCTTATTAGTTCCTTTACTTGGTTTTTGGCCTGATTCTACCACTATGACATGAGATTCATGAGGGCAGATAACACGTTGGTTTTGTTTTTCTCTGTAGATCCAGCGCCCAGAACATCACGGGCATTCAGTAAAAATTAGTCGTGCTGAAAACATTATGCTCGCTGAAAAAAGCCAGACAACAAAAGGTCACAGATTGCCTGATTCCATTTGTATGAAATGTCCAGAATAGGCAAATCCATGGAGACAGAACACCACTCAGTGGTGCCAGATACTGGGAGAAAGGAAGAATGGACAGTGACCACTTAATGGGTACAAGGTTTCCTTCTGTAGTGATGAAAATGTTCTGGAACTACATAGAAGTGATGGTTGCATGAGGTTGTCAATTTACTAAACATCGCTAGTGGTAAATTTTATGTTACATGTATTTTACCACAATAGAAAACCAATCAGTTTCTACGTGCATGCATTGTGCTCACATGGTCCCCCACCTTCCAGGCAGATGACAGCTGCAAGGTAGGGTACTTCTCCTAAGACTCATGCCAGGTTGCACATTTTCTGGATGTGACAGCAACAGACTAGGTCCTCAGAAAATGAACCATCGAGATGGACTATCTACTTTTGTCAAGTTAATTAATCCAAGGAAAATCAGGGGGTTGTAAATACACACAGTCAAATATGGAACCCCAGGTTCCAGTCTCCTAATATTATGGTCAAATCAGACTACAGCACACCAATCATTTCTTTTCTGTTACTGTCATGATCAATACTAATTGTCATGGGCCAATTCAAGCTCAGGACAAGCTGCACGATTAGAAGCAGAAAGTGAATAAATGATCTTTGTTGCATTTCATTTGTTTTACACATACGGGGGACAGGATGTGAGTTCCACGTATTTGTCCCATGTGCGAGCCAACCAAGCTGGCCCAATGGGGAACAGGACATGGGAGATTTCAAAGCAGAAGGAGATGGCTTCTGTTCCAGTATTCCTTTCCCTCTTCTGTGACTGTCATTCCCATTGCAAGTGGCAATAAACCACAAAGAAGCTCCTCTTAACTATTTAAGAGCTTCGTTTTTATTTGGTATACCACTTCCATAATTCACCTACTTTTGAGATTACTTATAAAACACAGGTCTGGGAGGCAGGTATTGCAAGAAATTGTTCAATTAAAATATTACTTAGACTCTAAAGTTATAAGGAACCTCCAGTTAAGTACATATGTTCCTACAAAGGAGGCTGGTCAGTAAATTAACCATTTTTTTTTTAAACATAGAATGGAATATTATTCAGGCTTAAAAATGAGGAAACCTTCCCATTGCAACAATATAGAGGATATTATGCTAAGTGAAATAAGCCAGAGACAGAAAGACAATTCTGTATATGATCTCATTTAAATGTGGAACCTGTTAATAAAATAGGCAAACTCATAGAAGCTGAGAGTAGAATGGTAGTGGCTAGGGGTTGTAGGGAGGAGGAAATGGAGAGGTGTTGATTAAAGGGTCCAAGTTATGCCAGATACATAAGTTCTGGAGATTCGTTACAGAGCATAGGGCCTCTAGCTAACAAAATGGTATTATATACTTAAACTCTGCTAAGAGAGCAGATCTTACGTCAAGTGTTCTTAACCACCATTCTTTATGTATTCTTCCATTTACTTTCAACATCTTGATCGCTATCTTGTAAACCCTTCCATGGTTCTAGAAAAAATTCAGAGTGACTAGTGACAAGAACTAAAACTGCATATCCAGGGAAAACATTGGGGCACACCAAGGAAATGAAATGCAAAAGATATAAATGCATTCTCTTTCCAAATATAAAAGTTTAAATATAAAAATTTTAAAAATAAAATCTGCAACCAAAAAATTGAGATTCAGTTTTGGACAGGAAGCAATGGGAAACCTTCCGAATCTCCCATAATTTGTGTCCCACATAAAATAACACAGCCTTTCTAGAACTATAAATAATTTAAACTATTTTTATGCATTCATAGAAGGGGCAATCTTTCTAAACCAACTTCAAAGCTAGAATTCTTCATAAGCTGAACCTCGCACATCACCAAAGACATAAAATATTTAAAAGAAATGTACACGTACCTTCTAAATGAGGTAGGAAATGGAGAGGTGTTGATTAAAGGGTCCAAGTTATGTCCTGAATTAGGACTTTTAAGTGAAGATGGCTACACTGTATCCTAATGAATGTAAATACCCAAATTTAGTTCATAAAATGGGCAAAAAATCACTGCCAAAAAACAGGCAGCAGCAATCTCAATTATGCCCTGGAATCACCCACTATGGTATCATAAACCATGATGTCGCAAAAGCAGAAAGGACAAGCATCACATATTAAAAATCTTGTCTGAAAATGTTTCTGAATTGTCTTTTTAAGTGAAGCAACCAAGATCTACAAAACCTAGAGACAAATATTATAAAGTCAGGAATAATTTAATCTTAAAAACATTCAACTCTTTTATTTCAGCCAGTCTATTTTGAGAATCTCACACCCAGTATTCAATCTTCTGTATTATGTTCTTATTCATCCATTCTGTCTCTTAAGCAAAACACCCTCTTCCCTGTATAAGGGAGATATGTCCTGGCTCTCATTCCTGTTTGTCTTTTGTTTCCACTGGACTAGTAAGAGGTATTATTTATTAAACACTTGCTGTTGTGCCAAGTGCTTTACATACATGACCCCTAAAATCAAGCTTTTTCTCCATTCATTGGGAGGGAATCACTGGCTATGACAAGTCATACTTTCCAAAGGTGGCCACAATGTCCCAATCTCACATGCTCTTGTGCAATGTGGTGTTGCCATCAAGAGGCGGGCCCTGTGACTGCCTGGACCGATGGAATATGGCTGAAGTGATGCGGTGCTGGTTATATGTGAAGCCCTTAAGAGACCTGTGGCTTCTTCCTGACTCTTGGAAACCAGCTGCCATGTAAGAAGTGTCCACCTGCGACCCCCAGGCTGTGAGAATCTTGAGCTACATAGAAAGGCCTGGGAGGATGAGCCAGCACAAGGAAGGAGATGCCAAAGAGCATGGAGGTATCAGATGTGCAAGTGAAGAAACCGTCTTGGAAGTGGATCCTCCAGCCCCAATCATCAACATGACTGCCAAGAGGATCAGGCACAAAATTTCCAATTAAATCCTTCCTGAACTCCTGATTCACAACAACAGGAGGAAAAGAAGGCAGCTGTTTTAAGCCACTAAATCTCACGGTTGTTTGTTACACAGCAGTAGATAATAGTAACACTGTCCCATGGGCTTGGCTTTGGAAGGGTGTTAGATCCTTAAAAGATTTAAAGAGATTTTGGTTGAGCTCACTATCTTAAGCTTGGTAAAGTTTAATTTATACTATTTTACTAAGAAAGCAACCGAGGCCCATAAAGGTTAAATGGCTTGCCCAGGATAGCAGAATGTATCAATCACCTTGTCATAGGCAAGTGGGGGAGAAGCCTAGAACTCTGTTCTCTCACTTCTTTAGTGCCGTCCAGCCATTCTCCTAGTTACTTTTTCAAGCTGTTTGTCCAGAGCACAAATGTATTAATGAAATACATGGAGAACCAAGGCTTCAGACTAGAAAAAAATAGCCAATAACAGATATAAAAGATTTCAGTTCATCATAGTTATGTTTCCAATTTAGGTGACCCTGTAGGAATGAATAATGGCTTCCCCCAGATGAAAGTGTGTCTGTCAGGAGAATATAACGTGCTCCCAGTGGCTTCAGGAAAAAGGCCATGGTGCATGCCCAGGCTGAGCCGGCTATGAAAGCAGTTGCAGTTAAGCTGGTGGAATCATTATGAGAGGCATGAAGAAGCAGAAATGGACAAGCGACTGACTCTACTCTTAATAGTTTTTTTAAAGGTCAAGAAGAAGCAGTTCTGCACCATCTGTTCAAAACAATGACATAATGAAAGAAAGTCGAACTCTAAATTGAAGAAAGTAGCAAATTTCAAATTATCCTACTCAATAAGCTGGGCCTGTATGCCTTAATATAAAGAGTCTATAAATACAGGCATGCAGGGAGAAGTCAGTGCTTCATGGCATAGCTTCTGTGCAAAGGAAGAACATTCATCTCAATCAAAACCCCTGCATTTCCTAATGCTTACCTGTGCCTTCCACTATCAATCTTCCTCTCATAACCTTTTCTATCGGGCTCCCTGACATTCCTTCTCATTGAAAACATACCACCCTTCTCCTTTATATTTTATAGAACAATCTCTCCACATCCATGTCTTTTCTTTTTTCTTTTCTTTTTTTGAGATGGAGTCTTGCACTGTTGCCAGGGCTGGAGTGCAATGGTGAGATCTCGGCTCACTGCAACCTCCACCTCCCAGATTCAAGTGATTCTCCTGCGTCAGTCTCCTGAGTAGCTGGGATTACAGGCACCCATCACCACACCCTGCTAATTTTTTGTATTTTTAGTAGAGATGGGGTTTTGCCATGTTGGCCAGGCTGGTCTCGAACTCGTGGCCTCATAATACGCCCACCTCGGCCTCCCAAAGTGCTGGAATTACAGGTGTGAGCCACCAAACCCACCCCACATCCATGTCTTAATGACAACCAGGCTCTTCTCTGAGGACAACTCTTCCCCCATAGCTCCAATCAAGGAAATCTACATATCCTTCCATAGCTTCTGTACTGCCAGGCCATAAAGTGGGGCAAAAGATAAGAAGTCTTGCGGTCTGCTGAACAGCAATCTTCACCTTGGATGAGCTACATGCACTCAAATCCAACATGTTCATAACTGAGTTGATTCATCTTCCTCCATGGTAAACCTGTTATTTTGTATTTTCTATTTAATTTGTAAGATCTGCCCAGTTACTCATGCTAGGAAACTAGGGGTTATCTATGACTTCTTTCTGCCTCTCACTCCAAAAAGCATAATCACTAACAAATTACTAGATTTCCTCTCATATGTATTTTTTAAACTTGTCCTTCTCCTCCATTCTAGTGTAGTCCTAATTTAGACATCTGTTAGCTCATTAGTGGGCTATGGCAAAATAGCAGAACTAGCTGGATTCCAAATTCAGAGTTCCAAGAAGCCATAGTTGTCCCTCTAAAGTACAAATATGTCCTCATCCTTTTCTTTAAATTCTTCCATGGTCCCCTTTGCCTATAGGATAAGCCCAAGTTCCTTAACAGTGTATACTAGATCCTTCATTATCTCACCCTTCCCATCTCTTATGTACAGTATGTCATCCCTCACTATCTCACTTCATTGCTGGCAGTTCCCAGAACCTCAATGCCTTTGCCAATGTTGTCCCCTCTCTGTCTGGGCGCTCCTCACTTCTGCATCCTCTCACACCTCACCTGGTTATCTCCTCGTCACTGTTGGCATAGCTCAAGTGTCTCTGCTGCTAGGAAGTCATTCCTGACATTACTCTTCATCTTTCACCACCTGAAGGGTTAGGTCCCCTGCCTCTTTGCTCCTGTAAGATACTTGGACTACTCCTGCCACTACATCTCCAGCATCTTAAACAACAATCATTACTAATGTAGTTTCAAGAGGCTATGACATACGTATTCTTTGTTTCTCTGGCACCTAACACCAAGCCTGGCATTGTAGTGGATGCTCAAGGAATTTTTAATAATTGGATGATTAAACGATTCTATGAATGTAAGTCTCAGGGGATACATCTGTACCAAAATATATTAGTTATCTATCGCTGTGCAACAATATTACAATCAACTTAGTGGCTTAAAAAAAAACAAAACAAATGTATTATAGTTACTGTGGGTCAGTAATCCAAACACAGCTTAGCTGGGTCTTCAGTTTCAGGGTCTCGCAAACTGCCATTAAGGTGTTGGCCAGGGCTGTAGTCTCATCTGAGGCTCATCTAGGGAAGGGTTGGCTTTCAAGCTCATGTGCTTGTTAGCAGCATTCATTTCCTTGTGGGCTGCTGGAACGAGGGCTGTCAGCTGGATGCCTCCCCCAGTTCCTTACCACATGGGCTTTCCCAACATGACCAGAAAGGAAGAGAGTTTGTCAGCAAGATAAACATGACAGTCTTTTAAAATTGATATATAATAGTTGTACCTATGTTAGGGGTACATGTGATGGCTGAATACAATGTGTAATGATCAAATCAAGGTAACTGGTAGATACATCATTCAAACATTTATCTTTTCTTTGTGTTGGGAACATTACAATTCATCTCTTATAGCTATTTTGAAATACATATTGTTAACCATAATTTCCTTACCGTATTATCGAATACAAGAATTCATCCTTACTATTTAACTATAGTTTTGCAACCATTAATCAATTTCTCTTCATTTCCCTTTCTCCCTTCCCAGTCTCTACCATTCTACTGGTAACCAGCATTCTACTCTCTACCTCCATGAGATCCACTTTTTAGTGAGAACATGTGATATTTGTCTTTCTGTGCCTGGCTTATTTCACTTAACATAAAGACCTCCGGTTCCATCCATGTTGCTGCAAATGACAGGATTTCCTTCTTTTTTCTAGATGAATAGTATTTCATTGGGTGTGTGTATATATAATATATATATTTTATATATATATATATATATATATATATATATATATATATATATATATCACATTTTCTTTATCCATTCATCCACTGATGGACATTTAGTTTCATTCCATATCTTGACTATTGTGAATAGTGCTATATTAAACATAGAAGTGCAAGTACCTCTTTCATATACTGATGTCCTTTCTTTTGTGTATATAGCCAGCAGTGGGATTGCTGAGTCACGTGGTAGTTCTATTTTTAGTTTTTTTGAGGAACCTCCATATCAAACATTACAGTCTTATGTAATATAATCACAGAAGTGATATCTCATCACCTTTGCTGCGTTACATTGATTAGAAACAAATCACAGGTCTCACTTCAAGGGAAGAAGATTAGACAAGGGCATGAAGACCAGGAGGTGGGGATCACAGGGGCCATCTTGGAGTAGGTCCACACCAGAAAGGCTACCTAGCTAAAATAGCAAGGAGTGGGTTGAGAACAGCAGGAATATGTTAAGGGAAAAAGGAATATGTTTCTGTGCAAATATTACCATACAATCTTAATCTTTTTATCTTCCTGGATATGACTTTTAGGTTACTAGAGAATTCTACGACTAAAAATTTCTGTAAAGCATAACTCAGGGTTTGGGTGCAAATACCAAGTTTAAAACGTTGACCATTTTCTACTTTTGCATTCCTCTGAGCTTCATTATTTTTGTAACGGGCTCTGTAGATCAGCTAGAATCTTCTTAAATCATTTATTTTCCATCCATTTTATAGGGTGTTTGGGGCCTAGGAGGCAGAGCCTTATTAAATATATCTTAATAATTTATAGCCAACAATACACTAAGGAAAATGTCAACCTCATAAAAACTGAAATTTGAAAAGTGAAAGGTGTTCAAATTTTCCTCAGAGAAAGCAAAATTTATGGAAATAAGGCAAGTCAAGGAAGTATAGTAAAACATTTCAAAACATAAAGAATGTGCTTCATGCGCCAGCAATCTTTAAACGTGTTCCTGTGGGCTGTATCATGTCTTCAGCAAACAGCAGCCTGTGACAAAGTTGTGAGGGGCCTGCCATTCTCCAGCCAGGTCGCCCTAAGATGGCCAATGACACAGGGGTCACTTTAAGGTATAACTTTGTCTCAAAACCTTCCCATATCCTGCCTTTAAAGGGCTTCAATCCTCTCTATAAATGCTATGCTTCCCCTTTGAGTGGCTCTCTTGCTCCCTCAGACTCTGAATTAATCATCGCAGTCACGGAGAGGGCCCCAAATGCCTTTCAAGCAACATTGTAGATAAGGGAAAAAGAAAAAAAAATGACTTCTGACTTTCCATCAAAAACATGCAGCTATTAGCAATTGTCTAAAAAGACTTGGAGACTGGATCAATTTGGCCCCCAAAAAGCCGAGGAGGTTAAAGTCTTCACAGTGAAAACAGCCTCTCTCAGGCCTCTCTTTAGTTCTGTATCGGGGAATAAGGAGAGAATTCTCCAGTAAACTTTTAAGGCTATAAGTAATTTCTGAGGTGTAGCCATTATCTGCAATTAGAATTTCAGGGACTACCCAATGAAATTCAATTGCACCCAGAGGATTCCATTGGAAAAATATCCTTCCTCGAGGGGAGGACCAGGTTCTAAAGAGGGTGGCTAATGCCTCAGGTAAGGCTTTAAAATGCTGAGGGTGGGACTTTTATTATAAGTTGGTAAACACACCAGCCCTGGCACTATACTGGCTGACACCGGACTCCAATTAAGTACAGGAATTTTAAAAAGAACATGGAACATTAGGATCAGAGCAATCTTCACTTACTAGTTGGTTGGGTCATTTCAATTCTCTGGGCCTCAGTCTCTCACCAAAAACGTGCCTATTTCCTCAGTTAACTCACTCGGCTGGTAGCCTGAATCTGGATTCCAACATCTATGAGCATATTTGGTGGACTTGGGGTTGGGGGATCTGTCAAATATCTTTGGACATGAGATACTTGGGGTCCTTCCAGCAACTGAATCTATCCTAAGGTGACAGAGAGCTGGGCCACCAACCTGACCCAGAGTTGGAGACAAACAGTGATTCTGAACACAGCATGGCAGAGACGGCCCAAGTCCACCCCTGCCTAGACCTATGGCTTAGGCCTGGGACCTGAGAAGAGAAGGCGGACATGGGAAAACCAAAGAGGTCTTTTTTGATAAGGGGCTCTCAGTAACATAGGGACATTCACAAGCCCCCAGGGACTTCCAGGGACTGAGGGGAATTTTTCTGCAGCTAAGATCGTGGTATGCGGATGGGCAAGAGTAAGTAATATCATTACTGTCAGTGTGACCCTCACTTAAGTTATAAGCAGGGACAGACCAGAGGCATCTGGATCATTAGCATTATTATTCGTACTGGGAAAAGTTTAGAAAATTTTTTTCTATAACCCCAAACTTCACAAAATTTTCTTTACCATCCTCATACCAGTCAGAATGGAGATTACTAAAAAGTCAAGAAACAACAGATGCTGGCAAGCTTGCAGAGAAATAGGAATGCTTTTAAACTGTTGGTGGAAATGTAAATTACTTCATCCATTGTGGAAGACAGTGTGGTGATTCTTCAAAGATCTAGAAGCCGAAATATCACTTGGCCCAGCAATCCCATTACTGGTTATATACCCAAAGGAATATAAATCATTCCATGACAAATATGCATACACGTGTATGTTCATTGCAGCACTATTCACAATAGCAAAGACATGGAATCAACCCAAATGCCCATCAGTGATAAACTGGATAAAGAAAATGTGGTACATATACACCATGGAATACTATGCAGCCATAAAAAAGGAATGAGATCATGTCCTTTGCAGGAACATGAATGGAGCTGGAAGCCATTATCCTCAGCAAACTAATGCAGGAACAGAAAACCAAACACCGCATGTTCTCACTCATAAGTGAGAGCTGAACAAGTGGGAGCAGTGTAGAGAAAAGAGGACATAGGCACAAGTTGGGGGGAGCCTTCTGTTAGAGCCTCTGCAATTTTTCTGTTCTGCCTTTAGAAGAGTTTTAACGCAAAGACCTACACTCTTTGTGGCAGGGGAGCCCTAGGAAATGCAACTGAAGCTAAGTTCACCTTCAGCACTTTCAGCTCTTCTGTTGCCTTCCCTGGGAGCCCTCCAAAGAGTATGGACACAGGGAGGGGAGCAATACACACCGGGCCCTGTCGGGGGGTGGGTGGTAAGGGGAGGGAGAGCATCAGGACAAATAGCTAGTGCATGCTGGGCTTAATACCTAGGCGATGAGTTGATAGGTGCAGCAAACCACCATGGCACACGTTTACCTATGTAATAAACCTGCACATCCTGCACATGTACCCTGGAACTTAAAAATAAAAATACTAATAAACAACAGAAAATCTAAACTTCACAAAATTTTTTTTACACTTGGAGAAAGGTAAAATGTTGCTTCAGTTATTGTGAGGTAAGAAACTACTTCCATCATCAAGCCAAGCCAAATCATGCTAACTAAATTTCCTTTTAGTGACATACTATGGCATTTCCCAGCTTATGTACTCATGGTTTCCCCATTTACCTTGAGTCCCATGTGAAACCCACTTCTCTAGAGGGGTGGAGGTGCGGGGGTGGGGAGGGACTGCTGCTAGGCTTCTGTTCAGATTAGGCAGAAAATAGAAATTCAAGTCACATTTCATAAAAGATGATTTCTGAGAAATACCAAATCTGCTTCTCACAGCTCAAGGGTTCTTCAAACTCCATTGTAATTAACAATGTTTCAAAAGAAAAGTCCTTTGTCTATTTATTATTAAAAAGGAAGTTCAAGTTTTCTCCCATTTGAAATTGCTTTATTGACTCGACTTGCAGCAATTCCCTTAGGTAGGTATCACCAGCACATCCAATTCAGCTAAGGATTGGATTCGATTACTGTCAGGTAAACAACTTACTACCCACACAGATTCAGTTCCAAATGAAATCCTCATGTTATTGAACACTTCCCTATGAAGGGAAACTTAAAAGACTCTCTTGCCTAAAGTTGCACCTGGATGCTACACAGTACTCAGAGTTCATGCGGCCACAGGAGCATTGCATCTGGAAGACCAGTGCGGTACCTAGAACTTACGCTAAGCACACCTTTTAGGTGGGCAAACTGTAACAGGTATCAAAGTCTCAAAAACATTTACAACTTTAGGCCCAGCTATTCCATTTATATGAATTAATTTAGACTATGAAAATCAAATTAATGTAAAAAGCTGAAAGGATGGTCATTGTAATGTTGCTTATGAGAGAAAAACTGAAGCAAACTACTGCTCAGTGTTAGCTATTGGTTAAATTATACAATTAAATATTTTATAGGTATCTTCAGGCATTAAAAATAATACAGTAGAAAATATATGATGACACAGAGAAATGATGCTATAGTGAGCAAAATGTTACAAAATAGTTTATACTACAATATGAAAAATATAGTTTATAAAGTATATATGTTTGTACATAAACAAAAGACGTGAAGGATAGACACCAAAATGTTAATCTTATTTTTTTTAGGTGGTAGTTTAATGGGCAATTTTTATTTTCCTATTTTGTTTATCTGTGTTTGTAAATTTTCTACAATAAATATGTATTACTTTTTGATACTAATAAAGTATTTGGGTAAAGTTAGAATTAAGAGAGACTTAAGAATAATCTAACCCAACACCTCATTTCACATAGAGTGATGGTGTTGCTTAAAAAGTCATGTTGGGGGAAAAAAGAAACTCTCCCACCAAAAGGGGAAAGAATTTAAGTCACTATTTGCATTAATATCATCTTAAATTGGAACTTAAGTGCATTACAAACTTATCAAAATAACCTGTAACTTATCAAAAGACCCTCTATAGTAGCAGTTCTTCAGCTTTTCTGGGTCACTGAAGCTACCTTTGAAATATTTGACAAGTACCACAAATGCTCTTCCTGGAAAAATGCACATGACCTAGTAGAAATTTAGCACATTGGTTCAGGGGTTCAAAAGGACCCCAAAGCTAGTCCATGGGTTCCCTATAGCAGTGTGTTGTATGCTGTACATTGTGACATGAAATTGGAGGACAAGATAGAAAATGATAGAATAAAGAAGAACCAAATTGAACAATATAAACTACAGCATGCGTATAAGATGGGTTAGTAATATTTTGTGAAAATTTTGTCTCAGAAATTATTTTTAATATCTGAATATATCACAAGAATATTTAACTGTATGATTTGCTTGTGTATTCTAGATAATGATATAAAATATATTTATTACCATTGATTGGAGTTAAAGAATATGAAAGTGACTGCCCTGGATGCTCATTAACCCAAGTTTAAAAAATCCTGCACTAGGAGGCAAAACAGCATCTGGGTGATTTAAGTGAATATCGAACTACATTTTTTTACATTAAATTTTGTACTGGGTTTTGAATTTTGTGTATTTTTTTTTCTGTAGGCATCATACTACCTAACTCCAAACTACACTACAAGGCTATAGTAACCAAAACAGCATGGTACTGGTATAAAAATAGACACACAGATAAATGTAACAGAACAGAGAACCCAGAAATAAAGCCACATATCTACAACCAACTGATATTCCACAAAGTTCATTATACTTTTTGAAGAAAATAAGGGGAAAGAGTGGAATTTCTCAAACCTCCTATAATAAATTATCTGGTGCTATTGAGACAAAAAACTAGAAGTTAAATATTTGAGTCAGCGCCTGAGCCAGTAGTTTTTCAGTCTTTCTGGTCTACATTGCATAAGCACTTAAATGCCTTATTTCTAACTGATTTATTTACTACCATTAAGTATGGACAACATTCTCCTATGTACTGTTTTGATTCTATTAGCATAAATCATATCCAGCCGAATATAAACTCTTTTTTTCCTCAGTCATTAATTCTCTTTCTGTCACTCATTCCCCCCCACCCTCTGTTTCTGCCCCCCACCCCACACCATGCGTTCTCACCACAGAGCAAAAAATGGAATAGAAAAGCCCCACAGAATTGACTGAATCTGAGACAGCCATACCAGCCACGAGGAGACAAATGTCTGTTTCAGACTTTCTCCAAGGCATTCTTTTTCAGGCATTCAGACTCATGCCAAATGCCTGAATCAAATGGATTTCCCATTAGAATGGTGGACTTGTGTCCCTTTAAGACAACTAACTCAATCAAGCTTTCTCTCACACCTGCTTCAGCCATGCCACCTGAATGGCCCTCAAGCACGCTTTGTCAATAGGACAGACACACAGCTGTTTAGTTTTATGGGAAATGATTGTAACTGTTCTAGCTCAGGGGAGTGTAGAGAAAGGAGAACATTGGCACAAGGTTGGGGGGCCTTCTGTTAGAGCCCCTGCTATTTTTCTGTTCTGCCTTTAGCAGAGTTTTAACGCAAAGACCTACACTTTTTGTGGCAGGGCAGCCCTAGGAAACTCAAGCTGAAACTAAGTTCACCTTCAGCACTTTCAGCTCTTCTGTTCCCTTCCCTGGGAGCCCTCCAAAGAGTATCTGGGAAAAGAATCATCACCCTGGCTCAAATAATGGAAGCAGAAGTAGAAAGCAGGCATTCCTGGGAGATATAGTTAATTATTATTAACTCATTACATGTGCAAAACACTCTGCAAGATAGCTGATGACACATTACATAGGCTAATTTCTGGCCTTGATCCATGAGTTTCAAAGGCATTTCTAAATAAAGGGAAATAAAATTTCAGAGAAGAAATTACCTAAGATCAGGATGAATCAGGCCCGGGATGAATCACAGCTTGGAGTGAAGGCCAGGGAGTTGATCATAGAATCATTTTTTTTTCATTGAAGTGAAATTCACATAACATAAAACTAGCCATTTTAAAGTGTACAGTTCAGTGCCATTTAGTGCATTCAGTGCCATTTAGTAGTGCCATCACCACCTCTATCAAGTTCCAAGACATTTGCATCACTCCAAAAGAAAACCCTGTACCCATGAAGCTGTCACACCCAGATCACAGAATCTTGAGCTCAAAAGCAGGTCTGACAGTGAGATCTGTTCACAAAAGGTCTAAGCTGACTCTAATCCCAGGGCAGGAACTGTAGGGGTCTGGTTCATCACTGCACCCTTAGCCCGTAGAACAATACTCAGCTCACAAGAGCACCCCAAGAAACACCCCTTCAAGGAATACTGAAGGATTGTAAACCAAGCAGAGTACCAAGCAGCTGGAGTTGGTACTAAGCTAGTAAACTACTATCCCTTTCCCTCAGACATACCTAAGTGATAGAAGCTTTACATTATCTCATTTGATTCTCCATGGGGACACCTGAAGCTTAGAGAAGCACCTTGTCTGAGATCACTGAGCTGGTATGTGTCAAAGCCAGGGCTGGGGGCAGGCAGGATAACCCAAAGTCCATACTCCTTAACACTAGACCATGGATGCCTTACAGATGAGAAAAATTAAAGTCCAAAGCACAGTCCTTTACTCATTTTGCAAAAGCAGGGAGAACCAAGGGAATCAGAGAAACTGTAGGCCTCGCAAGATGGATGGATCATCAGGATGGGTAGTAAAGCTACCAACAAAATGTGAGCTGACATCCGTGTCCACAAGGGAAGTCCTTGCTCTTCAGTAATTCAACCACAGGTAGCAGTTTATCTTCTGGTGATCTCTGCAAGTGTGCACGAATTCTACGGTGGACTAGAGGTGTTACTAGAAGGCAAACCTAATATAGCAAGTGATGCACAAAACCATTTCTGGAATATTGTAAAGAGTTAAAAATAACTTGCTAACCACCTAAATACCCATTGTTTTAACATTGTTTTAAAAGTTTTCAACGTTTCTGTCAAAAACAACATTCTTGGAACAGATAGCAATGCCAATCCAAATAGTCTATTTCCCTCCTCAATATTTTAAAGCTCTAAGTTTTGTCTCCTTTTCTCAGGAAAAAACAGGACAGCAATGTCAGAGTGTCTGATTATTTAAGTCTCAGCAGCAGTCACCATCACTGTTCTGATGCCCATTTCCAGACATGGAACCTGAAGCCCAGAGAGATTCATTGCAAGCAGAGGTGTTACTGCAGCAAGCTGGAGCCTTGGAAGACAGCAGCCATCAGGACCAGAATATGTGAGGATGATATGGTTTCACTATGTCCCCACTCAAATCTCATCTTCAATTGTAGCTACCATAATTCCCCAAGTGTTGTGGGAGGGACTCAGTGGGGGGTAATTTAATCATGGGGGCAGGTCTTTCCTGTGCTGTTTTCATGATAGTGAATACGTCTCACAAGATCTGATGGTTTTGTAAAGGGGAGTTCCCCTGCACTTCTCCTTGCTGCCACCATGTGAAGAAGGACCTGTTTGCTTCCCTTCCACCATGATAGTAAGCTTCCTGAGGCCTCCCCAGCCCTGGGGAACTGTGAGCCAATTAAACCTCTTTCCTTTCTAAATTACCCAGTCTTGGCTATGTCCTTATAGCAGCGTGAGAATAGACCAAAACAGAGGATTAAGATCAAGAAGACATGATGTTGACTTCAGGGACACCAGGAACAGTGCAGAACCCTGTTACCCCAGAGCAGGTGGGACAGGGAAATTGTTCTGAGACTATACGTACAACTTAATTTTTGCCTCCAACCCGGTATGGCCTGGGAAGTAGAGGCTTTATTTTCTGTTATTTGTTGGGTTGAGCCTAAGACTTTATTAATATTTCAAATATTTTTACAGTATTGCTTATAATCAAGTTATTTTTAAAATATTTTAAGTGTGATTTTATTTTATTTTTATTTTAAGTGTGATATTACTTTTCATCATGATTTTATTACATGGAGGATGAGAATTTCCTCAAGTCAATAAATACTTAGTTAAATAAATATTGGAATCTAATGGGAAAATAGGATTTACTTTGCTCATCTGTTATTATTCAGAAAAAAATGTGGCACAATAAAAAAGTTAGCTCCTGTATTACCAGCCTTACGGGTACACATGCATTCCAGTAAAAATACCAGTAGTATCAAGCCACAAATCTCCTGAGTGCCTACGTTGCTGTTCCCATCAGCAAATGTTGTTTACATGAAAGCCTAACACATACAAAGCTTAAAGCATGAACTTTAACAGCCAGTGTATTTCCACATCTATGAACTGCCATTTATTTAGCTGTTTATCCATTGATCTAACCATCTATCTATCTATCATCTTTCTTCCTTTCTTCCTTTCTTCCTTTCCCTTCCTTCCTTCCTTTCTTTCTTCTGTCTGTCCATCTATGTCCTTTCTTTCTTTCTTTTTCTTTCTCTCTCTCTCTCTTTTCTTTCTTCTTTCTCTTTCATCTATTATTCTATCATCTTTCTTTCATCCATTTATCTTTCTGTCCATCTTTCTATCTTCCTTTCTTTCTTCCTGTTCATCTGTCTTTCTGTCTGTTCATCCATCTCGCTATCCATCTAGCTATCGTTGTGTTTATTCATCCATTCATTCATCTATCTTTCACCTGTCTATCATCTGCAATGTTGCTAACATCAAAACATTTATGGTTGTGGACAGGATATCTTCCATGCCAGGTACCTTTGGCCCTCCTGTTGAAAAGAGTCAACTCCTATTTATCTATGGCTGTAAAAGTAATGTTTCAATTTAAGGTAACTGAGAGTTGTCTGTAAACATAAAGGGGAAGTTATGGATTCTGTGTGCCTTAGGCCAGTGCTGTTTTGGGATGGGGAGGCGGTAATTATAGAATTATAGTTAAGAGTTCAAGCTCTGACATTGGACTGCCTGTGTTCAAAGCCCACCCTCCTCTCTTACGAGCTCTGTGCTTTTAAGTCAGTTGCCTGACCTCTCTGCTTTTCCGTTTGTTTCACTGTGAAACAAGGTGATATTAATGCCAACTTCTGAGACTGGATCCAGGGAATTAAATAAGTAAGAAACCTACTGGACACTCAATAATGTTATGACTCTGCCTTCTACAGAGTATTTTAATCTGTTTTTTTCACAGCAATCAAATTAGTGTAGGCTAATGGGCACTCCTGTGACAAATAATTATCAAACTGTGCTGTCTCTCCCATGTTATTTTCCCCAAATGCTGTTAAAGGGAACAGAGTAAGTCTTTAGAAACATACCACAATTCATCTTTTTCTCATCATTTACCTATAGCTTTGTGGCTCTATTCATCTCACCTCAGAGCTTTAAATGACAAAATTTCTAACATTTCCAAAGCTGATCAGCAGATAATGTAACACAGTTAGAAAGCCAATTTAAGAAAAAAAAAAAACTCTTTTATCCAAAGAAAAATTTCCTTGAGTTGAGCCACTTCACTCACCTCAAAGAGAAAAGCCTATTTCTATAACATGCTGGCCTATTTTAGAAGACAGGTTGAAATAAAATAAAGGAATTTATCCATTCTGAATCCATCATCAGGGGAAAAGCAGAAATATTATCTCTCTCATGTAAATTCATTTGCGATATATTATCGTATCAGGAAGTATAAATAATGCATAATGGCATTTAAGAACCTCAGATTAATGCTCCAGTGTGTTCTGTGTGTTCTATTGCTTTACATTTTGTAGTCACGGCGTGCGTGATCCCACGGCAAGCTCGCGAATGTGGTTCCCAGAGGGCTGTTTTAGGGAGTAAAGTGGGAAGGGAATTGCCTCTCCCAGGGCGCCAAGATGTCTGAGTGCATTTCCTTCCTTTACCACGATTACTCTCTTAGTGGGTGCTCCCTCACCTGCCGAGCTGCCGAAGCCTGACTGTGACCCGCTGAGAAGTTCTCACCGCCCAGCCGTGACTCATCCATCCCCTGAAAACGGCCATCCTCTCTCTCTTCTCAGGAAGGCCATGACGGTGGAGGGAGTCCACCAGTGCTGGTTTTCTTACTGACAGGGGAAACAAACCCAGCAAGTTTGTCCTGGGAGAATGTTTATAGCATAAACCAATTGTCATCTTCCTCGCTTGTAAACACTTGTATCTTTATTTCGTATGTGTTTAACGAATACACTAAAACTGGGGATGTTTTCGCTCAAATATCTGCCATCCTTCCATGCCTTAGAAATAAAAGCGAAGGGCCGGGCGCAGTGGCTCACGCCTGTAATCCCAGCACTTTGGGAGGCCGAGGCGGGCGGATCACGAGGTCAGAAGATCAAGACCATCCTTGCTAACACGGTGAAACCCCGTCTCTACTCAAATATACAAAAAATTAGCCAGGCGTCGTGGCGGGTGCCTGTAGTCCCAGCTACTCGGGAGGCTGAGGCAGGAGAATGGCGTGAACCTGCGAGGCAGAGCTTTCAGCGAGCCGAGATCGCGCCACTGCACTCCAGCTTGGGCGACAGAGCGAGACTCCGTCTCAAAAAACAGAAATAAAAGTAAAAAAAGCTCACAAGCTGGCATTTCATTGCTAGGGTCTACAAATCATGGTTTTGTTTGTGTTTTTTGAGACAGAGGTCTCACTCTGTCGCCCAGGCTGGAGTGCAGTGACGCGATCGTGGCTCATTGCAACCTCCGCCTCCCAGATTCAAGTGATTCTCCTACGTCAGCCTCCCAAGTACCTGGGATTACAGGCCTGCACCACCATGCCCAGAAAATTTTTGTATTTTTAGTAGAGATGGGTTTTTGCCATGTTGGCCAGGCTGGTCTCGAACTCTTGACCTCAAGTGATCGGCCCGCCTCAGCCTCCCAAAGTGCTGGGATTGCAGGCATGAGCCACCACACCCAGCCTACAAATCATGTTTTACAGCATGTATGTGTGTATGTGTGTGTGTGTGTCACACACAGAAGGAATTAGCAAAGTGCAGCAAAATGAAACAAATAACTAAAACTAATTACTTTCTTATCCTCCCTCAAAAGTCAAATGAAGGTTACTAGATCCATCCTGGTATGCTGCCATGCCCAGAAGAAGTTATGGGTCCAAAGTTGTTCAGACAATAGCCTGATATGGAAAGGCATGAGAAAGAACAGGTGAACAGGAAGGAACCAGGCAGAGTATCCTCCTTGCCTGGGGAGAAACGATTCAAACTTGGTAGACCTCTCATTGACCCAGCAAAGTTTTATTTCCTTTAGTTAAACAGATGTTATTGACATTGATCAAATATTACCGAGGCTAAATATTATAATGAAAACATCACTAAAAATAGTGAGCCTGAATAAATCTGCTGTGTAATCGAAAAAAAAAAAAAGGAAACTACTCAAAAACATCTAGGCACATTTACATTCCAACAAACACTTGCAGAGCACCTGCAGAGCACATGACACAATGCTAGGTGGAGCATGGCCCTGGAGGCTGTGTCAGGCGGGGGCCCTGCAGGTTGGGGAGGGAGATATGACTGGGGCGTAAGGAGATGTACTACAAGCTGGAAAGCTGGACATGCTCACGGCAATGAGGAGACTCTGAGGAGGGAATGCTTGTTACCAGCTGGAGAGAGAACAGAAGACTTCTTAAAAGTGATGGCATTCCAAATCCACCTTTGATTAAAAGTAGGATTTCAGGCCAGGCACTGTGGCTCATGCCTGTAATCCCAGCAGTTTGAGAGGCCGAGACGGGCAGATCACCTAGGTCAGGAGTTCGAGACCAGCCTGGCCAACATGGTGAAACCCTGTCTCTACTAAAAATACAAAAATTAGCTGGGCGTGGTGGCACATGCCTGTAAATCCAGCTACTCAGGAGGCTGGGGCAGGAGAATCGCTTGAATGGGCAGGTGGAGTTTACAGTGACCCAGGATCATGCCATTGCACTCCAGCCTGGGCAACAAGAGTGAAACTCTGTCTCAAAAAATAAATAAATAAATAAATAAAAAGGTAGGATTTCAATAGGGACACAGGAGAGGGGACAGACAATGTGTCAGCAGGATGAGTGGTCTGTATTGATGACCACACAGGCATATCACACCTCTATTTGAAATCCTTCATGGCACCCACAGGATGAAGTTCTAAAACCTGATACAGCCCCCCTCCCTGATCTGTCCCCAGTGCCCCCTCGCCAGCCTCATCTCCTATGGCCCCCATTTACCACCCTGGGGAGGAACTACCTGCAGTTCTGTCTTTCCCACTCTATTTCCACTGGTGGGAAATAAAGTCAAAAAGAAGGTTGGTCTAGATCACAGAAAGTTTTAAATGGCAAAATAAGAATTTGAGAATACAAATGATGAGGAAGAAGAGAAGGAGGAAAATTAGTATTGACTGAGTACTTACTATGTGTCAGGCACTAATCTAAGTAGTGATGAAAAGTCAAGGACACTTTCTGGAGCAGGAGAGGGATGGGATGAGAGCTTTATGAAGATGAATCTAACAGCAACGGGTGAAGGGGCGAGCGGGGAATCTGGCAGTGACCCTGCAAAGGCCACACTGGTTATGGAGAAGGGAATGGAAAAGTCAGGGCTGAGGCAGATCTAAGCCTTCGCAAATGACAGCTGGGACAGGTGAGGAAAAGACCAAGGGAATGACCATGGCCCTAACAGGAGGAAGGAAGGTGATGGATGTGTCTGGGGTATATTCCATGCAAAGCACTCCCAGGCAGGCACTGGAAGTGTGGGCTGCAGTGCAGATGAGAGAGAAGAGTTAGGGGTGGCTCAGGAGTCAATGAGGACAGGAGGAAAGATCACAAGGAGGGCTTTCAAGAACACCTGCATTCGGGGACTGGGAACAAGTGAAGAAGCCCAAGAAGAACAAAAGTAAGGTGAAGTCAGAAAGGGAGAAGGCAAACCAGAGGAGAACAGGGAAGGAGGCCAAAGGGCAGAGGGAGGAAGATGCTGCAGAGGCCTGAGGCCGAGGTTGAGAAGGCGCCACTGAATTCGGTGTCTGGGAGGACATGGCTAGTGGAAAGGCTGCGGCAGGGGCAGGGAGTCAGGAGTGGAAGGAAAAGGAGGTGATAACATCTCTTCAGACAAGTGGTGAGGAAAGGAAGGACAAAGGAGCAAGGGGAGGGGATATTCTCTGTCCCTCTCAGGCACAAGGAAGCCCTGTGATGTCTGCAGGCTGGACTCTGGGCTCAGGGATCTGCTGGAGAAGAAAAAACATCAAATGCCACAGGGCGAGACTTAACTGATGAAATAGGTACCAGAGGAAGTCAGAGGAGGGAGGCGGGAGTGACAAGGGCAAAGTTCAGCTTCTGAAAGATGGATTATTTTTTTCCATGAAATTAGAAAGAAAGAGAAAGCGAATTAAGAGAAAGAAGGTCTTTTAGAGAGAGAAGAGAAAAGCTGAGGGGACTCTTTTCAGAGCACTGTTTCTTCCTCGTAATGTGTAACAGCCACAGAGGGACAGAGGGACAGGTAAAGGGGTAAAGTGTTTCTGGGGAAGAGTGGGGAGGATTCTATCAGTGGTCACTGTGTCACCCATGGGAGGAGCAGTGGAACCAGTCAGACCTCACCCTGGAGGGGTTCAGGGTGATGTTGCTGTTGTTGTTTTAAATGGTGGAGAACAAATCTTAAAATAATTTTTTTTTCAGACACAATAAAATTACATGACAAGAAGAGACCTAAAGATCTTCATTATATCTTCTTTCATTAAATGTTCCTATTACACCCTGATGAGCGGGTCTACCATTGGTTCGCATCAAGTTGTCAAAATAAATCTGAAGATAGTCATCCCCATTACATAACCAAATGGTCAATTCATTATATAGTTACTCTCCTGGCTTCACAGACTATATACCAGCATGCTACCCAAGGCTATAAAGATAGTCATCCCCATTACATAACCTAATGGTCAATTCATTATATAGTTACTCTCCTGGCTTCACAGACTATATACCAGCATGCTACCCAAGGCTATAACACAAAGAAACATCTCTTGCCAGCGCTTCTAATGTGAGAAAAAGCTCAAAAAAATGTTTAAACATAACCACATTAACAAACATAAAGGCGTGTATGGGTTTATGTCTGTCTTATATCCGATTTGAGAATGAAAAAAATAAGACAGTAAAATCCTGCACATATCTATTTTTTTATTGTGTATTGAGTGTAAACCATGTTTTATAAAATATTTTAAGAGGATATTCCACAGTTGACTGGAATCTATCTCCACTTATACTCTGTACCAATGACATTTCCTTGTAGCTGAAAATAATTTAATTTAGAATAAATTTATGGAAACTATGCCATGCTATTTCCTTGAACACTTATTAAAAGCAAAACCATACATATTAATATTATAACATTAGGCAGAATAATAATTCAAAAGGAAAGAAAAGGGTCTTACCTATTGTAACAGAATAATATGAGTAGGAATACAGTAGCCAAACCATCCAGACATGTTATTCCAGCCAGAAGGGATGAAGAGTAGAAGGGGAAAAAAAGAGAAAAGTGGTAATCAATAGTGATGTAAAAACACTTTCATTTTCTAAACCAACCAACAAACAACACTTAAAACATAGTAAGAATCACCCATCACTTTATAAGAGAGGAAATAAATGACAGAGGCTATCATTTACTGTATTGATGGTTTCTAAATACACAATTATTAAAAATACAAACAATTCCAAACCAAAGTTATTTTGATTTCTATGAGAGAGCAATGTATTTTAAAGTTAAGAACAGGGTAGACAAACTACAGCATGCAAGTCAAATTCACCCGCCTTCTGTTTTTGTACATAAAGTTTTGGAACACAGCCATTGTCTATGGCTACTTTTGTGCTATGACAGCAGAGCAACAGAGACCACACAGCCCATAAAACCTAAATATTTACAATTTGCCCATTACTGAAAATGTTTGCTGTCCCCTTTTTAAGGGTAATGATACAATTGTTCCTTTACCTGTTTTCCTTCTCAGACAATCACATCCCAACCAGTCTAAACCTGTGCTGTCCAATATGGCAGCCACCATGCATTTGCGACCAGGGTACACTTGGAATGTATTGTAGCTAACCCAAATTGAGGGGTGTAAAATACACTCCAGATTCCAAAGAGTCAGTAAAACAACAGCAAAAAGGTAAGATATCGCATCAATTAATTTTATTTATTTATTTTAAAATTATTATTTTTTTAGAGATGGAGTCTCACCTGTAGCCCAGGCTGGAGTGCAGTGACGCGATCTCGGCTCACTGCAACCTCCACCTCCTGGGTTTAACCAATTCTCCCTGCCTCAGCCTCCCGAGTAGCTGGGACTACAGGCGCATGCCACCACGCCCGGATAAGTTTTGTATTTTTAGTAGAGATGGGGTTTCGCCATGTTGGCCAGGCTGGTCTCGAACTCCTGACCTCAGATGATCTGCCTGCCTTGGCCTCCCAAAGTGCTGGGATTCCAGGTGTGAGCCACCGTGCCTGGCCAATTATTTTTAAAATAGTGCGTACATGTTGAAATGATAATACTTTTGATATATTGAGTTGAACAGAATATATTATTAAAATTAGTTTCAGCTATTTCTATTTTTAACACAGCTACCAGAAAATTTTTAAATACATATGAAGCTCTAATTTTATTTCTCCTGGAGGGAAGTAGCCTAGAGTCTAGGCCCCAGACAAATAATATTCTGAAAATTATATTTCTCCAGGGTCTGACGCTGAAATAACATAATTCAACTTACATCCTGTGTCTAGGCTATATTCCCAGAACTTAGACAGCAAATGATTGGTAATTGGTCTGCTTTTTGGTTTGCTTCATAACTAAATTGTACAACTTGTCTGGTTAATTTGGTTCTTGAGATGACTGAAGAAAATGAGTGAAAATGTTGAATTATTGGCAACATACCGACACAGTGTAAGTTGCTGGTATCAAACTGCCTGGGAGCAATAAATTTTGGTGAAGACCAATTACATCCTTTCATCTTCCCGCATTACAGAGGTAAGAACAATGCAAACTCTCACGTCCAGTAAGTTTCCTGCAGCACATTAATAAGTAAAGGAGTAGAAGAGAAGAGCACAAAAACCTCGCCAGGAAAAGCCAAGTTCAAGTGAGCCTCTGTTTGCCAATTGCAAAAAACAAATCTGGACAATACAACCTATCATACATAATGCATTAATTATTATTGCAGATTCACACATATTCTGCTTAACATTGACCTCACTTAACACCAAAGCTAACAGATTTAGAGTGCATATGTATTTTTAAATCAGTGAGTTTTCCCTTTGGTTAGGCATATTTTTTTCCATGTAAATCTATGTCGTATAAGTAGACAAATGGATGACATTTACATACGTGAAGAGAAGTCTGCAGCCCTGGCGATGTCTATTCATTTCATCATATCCGCAGTATTTGTGAACTATAATACACCTTCCTGGAACACCAACACTCGTTTCTCCCAAGAAAGCACAGAACCAGCCATAAGGGTGTGACTGCAATAAAAGCTGATGGATTCTCACCACTGAGCAACCACTGTGGGTGGGGCAAGAAATGGCAGAAGCAAAGCATTTCTCCCCCTCAACATCTCTATGATGTTTTCAAAACTTTAACCTAATTTTAACTCAGTGGAGCCCAAATCCTAGAGTTCTTTTGGAGATGAACTAAATCCAACGCTCCCAAAATGTGGGCCCAAGCCCTCCACAGCACCGTCTCTCTGTCATGTCTTCAACTACCCATCACCAAATTGGTACCAGCCCCAAGCCAAGCAGATCTACTATGCTGGATGCTAAGGGATACCAATGGTGAACAAATGAAATTCTTGCTTGATCTAAAGATGGTTAGAATCAGTAGGGAGATAAGACGAGAATAAAAATAAATACAATGCAAGTCAGACCAAGTCAAGTCCGGACTAAAGAAGCAAAGTGCTATGGGGCTCTCAGAGATGGGAGAGTCCCTTTCTTTTCAACTACAAATAATCAGGAAATTTTCCTTGGAAAGGATGGCATGAGAGGAAGATGATGAAGGGATTCTGCACAGAGAGGATTATCTACAAAAGGCAAGGAGGCCAGAGAGCAGTGGGCTTGCTGGAGAACAGTGAGTGGGGCACTTTGGCTGGGACATCGATTTAGGGATTAGTGAGCGATAATTCGAACAACATGTTAGAACTGGGTCATGGAGAGGGCCTCAATGCTGGACAAAGAAACCTGGACTTCATTTTTGGCTGGGGAGAATTGGTGCAGACTTCAGATGGAGGGACTGACAAGATGCACAATGACACAGAGGCAGGAGCCCGGGACTGGGTGTCAGGAAGCCCCTGGTTGGTAGTGGTGCTCCCCACCCGCAGGGGTGAGCCTGGCCCTCTGGGACTGTGTTTTGACATTTTTCTTTCCTTGGAGGCTGGGCCAGACAATCTCTAAAATTCCCACACACTCGAAGAAAAAGTCTGAGTCCAGGAAGAGAGCTGTATTTTCAGGAGATGTATCTGGCACTCATGGAGCCAGAGGCCAGAAGCCTAAGGACTACGGAGGAGGCTACAGGCACAGTACAAGAGACATGTCAACATGAGGACCAGAGTATGGTATCTGAAGCAGAAAGTGGGAGCAACATAGAAATGCCCGCAGCATTGAAAAAGGAAAAATATATCGGACTTATGCATTTAGTGAAGAACAGTAAGGAGGGACTCCAACGTGACTGACCGTAAGGCTGTAAGTCTGGGTGCATTAGACAAGAACTCAACACTAAACAATTCAATCCAAACCAGCAGATGCTTCTTAAATGAACTCCTATATAACAGACCCTGTGTTCAGGGGTCCAGTGATGATGGAGACGGGGTCTCTGCAGCTAAGACGTTCCCATACCAGCACCAGTCTGAGGCTGCTAATGGCTTGCACCTTGTTTCTGTTATTTTATTACTGTTATCAAGGAGACGAGAGGAGGGACAATGGCAATTTCAGCCTTGAACTAGCCTGGGAACAGACCCCAGGCTGCCTGGGCAGGAAAAGAGCAAAGGGATTACAGCTCACAAACCCAACCCTCTTGTTTTTCTCCATGTGTCATTCTGAGCAATCCTGTAACTTTTCCGAGCTTCAATTGCTTCATCTTAAAAAGGTGGCTGATAATAACGTCCTCTCTAAATTATAATGAGGACTAAATAAGCTAAAAAATGTGGGAGCACTTTGTGAATCTCAAAATGCTTTATGAATGTGATTTGATGTGGGTGTTAATTCTAAGGCATTGGTGTGGTATCAGGTACCTGATAAAAACTCAGATATAAAGACTGGAGGAGGAGGATCTAGCTAAAGATAAGTTTGGAAGTCGTATTAATAAGGATGGTAGTTAAAGTCATGGGTACAGAAGAAAGGGTAAATGGAAAAAGCACAGTGAAAAAAGCTGAGAAATGAACTGAGATGAATGCCCACCTGTTCCTGGCAAGCAATGTGGGCATTAGAAAAAAGACTGGGCCAGGGATCAAGAAGCCCAGGCACCAGAATTCAGATGTGGGTGCCCCCGGGACCTACAGAGACAAGCAAAATGGTAATGAAATCTTAGCCTATCTGTAGGGCATCAATTTCCTTGAAATATTTGAGGTGGGGCGGGGTAGAAGCTTACCTTGCAAGGTAGAATGGTTTGCAAGGATAGTGAGAATTATGATAATAGCAAAGGGCTCCAAGGAAAGAGGGTTCCAGAAGGAAAAGGTGGTCAGAAGCACCAAATAAAGACGGCAGGCAAGAAGGATGAACTCCAAAACAGCAGAAGGATGGGGGACCTGGGAGTAGACAATGACCCGGAGGGAAGGCATCTATAAAGTAGAGGCGGCAGGGGCAACGGCAACACAGAAAGGGCAGAGTGGGAGGTGAGTGCAGGGGCAAGGCAGGGGGAAGCAGTGGCTTGGCAGGTGGTTCAGGCAATGGAATGGGGGAGAGGCACCCTAGAGGAGAGCAGAGGAGCGAGCCAGGCAGGCCAGAGAGAAGGGAAAGCTGATGGTTCAGGGTGGTGGAGTGCTGGAGAGGGCTGCTGCGTCCAGCCTGGAAAAGGAAAAGGGTGGCTCTTCTGTTGAGCTGGGAAGAGAGGGTAATAAGGACTCCAGAAATTTGGAGTGGGAGAATAAAAAGCAGGAAGCAGCTCATGTCAGGTAGATTAGAACTTCCAAACCAGAGGTGATGTTATTTACTAAGAGTGGCAGGATCAGGCTCAGGGCTGGGGGCTTGGGGAGTGTGGAAATGGCTTGGAAGAGCCCGGGTGGGGACTAAGATAGGGAGTCAAGTAGACAAGGCTACAAGGGCTCCCTGAGATTGGAGACTTCTCCCAGGCACCCAGGACAGGAGCAGAGAAGTGACTGGGCCATGCTGACGTGAGGCTGACAAGGCAGGCTCTGAAACAGACTTGGACTTCTCGGGGACTGGAGTCACATCCTTAAACTGGCTGGTAAGTGCTAAATGTTTTATTCAGGACCTCCCAGCCAAAGGCATATTCCAGGAGGCGTGGAGATGGTCTACATTCCTTCCTGACATGCCTCTGTCTTGGAAAGACAGATGTTAAGAGGAAAATAAAACTAAAGAGGAGATCACAGTAATAATAAAATAACAGTGACATAGTAATTATTTGGACCAAACATACTTAATAAATGCAAATATGGAAAGCAGGGGTAGTGTTACATTTCATCTAGAAAATATTCCAATGCTTCTTATATCCAGCTCTGTTAGATGATATGGGCTTCACACATGTGAATTACCCAATAATGAAGCTTTCTTCCTAGAACACCAAGGCCTTTAAAAAATATTTCAGTGGCGGGCTCTTAAAAAAGAACAATACATTTCCCCAGTAGGCTGAGCATAATTTAATATCTCCTTCGTGTCTTGGGGTCATCTTTATAAAAATCTGTCACTATCCTGGACAATATAGTACGAGAATGCCTTCAGGGGTGGTGAGATGTGCAGAGTTACTCACCCATTCAATAAGGGATCCAAGATCTCGATGTCATTATTGTTAGTGATTCTGCTGTCTGCTGCTCAATTGTCTCATCTCAAGGTGAGATGTGTCATATAATATGTTGTCCATATAAACTTGAATTAAGAGTTTCAAGGGAAAAATTGAGAATCAAACTTATCAAACCAGAATTGCTGTTTTCATAGAAGAATTATAACAAAATGGGCCCTAGTTATAAGGTCTAAGGGTGTTTCTGTAAGACTTCTACTAACTAGGAATGTATGGGTTTTGTAACAACTGTTTTACTCAGTGCTTAGTTATTTTTACTGTGTTTCATTTTCTTGTCTCTACAAATTCAAAGAATAAGGTGTTAAAAGTCTAACCGCCCCAGGTAAATGTTGTATTATTATATTGCCTTCTTCACCATAAAATGCTCGAGAGTGTTGATTCAAGGTTATTAACAGAGTCTTCTTAACGTAGATTCCAGACTACTTTATGATAATAACAGAATATTTCCCATGTGTTTTTAAATGTCTAAGGAGAATAGAAACTATTTTTCAGCCCTGAATTTCTCATCACAAATGGCATCGTGATAGCTAGATCCCTGGGGTTTGGGGTTTGGTTAGTCACACTGACGCCTCCCCATAATGAATCCTTGATTTAATATTTATAAACCACAAGCTATTTGTGAATCACTAAAGCTGCTGACAGCTAAGGAAAGGGCATATTAAAACAATATTTAATCTTCATCTTCTGTACGATCCTACACCATGAGATGTTAACAGATTGGAGCTGTCACCCAATCACACATCGTCCAGGTCTACAGAAACCAGGGCCATTCAAGAGAAGCAGTGAAAGAAGAAGAAAAAGAAGAAAAGAAATAACCACAAGACCTCATAAGCAATTCATATGTACAGATGAATTCTCTTCCTTCTGGAATATGGCTGGATATTGAGTTTTTCTACCATTTAAAAATGGTTTCCTTTCTTAATAAAGGGAAAGAGTCATGGTAACACCAAGACTCCAGTCAAATATTAGTGTGTTTATATCTTGAATACTCTACAGCAAAGCATTTAGGGTTTTCTTTTAAATCTCCGTACCAAGTTCACAGCCCCTAAAGGGTAGGTGAAAGTGAAAAAAAAAAAGTCTATTGTCCTCAAGGACAAATCCCCAGGGGAAGAGTTTCTTTGCCCAGGTACTAATGTGCCACCTGCCTGCGCATGACTGGACAACAGACAGAGAAAGAAACTGACCCCCAGGACATGTGAGTGAGTTAAGCTGTGGCCTCATTATCACGACTAGATTTGAGGTTAATTTTCCTTTTCTGTCAACAGCACAAAATGAAAGACAGCTCATCAATCATATAAATTAGCATGGACCTCAGGCCCAAGCCTCAAAGAAACTAGGCCAAATCTAAAAGAAATCAGAATAAATTGCAAGTCAGAACTTGAAAAAAAGCAGATTATAACTCTCAGCAGTTTTCTCTCTCTTACGGATATCAAACACAGTATGTCTAAAACAATGGTAACAGGATTGCAGCATGAAGATGTTACTGGCCAACCAACTTTATAAATCCCTACAAGATATGTAGGATTGATCTAAATGTCTTAGTCATGTCTTCAGTATCCACCAGAAGTGCTTGTTACAATGCTGTGAACACAGCGGAAGTTCAACAAATGCATATTAACTAATTAAAAACAAGCAGGAGAATGAAAGTGCTTTTTATAAGAGTAAGGAAGCTGGAAAACATATCCCTTTAAAAGACAGCTCCAGAAGGAAGCGTAGATCCACAGCCATATGGCTTGTTAACCTTTAATTCACATGATTTTTTTAAATCCTCTGAAGAATAGCCACTATTCTCTTTGCATAGTAGAGGAAAAATGTGTTTCCACTTCTACTGAAGAAAAAATTAACCCAGTATCTAATTTAGGATTAAAAGTAAAAGTAAGAAACTTGTATATTTTCATCTTAATCTTTCATCAGTCTTCATTCTGTCTCCACGCTTGTTTTAATACATCCTGAAGCTGGGCACCCCCAACTCCACCCCCATCTGCACATTTCCTGCTGTATTTTCATAAGAACAACAACAACAACTGCTGCTGCTCTTGCTATTACTACTATTATTACCACTACTACTTTAGGATATGGAGAAGAATAGGAATCTGCTCACCTCTGCCTCCCTAAGCAAGTCTGATAACATTACTATCACACATGAAACACAGCCTATTTCAGATGCGCAGCTCACCCCACAGCTGCAATTACTGGTCCTAATTCTAAAACCAGAAGCAGTGATGTGTCTGAATTCCAGGGAGTTGACTGAATGGAAATGTTCACATCTGATCACCTCTCACATACAAATTACTGTGGATGCCAATCTGGCAATTACCTCAAAAGTAAGAGTAAAAGCCATGCAATCAAATTCGTTATTATGGTTGCCTTCAATTATGGGAGGCAAGAACCTGACTCAGAAAATTTATTGAGGGGGAAAAATACATCTCTGCATCTATTTTAATTTTAAATCAAGTCATTTCATTTAGAAAACTCTTTCAATTTTGGAAAAGACTCTGTTGAAATATCCAGCTAAGTATAAGAAAATAATCAGCTCATTTCCCCTGGAATTCAGGAAACTTACTGCATAGAAAACAAAACCTCCACTTCCACTCTTTTCTTAAATTGAATCCCAACAGGTAGAAGCTGTAAGTCTCGAACACTTCTCAAAGGGACACAGAAAAATGGCGTAAGGAATATAAGAATGGGATTAAAACATCATTATGTGCTCCTGGAAGGAAGAAAACGCCACGATGCTCACCAAACCCCACTCCTTTTTCTGCCTGGGCACATAGGAAAAGAAATTCTGCAGGCTCCCTTGCAGGTAAGTGGGGGCAATGCAGTATGGATAGACGTACAGCAATGTCCCCAAACTACATCCAGGCCTTGCCACTCCCTCTTTCCTGTGAGTCAGCCGACGGGATGCAGGGGATTCTGGGAAGGGCTGGGGGATAGAGGTGCCTGAATCCCTGAATGACTGTATGGAGCAGGGCTTGCTGCAGTCCCACATCCCTGCTGACCTGTGGTAAGCCCCTGAGATCTGGGTGGAAGGGAGTGTTTCAGTAGATGGCATACCCTGAACAAAGAAAGTCCAAAAGTATAGGCATCAGTTTCCCCATCTATTACCTGCGTGGAAGTTAGGCAAGTCACTCAAATTAAGTTTTTTATTTGAAATTGAAAATTCTGGCAGGATCACTTCAGCCCAGGAGTTCAAGACCAGCCTGGGTTACATAGAGAGACCTCATCTCTAAAAATAAACAAAAAAATTAGATGGATGTGGTGGCACATCTGTGGTCCCAGCTACTCACGAGGCTAAGGCAGGAGGATCACTTGAGCCCAGGTGGTCAGGCTGCAGGGAGCTGTGATCACACTGCTGAACTCCAGCCTGGGCAACAGAGTGAGACCCCTCCAAAGAAGACCATCTCAAAAACAAACAAACAAAACGATGATAATACAGTAATAAAGTCATTCCTCATTATTTGCAGATTCTGCATTTACAAATTCACCTACTCTCTGAAATTTATTTGTAACCCCCAAATCAATACTTGCAGTACTTCCTTGGTCATGTGCAGAGTGTTGTCCTTCCCAGCTGCTGTTGAACAGGCGATGCTCTGCCTTCCTGCCTCAGCTCTCATACTATAAACAAGTGTCCTTTTTTCTTTTTCTTTTTCTTTTCTTTTTTTTTTGAGACAGTCTCACTTTGCCCAGGCTGAAGTGCAGTGGCACAATCTCAGCTCACTGCAACCTCCACCTCCTGGGTTCAAGCAATTCTCCTGCCTCAGCCTCCCGAGTAGCTGGGATTACAGGAGCCTGCCACCACGCCCGGCTAAATTTTATATTTTTAGTGGAGCAGGGGTTTCACCATGTTGGTCAGGCTGGTCTTGAACTCCTGACCTCAGGCGATCTGCCCGCCTCGGCCTCCCAAACTTCTGAGATTACAGGTATGAGCCATCGTGCCTGGCCTTCTACGGTCTATTTAGTGTCAGGTCTTTCACATTTTTGTGCTTTTGACGGTGATGTCGCTGTTTAAAATGCCTCCCAAGGTAGTGGTGAAGTGCTGTCTAGTGTTCCTAAGTACAAGAAATCTGTGATGTGCCTTACAAGGAAAATATAAGTGTTAGCTAAGCTTCATACAGTCACAGAATATTAATAGTCATGCTGACGGCCATGAGTTCAATTTTAACTAATCAAAAATAAATATTAAGTAAGGTGTCTTTAAACAGAAACACACATAAAACAAGTTAACATGTTGATCCATTGACAAAAATATTGTGGCCAGAGGCTCCCAGGAAACTAATCCTGCATTTCACTAGAAGCAACAATTCAGTGTTCCCTTATTCAGTGTTTGTGGTGACTGTGTAGAATGTAATTACCAAAAATAACACGCATTGACTATGATAGTATCCTTAAGAGTTGTTGTGAGGATTGTAGGAGATGATGTATGTTAAAAGGTTTCATACATAAGGGGATAAAAAAATTAGCTATTACTTCCTTGAAATATCTAGGTGAGGTTTTTTACAAACTTCAGCTGCATAAGTGAGTCAATGAAACTGCTTTATTTATTCTCATATCCTACTACAAATCCCTAGTAGAAAAAAATTAGTTAAATCTTCCCTTTTGCAACAGGAAGTACAAAATATATTGCAAGAATTCAAGTACTACTTTGTATACCAAAGGATAAAGGGATTTCCTGATACCTTAACAAGATCTGGAAAGCAAGTAATATGTCTAATGTACAACTGATGTTAATGTTTTCCTTACCAGACATCTGCAGACCCTTCTTGTTTTCCAGTGAGATTGATAATCTCACCAAAAAACTAAACAGGAGAATAAAATGCATCATATTTACATGTCAATTGCTCCATCTTAACCATCAATGAGAGATAACATCTTAATTCTGGAAGAAACCATGTTTGAGATGGTATCTGTAGATGATGTTGTCTCATCTTTTTTCTTAGACTGCTAGATCCTCTTATCACAGAGTTGAGAGAACTTCCAATATATACTCCTAAAGTACACCCCAATACAAGTCTGGAATTACTGTTTTCATCTTTTAGAGAAGAGAGGAACTAAGTCAAATACCTAGCCAGGAGGATGGCTGAAACCATACACTTTAGTAACAATAACAAGCACTTGTTTAGTGTTTATAATCCAGGCATTGGGTTAGCTGCTGCCCATAGAGTACATCTCTGACCATCACAGCAACGGTATTAGACAGGCACTACTCATATCTGTGTCAGAAACGAAGATGCAGAAAGTTTTAAATAACTTGCCTGGGGTCACAGAGCTTCTGGTGCTCCCTTTTTTTTATCAAATAAAGATAACACCAACCCCCAAGGTACATAGCAGGTGTGTAGGAAATACAACATTGCCATCATCTACAGCCACACAACTAGTAGGGCAGGGAGAGGACTGACAATCAGTCTCTTTGGGTCCCCAGCCTACACTTTTTCCACCATACCTGAGGCATCCCTAGAAAATGCCAAGGCCCAGGCCAAAGTCAAGCATCCTTAATAAGAATGGCAAAGTTTTTCCTCCACCAGTCTTACCAGCTCAGTTTAAATTTTTTTAATCACAGTATTATTTTTAATGAAACATTCCATTAAATTAATACATGTAATGTGGTTAAAAAGTCAAATAGTTCAGCAGAAGGCCTTATGTTTAAAAAAAGCATGCTTTAAGTCTTTAAAATACTTTCTTCTAAAGTGACATCCACATCTCTAAACACTTTATTTAAATGGATATTTCTTGAGTTTTCCAGAGTCCACCCTCCAGGAGCCCTGACTCCTCCTGCTGTCATCTGAACTGGCTCTCCCTTTAACCCTGTTGCTATTGGTTCTCCTTTAACCCCACTGCGTTCTAAAATCACCTTCATATTGCACAAAAGTATCAATACTGAATTGCTTAAAATGTGCATATACACTTGTTTGATTCATTAGATAACTTTGTAATACTACATGCAAATCAACTGAGAAGGGGTGGGACATGGCACCACTGTTTTTTAACATAGAGCCTTCTGTTAAACTATTTGACTTCTTAACCCCATTGCGTGTATTCATTCAATGGAATATTTCACCACTATCTGTAGATAGATTTTTCCTGAATTCCTCACCTCCTTTCTTAATTTTCTCCCTTATTTTGCTGAAGCACATCCCAGATAACTTCCAAGAAACACATACAGTTATTGATTGCCAACCAATCCTGTGATTACGGTCACCTAGGATATTACCACTGACTGACAATATCGTCAATTCAGTCATTACTGCCCAAGTTTTATTCTGTATACCTGAAAAACACTAACTTTTGGGATTTACATTAGTCACAGAAAAGATGCTTTTGTTCTATGCTAAAGGAGCAACGTCAGCTGGGTAATTCTCAGTTCTGCTCATGTCATAACCTGTTAGCATTAAGAGATGACCTCTTAACTCTGAAGAAATATTTTTGCTAGTTCTACTTAAGAGGTATTATTTTCTGAACTATAGTGATATTTTTAGACTTTGGCTAAAAAAACTAGACATGCTGCTGAGAATAAAAGGAAAAATAAAAGTGGATGTAAAGTAAATACTCTCTGAGCAACTGTTATGCTATTTTACTTAAGCCGATATTTATAAAGTAAAAACCAAATGACCAGTTGATGTAATTACCCAGATAACTTAGGAAGAAAGAAACCACCTTCATACTGCACAAAAGTATCAATACTGAATGCTTAAAATGTGCATATACACTGTTTGATTCACTAGATAACTTTATAATGCTATAGTGCAAAGCAACTCAGAAAGGTAGGCATGATTTGACAAAGAAACTAAGGTATTATATAGACACCTTTTTTCCATCTCGAGACAACTTTCTAGGAAACATTAATTCATAGATTTGGTTTAGTATGAGTCAAATCCACACCTCCTGGTAATTTAGGAATAAACAGTGCATCCCTCCATCATAAAAGAATGTCTTTTATACAGGTGTGATTCATGTCCTCTGATACCAATAATACACAAAGCGGCTTCCCATTCTATTCTTTTTTTTTTGACAAGTTCAAAAAACGTGTTTATAATTGACACATAATAATTGTTCATGCTTATGGGGTACAGTGTGATGTTCCGGTACATGTATACGTTGTATAATGACCAAATCAGGGTGATTAGCATGTTCATCACCTCAAACCTTTATTTTTTTGTGGTCATAACTTTCAAGATCTTCTTCGTTAGCTATCTTGAAATATACAATACATTGATATCAGCTATAGTCACCCTACTATGAAATAGAAAACCCAAAACTATTCTTCCTATATAAGCGGACCAACCTTTTCCCAGCTTGCCCACCCCTTTCCCCTCTCCAGCCTCTGGTAACCGCTATTCTATTCTCTGCTTCTATGAGATCAGCTTTTTTAGATTCTACATATGAGTGAAATCATGAAGTAGCTGTCTTTCTGTGCCTGGCTGGTTTCATATAACATTATGTCCTTCCTTTCTATTCTATATGAATCAAAACGCTGACACGTAGTCAATTTCTGGTAAGTTACATTAGCATCAAGACCAGGAATGTAAAAAGTTTGATTTAAATTACCTTAAATTGAAATAAAATCTTATTAAAGAAACTCCTTCTTAGAAAAGTTAGCTCATGGGAGTCATATGAATCAGGTCTTTCGTTATTTGGAAGTGTCTCATCTTATAATTTCCTAGATTTGACAGTTCAGGGTGAGACAGTTCTTACACATTCAGGTGAAAATTCACTGCAGTAATTATTAAATGCCGAAAGAAGCTGTTTGAGATCAACTTTCATGCCAATGACTTATCTACACCAACAATTTATCATTACCAAGTCCTTGCTGAAGGCAGAACAGTGATTATAAGAACTAAAATCCAGGAAATCATCTTTAAAGGTCTTGATGAAGACCAAAATTAACCTAATATTGAGTAGCAGCTTCCATACCTGTACTGAGACTCATCATACTATAATGGGACTTCACATGCAAAGCACCATTGTTGTGTGTTATCTATGTCATTAAACAAGACACTAATATTTTAAATTCCTACAACATTGGTTATGTTCTGTTACCTTTTAGCCATTTCCACTTACATGCTACATCAACATATTTTATATACTCTTTAGGATCCCAAATTTCTTTTCTTCATTTGGAAAACACATAAACATAATTCCTAGGCTTTTGTTTTATTTATTTATTTTTTGGTGAAGCAACAGTGAAAGAGGCTGTCAATTTTAAAATGTAATTGTACAGAGAATTATATTGAGTCATATTGATTTCTTTGTTCACAGACAATCTCAAGGTGATCCCAGGTCCTGGGATGTAGGAGGAAAAAGCAGTGAGGGAACATGCCTCATCGTTGTCCTTCTCTGTGAGCCTGCTTAGCAGCACTTAGCATTCAAGGTTGCTAATCTGAACAAGCCTGCAAGGGACACTGCAGTGTGGGTGGGAAGACCCTGGAAGAGAGGGAACTGGGTCTGAGTCCAGGTCTGCCACATACTAAATATCTGGCATGAGGTAAGTTGCCTACTCACTCTGAGCCTGTTTTCCAGCTATAAAATAGAGATTAAAACGTCCAGCTCAGCATGGCTATAATGTACGTTAAATGCCTAGCAGGTGCTTAATAAATGACAGCTATCATCGTTACTACTACGATCTTAAAGATGAGTAGACACAGACTCCAAGATGATAAGTCATCCATCTAACCATGTGTCTGGCTGTTTTCAGAGCTTGTGCTTTCTCCCATACAAAATATTTATCCACACAAGAACATTTTAAAGTGTCCAGCACCTTCTGTCGCCACTGTTTAAACTTTATACAATGTTTGCTTCTGATTTTTCCAAAATAATATATTGATATTCCCCGCCTGCATCCTTAAGGGTGCCACTAGCTCAAGAAGAAGGCTGATGGCACATGTCCCCTCTGTGACCACTCCTCCTGTGTCTACACGGCATGCAGGGAAGTCAGCACCTCTCTGTGTATGACAGAGACATTCCGTTTCCTCAAAAAATATAAAATCCTGGGGAAGCAAAGTAGCCGGTGAAAATCTTAACTGCGACGTTAACTTCATTCTAGGTCCACTGTGACTTCAGGTGGGCTCTAGACATGAGTCCCTGCCCATCTTCACAGTCCCCATTAGTTGGGTAATGAGAAAGAAAATGATTGCCCATCTGGTTTAATCTTTTGGCTTTAGATGCTATGTCTGGAATGTACAGTGCTTCTCTAAGAAGGCCCTGGAGTTTTTTCAAATTAATTTGTAATTCCTTTGAAATATTTCCCTTAAACCCTAGAATTCTACCTTCTGAAAATCCTTGTAACTCATAATTCAGGGCTCTGCACTTAATAAGGGTTCTTGAGCACAGGAGGCTCTCCATAAATATTTGCTGACAGTTCAATAAGCATTAGCTGATGATGCTAACCCACTTTAAAAATATATGCAAACTACATCAAGATGTATAGTGTGGTGGGCACAACCACAAAATAACTCAAAAAAAGTTTCCATAAAGCAGCCAACCCACGCTGATTTTTCTTACTTTATGCTTACATGTTTACAGTTCTCTCTCTCCCTCTCTCTCTCTCTCTCTCTCTCTCTCTCTCTCTCTCTCTCTCTCGGCTCCCTGTGTCGTTCCAATCTCATTTCCAATATCAGAGAGAGCTTTTTTTTTTTTTTGTGAGATGTGGTCTCACTCTATCACCCAGGCTGGAGTGCAGTGGTGCGATCTTGGCTCACTGCAGCCTCTGCCTCCTGGGCTGAATCAGAGGGCACTTTCTTTGTTCACCCACCCCCTTCTCTGCTCACTTACTCTCTGGAGCATACAGCATTTTATTTTCTTCATAGGAATTCTTACTATTTGAAACATCTTATTCATTCATTCATTCATTCATTCACTCTTTTACGTTTACACCATGTGTCTCCTCCAATCAGAATAACAGATCTATGAGAACAGCATCTTAATTTATAGGTTACCACTGTAACCCAGCATTCATGATGCAGAAGTAGGTGCTCGGCAAATAATATGTGAATAAAGGAAGAAAGGAATGAATAAATATGGCTGTTTTTGTAGTTGTTCTACAGTTATGTCTCATAACTAACTTAAATATGCTATAACCCAACACATGAGCAAGACCTTGTTTCCATTTTCTATTTCATAAAATGTCCAGTATAATTCTATGTATACTTTAAGTGTTTAGCAAATCCTGATGAAAAAAAATGACTTGAGAAATATCTAAATTATTGTTAGTTAAGCAAATTATTTAATTCTGGTGATTTGCATACTAAATGGTCAAATATTTTAACAACAAAGCCATTTTCAAATGACTACAGCATTTCCTGGAATCAATGATGAGACCGTTTGGAAGCTGTTAGCCATTTACTTCCAATGAGATTTTAAATTATTTCAACATTGGTTCAAACGGCTTTCCCTAATTGTCCATACCTGGCAAATGAACAGATGGTTCAGAAGACTACAGAATTTGAAGCAATTGCTTAAGGTTTTTGAAACCACCTACCACTTTGCAGCAGTTCACTTACATTTTTTTAAGCAGTGAGTGAAAATATCCTAAACAATCTTCCTAATGTGGTGCATTTTTAGACAAAAAAATAGAGGGGGTTAATTTCAGATTCTTTTGAATAGGCATGAAACACAACACCAGTGGCAAATTACCCCTGGCTTCAGTTTTTTTTCTTTTTTTTCACCATACCATAAGTCTGAAGTTTCATAATCCCCACTTTACTGCTAAAAATATAAACTCCATAATGATGGAAAAGTATATATATATTCTTATGTTACTTTTGCAAACAACTTGTCAGCATAAGTTAAAGCCTAGAAAACCTTCTACAAGACTATACTCTAAAAGCTTGCCACACATTAGCTGGTACTAACCTCCTTTTCTAAATTACACTAAACTTCTAAAATACTAGAGATAAGCAAATAAACTACTCCAACAAACACAGAATGAAGTGAACAATGAATTGAGAGGAGACTACAAAAATGGGTGAATAGTAAATGAGAGAGTAAAAAATACCTAAAATATAAAACTTACTACATGTATGACTGGATATGGAATGGAAGTTTGCCTGTTGCCTCCAAATTTTCGCTAAAGTTCAAAACCGAGGGCAGTAGATCACAAATTACCCTAACTTTGAACACATCACCGCAGACCTTCCTGAGATACTGAAACTGCTCCTTGGCCCAGCCACACTTCTGTAAGAGACTAGAGGTTGTTGCTAGTAGATTCTCTGAGGCACAAGCAATGCACAAGCATAAGCAGTGCTCTGACCTTGCCCACTCACCTACCTCAAGCTGAGTAAGTGTTACCCCAAGGGAACCCTCCAAAGTGATCAAGGTACCTGCCATGAAGAAAACCGGACCCAACTTTTTAAATCCCTGAAAGCAACTGGAGAGCTATGGGATCTATCCAAGAAGTCGTTGCAAACCTGTGTCTGTGATTTACCATTTTTTTTTCCTTTTTTTTTTGCAGATCAGACCAAAATCTTGCCCCATGCATTAAACATTCATTGACCCCCAATGAGGGAGAAATGTACTGTTTATTGAATGCTAGAGTCCTTTTCAGGTTTTCGGCAAGGCTATTTTAAAAGAATGTCCTCCTATTTTCTGTTTTCACTCAACATCATTAAAACAAGAAAACCGACAAAGTTCCTAATTCTATGAAATTCATAACTTGATCTTGAATACATATGTATATATTTGTAGTGACTTAGATACACAAACACAAACACACAGAGGAAAACGGGACCCTAAAATTCCTAATCAAACATAGGTGGTTTAAAGCTACTTCTTTTTAAAATTTTCTTTTAAAGGAAAACTGTGTTCATACTTCCCAAGTCCTTCAATAGGTTTTCTTCTTTCAGAATGTTTTTTATTCCTGGAGATGGTCATTGAAATGAATGAAAAATGGACAAGCCCAGCCAAGTGAATTCTTGGCTGTAACTTCCTTGGGAAGTGCTTTGTGGGTAGGCAGCTGAATGAACTGCTATAAAAGTCACGGAGCTGGCATTTAATCATTTCCGTTTCTCTGTTCCTGGGCTACATCTTTCCTTTTGGCTTGCATAAGACTGTCAGACTACTAAGAGGGAATCAATGTTTCAATGGGCAATTTCAATCAACTACCCAATATTTGTATTCTAATAAGAGCTTCAACATATATGTTGTTTTTCTCCATGGTGAGAAAGATAACCCACACTTATGATGCCATCTTTTAAAGTTCGTGCCGCTCTGATATTTGCATAAACAGTATAGTATCTAGCAGTTGTGCCAGGGTCTGCAACTCTTCTCTTGATATTCACTTGTTTCTTATTACATAGTAGTAAGAACTGGACTTTAAGTGAGGTATACTGCTACTCAGCTAAAAGCCTACATTCTCTGTCCTTTCCTGCAGTGGGTGTGGTAAGGTGACCAAGTTTCTGCTAAAGAGATATGTAACTTCCTAGAAGCTTCCTCATAGGGAAGAAAAGATTATCCTTTTTGTCACTTCCTCCTTATAGTTTGCTAGAATGCAGATGTAGTGTGATGACTGGAGTGTAGCAGCCATGTTGAGCCACAAGGTAAGATCCTAGTAATAAAGATTGAGAGTGGAAAACTAGGATCCTGGTTCCCCGATCACATGGTGAAACCACCATAACAATCCTGGACTACCTACCTACCTACCTACGTACCTGCCTGCCTTTGGATTTCTTTTATGAAAAATAAATAAATAAACTAACTTGTTGAAGCCATCATTATATTAAGTATTTGCTTACATGTGGCCAAACCCAATCCTAACTAACACCAGCATTCTACTTCTGCTTCCTTGGCCATCTCTCTACCAGATTCTATTCTCAAACCCATCTGTACTCAGTTCTGAAAAGTAGGATCTGTAATACTATTGCGCAAGTTTATATGAAGCCGCTGGCTACATTCCTTCATCCCACAAGTCTAAGGGGCAAGCACAGCATTATCTTAGGATGATATCTTAGGATGATCCATCATCTATGCAATTTCAGAAGAATTTACCCTGTCCAGAATAGAAACAACAAAAGTGTAGAGACTTCATCAGCTCTGATGGTGCTGTTCAGAAATGTATTATCCTCTTCCCTAGAGTCATAAACAAGCAAAACATTTATCTCTGAGAACTACAAAAGTATGGCTCTCTAAACCATGAACCACAGAATTAGACTGAGTGCCCCAAACGAGGTGTTTGTATTGAGTGCATTATCTTAAGCGAAGTAAGTCAGAGGCCTGTTGGCTTAAATCAACTCCTTCCAACATATGCTTAGTCCCAAAGCATCTTTTAAACTCAAATTTAGGGTGGGTGGACTAACACCAGACCAACTGTTAGGAGTTTCTGTTAGTTTCATTGGCTTTGACTATATAATTCCTATTTTAAAATATTTTTCCAGCTCATTCTTAGCATTTCAATGATGAGCTGGTTCTGCTCAAAACATTACCAAGCTTCCCGTCTTCTCCCTATTGCACAGAAACAACCATTGCAGTAGCTGTGGCTTAGTTTAATTATCTACCTTTGCTATTTTAGGGGTTTAGCAAAGTCTAGTAAATGGCATTATTATCCTAAAGGCTAGCCAAGCAAAGCAAAATGGTCTACAGCAGGTTTTTAAAGCCACAAAAATTTCTTGTAATACTATAATCATGCAAAATGACAATTTGTGTAAGCCTGCATAAGCCAACTTATTTAGTGACATGACAATGGGAAAATCGCTGTGGCATTATTAGTTGCATTTTGTGTAACAGAGACATTTTGAGGGCTTTAATTGATATAATGTATAAATAGGAAATATTTTCCTCACATTCTTAAGCATGGAAAAAATCCACAGGAATTACCAAAGCTGATTGTCTCTGAGATTTAGGAAGGATGAAAACAAACATACTCCAGTTTGTCTCTTAAGACCATTTTCCTATACCAACTACTATATGACTTAAACCCAAATGAATAGCCAAAGGATGTCATAATAGCTTTATTCTTCCAAACATGTCTCTAGACACATTTATATAATGTCTTCTCCATTCATGTTAACTTCCTGGACTCCTGCAGTCCTAACAACTGATTCCATTCACTGAATGCCCCATAAAAGTGGTCTGAGAACTTAGATGGACAGAGAATGGGCTATAGCATGCTAACTCATGATCCTTTGCAGTGATGATCTGATTCATTCAGTCAATTTGTACACTCAAATGTGACGAAAGCACTTAGCATACTGCCTGGCATGTGGTAAACACTCAATTGTCTTACTGTTATTCCTATTATTACTGTTAATTTCTTACCCTACAAGTTAGCAGTTGCTGACTAGTAGGAGCCACCAATGAAGAAAATAATAAGCTTGGGTGCGGTGGCTCATGCCTGTAATCCCAGCACTTTGGGAGGCCGATGGGGGCAGATCACCTGAGATCAGGAGTTGGAGACCAGCCTGGCCAACATGGCGAAATCCCATCCCTACTAAAAATACAAAAATTTGTCGGGCATGGTGGCACATGCCTGCAATCCCAGCTACTCAAGAGGCTGAGGCAGGAGAATCACTTGGAACCTGGGAGACGGAGGTTGCAGTGAGCCGAAATCACGCCACTGCACTCCAGCCTGGGCGACAAGGTGAGACCCCTTCCAATTATAATAATAATAATAATAAACAGCAGAACATCACCAGCTACCCAAAATGAAGTAACAAATCCAATAAAATGGTAGGCATAAAATTGCTTTTCAAATTCTAAGAACGGTTTCATCAACAGAGATATGTCCCTATATCTCCTTCTGGAAGCAAACTATGTTGTGCTCTGAGATAGCAAACTAAGTTGTCCACTCTCTCCCTAAGTTTTCACATCCTTTGCTATTGAAAAATCTTTATAGCCTCTAAAGTAAAAATATAACAAAATATATAAGGGACAGTTCAAAGGTAATATGCAAGAGATCGTTGTCTGTGAATATCCAAGACCTACGGTTAAGAGAGTGGGTGGGGAAGCGAATGGTGCCTTAAGAATGCAACACTCAGGGGTGAGCTAAGTACTGAGGAAATGACTTCCAACTGAAACAGCCCTGCCTCATGCAAGGGCCTCTTCCACCCATCAACCCAGCACCCTCACCCAGCCTCTTCCTGATGGTCAAATGAGGTAGGTATTCAAGGATAGAAAGCAAATGCAATGAAAATATTCACAAATCTTACAAAGATATAAGATTTCATAAAGGCAATGTAAGGAGTGCTGAAAAACTGCTCAAATCACAAAAACATTGTTGACAAGGGAGGGACCAGCGAACAAGTAAGGGGTTAAAGTGAACTGGGATGAGGACTGCATGGCTGTCTCCCAAAGGACTTGGAGGATCCTTGAGAAGCTGATGACGGCCTTGAACATCCTTGCAAAAATGACCTCTTTATAATCACAGAATGGGAAGTGAAATGTGAAGCAACAGATGCCATGCTATGTTATTATACAATTTCAGAAATAACAGGAACATCATTAACAAAGACTACCACACAGATGCAGAAAAACGGCAATGAAAGAGCCAAAGGTGGCGTCTAGACTTCTGCTTTCACAGAGATCAGGAACACAGACAAGAGAACTCATGTGGTATATTTGGTTCAGGGAGGGAAGCGAAGGGAAAGTTAATGAGTTCTATATTGGACATATGAAATCTTATGTGTCTATGGTGACTAGAAATTGTAATATATCTAAGAAGCAATGGAATACGTGGGACCTAGAACTCAGGTGATGTTATCTGTTCCAAGTATACACACATACATATGTTATTAGTGGTATCTGACACCACAGAAGTGGCAGAGATGGCCCAAGAACAGTGTAAAAGAAAAGAAGATGGCCAAGATGCAGCAGCATTTAAGGATGGATAGAGGAAAGGAGCCAGGAAAGGAAACTAAGAAAAATATGAATTATTCAGGAGACAGTATCTGTAGGAAACAAAGATAAATGTGGAAATCGGCAGGTCTTCAAAAAAGAGACCTCATCTGCTCAGAGTTTATCATCAGCTATTGAAATCAGGCAAATGTTAGCACTACGAGCTCCTCGGAAGGCTATTGAAGGTAAAGCGACGTCCCTAAATGCCTGCAGAGAGTTTATCATCAGCTATTGAAATCACGCAAATGTTAGAACTAAGAACTCCTTGGAAGACTGTTGAAGGTAAAGCCAAGTCCCTAAATATCTGTGTGATTAACAACACAACTGGATTAAGGTTTGCTCTTGGTGGGCTGGCCAGAGGGATCACAGCCTATCGAATGGCGCAGAGGTGTCCTGACACACAGCTGTCAGTATAGTGACACAGGAAGCATCACCTCTCCCTAACCATGACCGAGTATCACTATCACACTTCATTTGGGGCATTTCACGTGGAAGGGATCCTCTCATCTATGACCAGAGCAAAGATAGGGGATAAACCATCTTTTACTGTTCCAGAAAATTAGAAACTTAACTCTCTCACCTTTGTTCATTATATAAATCTGTATAAGCACTTTCCTCTTCTCATAAAAAGTCCAACATTGGAAAAAAAAATAGGTAATTTTTGTAATGAAAATTCTCCACCAAATATAAAAGTCCAATAAAACTAAACCACCTAGCAATTTTATAATGACTCTATTAAATCAGATTTTCAAGAGAAAGCATTTAAGACTATGTCTGTTTTAAATGACTTAAAAAAATTAAAAACCAAGCACAACCACAGCAGTATTTCGGATGGCTGATTGAATCTGGGGCCATTATCTATATGATCAATCAATAATAGAGCCAAATATTTCAAGTTTATTATGCAGTGGCTGACTTGGGCATACTGAATGAACAAGGCCTAGGTCTTCATGACTAAGATGAGGTGAACTATGGGGTAATTTTGTTTGTGTAGCCTCATCCACAGCCCCAAGGTAAGAATCATCAAAAGCAGAATAGATGTTGCTCTATGGGGAACGCACACATGAACAATATTATCTCAAGGGAAGGGTTGCCCAAACAGATTCATCTACATGGCCCAACAGGTTATACTGCTGAGAAATAAGTTCCCTTGGAGACGCAGGCACCTTTTAGAAAAATCCCTTTTCATTCCCCACTTCTTTCAGGCAAAAAAAAAAAGGTTTTAAAAAATGTAAAAGTAAGAGAAATGGCATGGCTGTTACACAATAAAGTGAACATACCCAACAGTACAGGACTGTATACTTGAAAATGATTAAGATGGTAAATTTTGTGTAATGTGTGTGTTTTTTTTTTACCACAATTAAAACTTCTTTTAATTAAAGACAGAGAATATGCCATGGCATTCCACAAGCCTGGCTAAGTCATAGGCCAACAGGACAGCATAAGAGAAGTAAGATCTAAACCTCAGAAGTATTTCGATTTCTATGCCTCGCCCAGTGGAAACTTACTCCAACTACAGTTGGAACTAACAGTAGCACATGGTCAATAGAATTTTTGGTTTGTTTCATTTCTCCTTTTCAAATTCTGTATTTTATAATTGTTTGTTGGAAGGAATCAAAGGAATCCTGTTTAACTTAAATTCTGCCCTATCACTTGCATTAGATAGGCCAAGATCACTTTCTATTCAAATATTGTAATATTGGGAACTTTTCAATATACTGATATGATATAACATATGTAGTATATCATTGCTACCAATCAAAAGAAAAAAGCCTCATGCATTTTGTGTATACAGTATTCCTTCCTTTAAATCCAAAGCTTCTGGTTAGGATTTAACAACAAATCAAGTAATCCTCAAGGCCTGGGGACATACATACACACACACACACACACACACACAAAACAGTACTGATGGCTGACTTTATTATCAACATAAAAGTATAATAATCGTTTTATTTTTTGGACAGAAGTGAAGGATGTTTTCGTTTGTGCATCAGATGCATTGATGAAGTCACCACAGCCCTGGGAATTACTTGCTTGCTAAATAAGCTGGCTGTGATATCAGGGGAATACTAACCATTGTTTTCTCAAAAAGTTGCACTATTTCTACTGGTTCTTATTTAAAGGTTGAAGAGAAGGAGAATCTTCAAAAATACATTCTAAAGATTTGAAAAGCATAATAACTTTGTATCTGCCTTTTAAAAAAGTTTGTTCATGTCTAAACACAATTAAATTTCCATCCAAGTGTATTGTATAATAACTGTTTTATTTTTCCAGTCTGCCTCATTCACCTCTTCCAGCTCCAAGGGACCAAACAACAAACCTCTCGAGCTGTAGTAAACGAAGAGTGTCTCTCAGGTCCTCTGAGAGAAGGTGGAGCAGTTTCTTCTACCTCATGGAAACTGCTGAAGAGTCAAGGATTCAAACTGTCATCCTCTGATTCATAGGTTGTTGCAACACGTTGACAAAACTCTGAATTAAAGAAGGCTTAATGCTCCAAACCTTGAGAACACTGTATTTGGTATGTTCTTAGACCTAACAAATTCCTTTAATGCAAACATCGGTTGGAAGCACCCTCTCCTCACAAACACTCATCAGTGAAGAAGTAGCAATAAAAAGCAGAGACTTTTATGGGTGCTAATGTTTTGCCGGTGCATGCAGAAATAATTTCTACTTTAGACATGACTGCTTTCACACATGTCCCCTGTCTCACCTAAGCTCTTCATAAAATTTGAGGGTTCACCTGCCCTGACTGTGAGAGCACACCTCTACACACCCTCCAGAAGTGTTAAAAGGAACAGAATGACCTCCTCACCGTCTCCCTCCTTCTAGCTGAGCACTGTGTGTGACCTGGTAGTGTGTAGGGCCACCAGCTTGCACCAGTAAAGTCTCTTAGGAGACTGTCATACAACAGGCAACTGGCACACCCTACAAGGCTCTGGTGTCTGCCCCCAAGTGTCTCTTTCCCTCCTGGATGCTCTTCCCAGCAAGTTCTGCACCGCATGACAAGTATTCCTGTCTTAAGCCACTATACAGAACCCTAAAGGCTGGATGGTGAATTGTCACTGCTAAGCAAAAGCTGCTTGGGTGGAAGGAGGTGGCATGAGAGCAGCACCAGAAAAAATGAGACCCAGTGTCCTATTTTTATGTCTGTCTATTAGGCAGAGACCAAAATTCAAAATTTCAGCCAGGTCATCACCTTGCAACCCTGAGAAAGTTGCTTGGCCTCCCTAAAACTTAATTTCTGCAGTTGTCAAATAGAGATAACAAGCCTAAGTGTCCTAAAAGGCTGCCATGAGGATGAAACGGGGTGGCCAGTGAAAGATCTTGGCTCAGTGCTTGACTTACTATAGTAGAGACCCAAGAATTACTGTTATTGTTTGCATGAACTCAACCTCCTAAATAGATCCATGAATGGGCTTCATAAATTGAACCATTTATGGGCATGTCCTTAGGTTCTTCCAATTAAAGCTGTTATCGTATTCCAATCAACTTAGTCAAATATTTAATACTCGGCACACCACCATCATCCTGATCCCGCTTTTCTCCTACAAAGCCCACTCGACACCTGATAACATCAGGCTGCTGAAGCTAAGTTCTCTCATCTCACCACCTCTGTCTCAAAGGAAAACATTCTTCTCTATGCCCTCCTTTTATGACAAACATCCTAAGACAGAGGCACTGACTCTGGCATGAAGAGTTTAAGTGTAATGCTTACTCCTGGTTATATATCTAGATCTTAGATCCTGAATTAGGACTGACGCTATCTTTTTTTCTTTTTTTTGTTTTTGTTTTTGTTTTTTTTTAGATGGAGTCTCTGTCACCCAGGCTGGGTGCAGTGACATGATCTCGGCTCACTGCAACCTCTGCCTCCCAGGTTCAAGCAATTCATCTGCCTCAGCCTCCCAAGTAGCTGAAATTACAGGTACCCATGACCATGCCTGGCTAATTTTTGTATTTTTAGTAGAGATGGGGTTTCACCATGTTGGCCAGGCTGGTCTCTAACTCCTGATTTCAGATGACACACCCACCTAGGCCTCCCAAAGTGCTGGGATTACAGGCATAAGCCACCACACCTGACCTAAACCATCTATCTTAAAGTGTCTATCATAAAATGGCATCAGAGGGTTACACCCAAACTATTTTGTAATATTTGGTTGAACCAGATGTGTCAATCAGGTCTATGTCCAAAGCTCTTGCTGAAGGAAGCTGCCTTGGCTGACTACTCTCTGTCCCACTGAACCCCTATGGCTTGCCAGCTACTGCCACCTGGACCAGGGAGGGTCAGGGACAGTGACATGGCCCAGAGCACAAAGACAATCTGGGCCATAAGCCTGTCTGTCTCCTTAGGGGGCTGAACTAGAAAATACTGAGGGAATGAGAGGGTGAGGTGCAAGAAGAGAAGCTGTAAGGATAAGAGGGAGTAAATGGTTTAGAGGGACTGCAATGAGCCAGAGATGCATGGAGAGCATTAAGAGAAACTAGAAATGGTGAGGGGGTGGAGACTGCAAGGTGATGAAACAGAGCAGAAGGCTGGAAGCCAGCTGGCGGCAGCACACCCAAGCAGACGGTGGCTGGGCCACATCCACTCACAGCCTTTGAGTGCAAGATCCAGAAGCACCTGCTGCTCTGGGCCCCAGATAGCAGCTCTGGATCCAGAATAAAGCCTCAAGCTCCCAGCACTGCTAGGCCCTGTCCCCTGGTTCCCACTCTCAGATTTGCGTGAGCTTATGTTTCACTTAACGTCTCAGCTGTGTGCTAGCCTGAATGTATTTCTGTCCTTACAACCAAGACGACCTCAGAAAAATCCAGCAGGTATTTCCAATACTATGGAGACAGCCTTTTACTACTATAACTTATCCGTCAAAACATCTTATAGTAAGGTAGACATCAGAAAATGCACCCCAAACTACTTCTCTTATGTTGACGTTTATAACATATAGTTTTGTGTTTCACTACAGCATTCTTTCTGCATCATGTCACACAGTTCAATAAAAGTCCTTCTTTACGGCAGCATTCATTCATCTTAAAGAAATGAAGGAGGCCCGTGGCTGTTTTGTTTGTGTCAGGGGTGATGCTGGGCAGACGGGAATGAGCCCTATGGGAATAACTTTACAAGCTGGCTCTCCTGGCATTAGACCAAGGCTCTGCACACAAACAAGTCCCCCTGGCCCTCTGCAGGACTAAGTGGAGCCAGCCCCATCTGCTTGGAGAAAATGCTATTTCCATCAAACGGCTTGCCCTGAGCTAGGATATCTCTTTTTCCAAAGGGCTGCACTGTATATTTTGTACAGCTCTGTTTTATTTATTTCAGGAAATGCAAAATACATTGCATTTTATATTCTAAAAGTATTCTCAGCTAAAACCCAAAATGCCTTTTAAATGTGTTCCCCAAGCCTGTGTAGTATACCATTTATCTGAGTAGTATTAATACATAAAGTTACAAAAATTAGAAATGTACCTTCCCCACTAAAGCCCAATATTCTTGCTGAGAGCTATTTCTTAACAAAGAATAAAAAGTCACAAGGAAAAAAAAATCTAGACCTTTTAACTTGTCTCTAAGAAATGTAGTTTTATCTGGGACATTCAAAGGGACAATTAGGACAGGTATCATGTATCAAAATCTTGGGCAATATGCCAAACATTTCACTTAAGAAAACTGCCTTGGAATTCTGATTTTTAAAAGTTCACCTATTTTTATAAATATAGATAAAGCATGAAAGTATCAAAGTGGATTTCTTGTTTGTTTCAAATAAAGGAAATATATTGACGTTAACTTGGCTAATATTGACTTTAACTTGGCTAATATAACACACAGTCTTGCAATAGTCTATTGTTTGAGGTAAGATGTTTTCAGCTGCAAGAAACTAAAATCCTGAGTCAAACCTGTTTAAGCCATTTAAAAAAAATCTCCCATAGAGGAAGAACAGAGACAGTATAAATTTCAAGACTAGTTGATACTGCTACCTCCTTAGACTTGAAGCAGTATAGAGTTAGCAGTTTTGGCACCATTCCAGACATAACAATGTTCAGAGGAAAAATGTTATATGATCAACATTTTTGTGGATTTTTCTTTTTTCTTTCGCTTCTTTTTTTTTTTTTTTTTTTTGAGACAGAGTCTTGCTGTGTCGCCCAGGCAGGAGTGCAATGGCACAATCTCAGCTCACTGCAACCCTCCGCCTCCTGGGTTCAAGGGATTCTCCCAGCTCAGCCTCCCGGGTAGCTGGGATTATAGGCACGCGCCATCATGCCTGGATAATTTTGATATTTTCGTAGATATGGGGTCTCACCATGTTGGCCAGGCTGGTCTTGAACTCCTAACCTCAGGTGATCCACCCGCCTCAGCCTCCCAAAGTGCTGGTATTACAGGTGTGAGCCTCTGCACCCCGCCTTCTTTTGCTTCTTAAAAAATGTTTTTATTATGAAAAATTTCAAACCTCTAGATAATTTCCAAAAATTATACAACCCACATACACTTCACTGAAATTCATCAATTGTTAACATTATTCCATATTGTATTTTGTCTCCCTCTCCATAAATATGACCATAATTTTATTATTATTGAGGAACCATTTGAAAGTATGTTGTAGACATCATTATCCTTTTCCCCTAAATACTTCAGCATCTATCTCCTAAAAACTAGGAGAGTCTCATATATAATCTGGATGGGGTTGAATAATGTTCTCCCAAAAATTCATGTTCACCTGGAACCTCAGAATGTTACCTTATTTGGAAATAGGATCGTTGCAGATGTAATTAGTTAAGATGCTGTCACATGTGCTTGGGGACTAAACTCAATGACTGGCGTCCTTATAAGGCCATGTGAAGACACAGGCACACAAGAAGAACACCAGGAAACAACACAGGCAAAGACTGGAGTGAGGCAGTTGCCAGCCAAGGAATGCCAAGGATTGCCAACAACTACTGGAAGTGGGGAAGAGGCGAAGAAATACTTCCCTAGAGCTGTCAAGGGAAGCATGGTCCCACCAACACCTTCATTTCAGACTGCTGGCCCCAGATGCTATAAGAGAATGTATTTCTGTTTTTTGAAGGTCCCTGGTTTGTGGTGCATTACTACAGAACACCTAGGGATACACAATCACAATACCTTTATGAAGTTCAGGAAATTTAACACTGATATACTGGCATCTAGTGTACAACCTATATTCAAATTTCAGAAATTTTTCCCAATAATGTCTTAAATAGACATGTTTTTCCCAGCCGGGCACAGTGGAAAAGCCTATAATCCCAAACTTTGGGAGGCCAAGGCAGGCAGATCACTTGAGGCCAGGAGTTCAAGACCAGCCTGGCCAATATGGCAAAAACCCATCTCTACTAAAAATACAAAAATTAGCCAGGCATGAAGGTGCGCGCTTATAGTCCCAGCTCCTCAGGAGGCTGAGGCATGAGAGCCACTTGAACCCAGGAGATGGAGGTTGCAGTGAGCCAAGATCGCGCCACTGCACTCCAGCCTGGGAGACGGAGAATCTGTCACACACCAAAAAAAAGAAAGAGGAAAGAAAGGAAGGAAGGAAGGAAGGAAGGAAGGAAGGAAGGAAGGAAGGAAGGAAAGGAGAGAAGGAGAGGAGAGAAGGAGAGAAGGAAAGAAGGAAAGAAAAGAAATTTTTTTTTCCAAACCAGTCTCCAATCCAGAATCACACTTTGCATTTAGTTGTCATGCTGCCTTAGTCTCCTTCCATCTGAATCAATTCTTCAGCCTTTCCTTGTCCTTCAAGACATTGACAGTGTTGATGAGCATAAGCCCCTTGTTTGGCAGAGCAAAGCAGACTGCTTAACGATCCCCTCCAAACACAGTCATTTCCTTTTATGGTTGCTTATGCTACACAAGGTACCACTGCTACCATCTCTCTATTTTTCTACCCTTCTCCTCACCTGCTTAAAAATCCTACCCCAATGCTGGAGAGGATGTGGAGAAATAGGAACGCTTTTACACTGTTGGTGGGACTGTAAACTAGTTCAACCATTGTGGAAGTCAGTGTGGCGATTCCTCAGGGATCTAGAACTAGAAATACCATTTGACCCAGCCACCCCATTACTGGGTATATACCCAAAGGACTATAAATCATGCTGCTATAAAGACACATGCACACGTATGTTTATTGCGGCATTATTCACAATAGTGAAGACTTGGAACCAACCCAAATGTCCAACAATGATAGACTGGATTAAGAAAATGTGGCACATATACACCATGGAATACTATGCAGCCATAAAAAATGATGAGTTCATGTCCTTTGTAGGGACATGGATGAAATTGGAAATCATCATTCTCAGTAAACTATCGCAAGAACAAAAAACCAAACACCGCATATTCTCACTCATTGGTGGGAATTGAACAATGAGATCACATGGACACAGGAAGGGGAATATCACACTCTGGGGACTGTGGTGGGGTGGGGGGAGGGGGGAGGGATAGCACTGGGAGATATACCTAATGCTAGATGACGAGTTAGTGGGTGCAGCGCACCAGCATGGCACATGTATACATATGTAACTAACCTGCACAATGTGCACATGTACCCTAAAACTTAAAGTATAGTTAAAAAAAAAATCCTACCCCAAGTAAAGGCCCTCAAAAAGGCCTCCCCCAATGATGAATCCTTCAGTGACTCCTGATCTTATGACTCCTCCGCTTCTTGAATTCTACAATAGCTACTGTCTTAAGTGTTCATTTGACACATAATGATAACCTGACTTTATTGTCATGTAACTTTTCATGTGTGTGGGTCATATCTTACCAAAGTCCCCCTGACAGGCAGTACTATACACTCAATATGTATTACTTGAAATTAATTAAATTAATATTTTGAGTAATTAAATACTTGGTACTCTCGCCAACTGACTTTTCCTGTTGAGTATAGCATAAAAGAAAAATAGAGAGCAGGTCTTTCAATCTCAAAAAAGTCAGTAATTATCAATCAGTAATTATTTCTATAAGAACAATTATTCTTTCAGGGATACAGCTGATGTTTGCTCATTAGCTGAAGGCACTCTGGAGAATAGAATATGACTCATAAATAACAGGTGAGGTGGTTTTATTATCAGCTATTGTATTGAAAAGCTATAGGATCCTGTTATTCATCAGAATAAGGAAAATGAAGCAATTAAAATCAAGCCTCACTAATTCACATTCATATTATTAAAAGCCCATCTGACTAAAATAGAGAAGTCTGATTTATAGAATATTTCTGAGGAAATACATTTTAATTCTTTCAAGTATAGAGTTATTTTTTAAAACCAAATCATAATGAATTGCTAAAGGTGAGATCCTACTTTAATAAATATATAAAAAGGGTCTGCAATTAGCATATCATAGCCAAAGACATGAATCAACTAGAAAGCTAATTTAGTTCAGGATCGAATGTGAGAATGCCTGACATCCTAGTTTTACTGCAGTTTCCTACTTTCAGAAAATATGAAATTGGTTCATTAGGTGGTTTTGCTTTTCCTTTTTAAACTGAATTAACTGTTCTTTTTTTTTTTTCAAGATGCAGCTCAATTTCCTAAGTCAAAGAAAGTTTCAGTACTTCTTAGCCTGTACACTGGTCTCTGCTTACACTGGGAATTGTAGACAGTGGATAAATACAAGCTTCCATGTGCCTGAAGATCTTGGTCTCTTATGCATCTGTTGACTTTATTCCCTTCCAGTAGGCCCCCTTTTCACAGACACAAAAACATAAGCATTGCTCTAGTCCCTTCTGCATTGTCATGAATAACAGGGTCTTCCAAACCCATATTACTCCCTTTATCTTCTACAATCCCAAAACATCTGTAAGACCCTGATCTCATTTTTTCAAACTCAAAATGTGGAGACATGGTCTTGGAAAAGTTTTCTGACCTGTGAGTGGAGTTTAGAGATGAGTCCTAGAGAGGAACAACATTAAATCACATTCGGTTGCATGGAGACTCCTATCCTCACTGGATGGCTAGATGTGCTCACTCTCACATACAGAGACTGTTTAAAACCTTCCAATTACCAACCTGGGCAACAGGGTGAGAACCCAGCTCTACAAAAAATACAAAAAATTCCCCAGGCGTGGTGGGCACCTGTAGTCCCAGCTACTCGGGTGACTGAGGTGGGAGGATCACCTGAGGCCAGGACGTTGAGGCTGCAGTGAGCCATGATCACACCATCACACTCCAGCCTAGGTGACAGAGTGAGACCATCTCAATAAAAAAAAAAAAAAAAAAAAAAAAAAAAACCCGAAAAAACCCTTCCAATTAAATCAGCCCAATGGAGACTTCCTGCCACCACAGATTTCAAGGTCTAGTCTGACTAAGCAGGTAAATTGTTTGCCAATTTTTTGATAATTCTACCGACGTGGTCCTACATGAGTCTGTCCTATTTGAAAAAGAAAAAAACGAATTGAGATGACTGTGTGCCAAACATAATGTCTATGAGTTTCCGTCAGAAACTGAGTTCAAGGCTCAGTTTCTCAGGCTAACTAACATTCTCCATGAATAGCAAAATACTTAGACCAGGTTATTGCACTCTCCCGCTGTGACACCCCTGAGGCCCCCATGGGAGATCGGTCAGAAAAACACAGGACAGTTTGCAGCTTGTGTTGACCTTTCCTTGGTCTTCCATTCTGTGCACTTGACTCAGCTCTATTCAGGCTCAGTGGGCCATACTGAGCCCAGATACTGCTGATGTTGTGTCTATCACCAAATGCCAGAGTTTAAGGAAGAGCAGTAAGAATGATCTCCAGGGGATCAGAAAACATTTCAGTGTGTAAAACAAAGAGATGTTTGGTTCCCTTTCTTTCTGACTTTTAACTTACTGATTTAAAATCACTACAGAAATCGAGAGATGAGTAACCTCCAGATGATATGATTTTAGTTTCACTAGTTTGACAGACAATTGGTGACTCGATGGAACTATTTAGTATCAAGAAGAATGGCTTCAGTTTGAAATCAAAACCATAATTTTGAGAAGCAGTCCTCCAATATTAACTGGCTTAAAACCAACAATTCATTTAGGGGGATAATTTGCAACTAATATATGGGGAGAGTTTTGCAGGAAATAAAATTAGACATGTGGACCACTAAAATATTTCCACGGCTGAAATGAGTCATTGTTAATCCTGCTCTGAAACTGTCTTGGCTACATTCATTATAGCCATGTATTACCACTTTGCTTTTCTTGAGGTGTGCTCTGGAGAGATCTCCTCAGCTTGCAAGGAAGAAAGCCATAGAAATGGCCATGTGACCCCTGCCCCCCTATCTGTGATTATTCTGAAAGCCAGTATTGGAGTATCATAATGTAAACAGTCCAACTTTGAGGCTAAATTCTCTGATCCTCTATCAAAAAGTGTCATAACTTATATTCATAATCCATGAGATGAGGCCATACTGGAATAAGACTATGAAGAAGAGGGACTTTCAGCAACTCTTAGTTACCATAATTAATGAACTCTAAGTCTCCATGTGTTGTAAGATGCACCATTATTTTATGGACTAAGAAAGAAATAAAAGCTGTCAATTAAATTGACACGGTGCCTTATTACTTCAAATTTTTTTATTTTCCACCTATTATGGAAGTTATTTTATACACAGACACATATTTTTACCATATATCACTTTTAAGCTTAGGTACAAAAGAAAATATCAGAACAATGAGTTCATTCAGTATCTCTAACCCTTCTTCACATTCAGAATCCAACTTTGAATTATATTTTGACTCCAAACCATTCAAGCCCATGCTTTTCCATGTCATACCATCTCTAAGCCTTGAAGAACACTGGCAATGCAGCATCTGGTAAGAGTGTTTCACTGTTGTCTCTGAGATTTCTTCCATTTTGCAAATTGCACTGCTGGTACTTGGGATATTCATGCATGCACAGGCAATCACAACTATATCACAACCACTGTGTGGCTCTGAGTAACTGTAAGATGCCATCAGCTAAAAGAAGCCATCTCGTTTTCAAAATTGTTCAAATGGAAATGTAGGCATCTTAGAATCAGTAAAATATGGCAGTTTTGGGACCTTGTGCACGTCCCTTAGCTTGGATTTCATCTGCTAATTGATAAGCAGAAAGGGCTCTTAGGGGTTTAAATTCTGTGGTTTTATTTGCATTGTTTTGTTTGGGCAGATCTATTCCTAGTTATCACATGATGCTTTTAGACTATTTGATAACAATTTGAGAATATAGACAGACCAGACATGGTGGCTTAGACCTGTAATCCCAGCACTTTGGGAGGCTGAGGCAGGAAGATCTCTTGAGCCCAGAAGGTTGAGGCTACAATGAGCCATGAGCACACACCCACTGCACTCCAGCCTGGGTAACAGAGTGAAACCCTGTCTCAAACAAAAAAGAAAGAGAGGATACAGACAGATCTTACATTCCCCTGCTCCCTTCATGTGGAAGTAGACAATAGGTCCTAACCTGAAGTGTAATTATTTGGAAAGTTGCCCCGATTAATGCAACACTTCCTATCTGTGACTGAAGGGAGAAGGAAGGGGAGCAGGTTTCGAATTTCTGTACTCTTAAAAATGTGTGTCATGCTCACCAAGATTAGCAGAATGCCTTCTTTCATAGTGGCTAATTTGTTTTGGGTCTTTTTGTTTCTTCATGAAAGCCAGAAGAGACTGAAAAATGTATCATCCTTTAAATATCACAGCTATGGTCTTAAAGTGGAAATGGTGCACTACTTCAATAAGATTATATTATGCAAGAAATTGCCACAGCCAGTGCTGTTCCACCACCTGTCCCACGGCTGGAATCTGTGACAGCTCGGAACTCCCAGGATCCCCTCAGGGCTATTATTTTGAAAATTATGTTTGTCTTATCACCTTAGGAAGCATTTTGTCTGATTTTGTGTGTTTCAATTTTGACTATACAAAAACCTACTGGTTCAACTTTCTGCCATAATTGACACTGATCAAAAGTTCTCTTTACCAACATACAACTACTCTCAAATCCAATTCACCACGGCACAAAAGTAGCAAACCTCATGATGCCTGCACTTGTGTGATATTATTTATTTACTTGTTTAAAGTGCAACAGTTTAAAATTATATTTACAACTGTGAATACCAATTGTAGGTTTCAAGCAGGAAATGAGAAATAGAGGTTTCTGAACCATGCAAATGTCCAAGACAGTGATTAAAATTAAAAACAACCTGAAAGTATTGAGGACTGAGACATGGAATTCATTGTCCCTGAGAGTCCCCAGAATGAGTTGATAGTGTAGGATTCCCCTTACCACAATGAATGAATCCCTAGTGAATAGCAGCAGTCAATCAAAAAGGCAAAGGCTGTCTTTAAAATATGAGTTTAATTATGTGCAGATGCCAATAAGGATCACATGGATGACTCTTGTGCGTGAAAATATGTCCAAGAAGTACACACAGCCATTCATTTTAGAATGACATTTTATAAAACCAATCATGCAAAATCAAAAGAGAAACTGCCAGAATTTTTTGAAACCAAAAAAGGACATGTATTAGCCAGGAGCAATATGATACAAAACTCCACCAAGCAAATAAGAAGAGTGCTCAAAGCTGCCTTTGAGACTGCTTACAGAATCTCTTTAGAAGAAAAGTTCATATGTTTAGAGAAAATTGGTTGAAGTTCTACACTGGAGACGTAGTGAAAACAGTTTCAAGGGGAAAAAAAATCAGAATAACCAAATTGAAATAAGCCATCATTGTTGAATGACACTCTTAAAGGATATGTTTTAATGTGCTTGAAAGACATTCTTAACTTCTATTTTCAAAATGCAGAGTAAATACACTTAAAAGTCTCAAAAACTAGAAAATCAGGCTGGAGACAGAAGCTGAAAATAGATGCATTGTCTGAAAGTCTGTAAAATGAGCAGATAGGTTGCCAGGTCTCCATCTCAATACTACAGTTAAACTACTCCTCCTGAACAGAAGATACACAGCTAGTGTCAACAGAAACTGAATGGGAGACACCAGGCCCAGAAAAAGGTATGAACAGAAATGGAGATGCATACAGGGAGATCAAGTGAATGTCTGCAAGCTGAATGATGAGACCTCTCCCCACTAATCTCCTTCCTTGTACTCAGTCCCAGAACACCAGAGCAAAGCTTCCATTTCCCAGGCAGAAGACTGGAAGATCTTTTCCAGGAGGAACCAAACCACCGCCCAAAAAAGACCTATGGATGTGAGAAGTCTAGCTGGTCACCCATAACCCTATAACGAAGCTCATCATTCAGTAAGTCTCAGCCATCCACATAGGGTCTCTGTGGCTTTTTGGTATGTTCTATGATTATGAATGGATAGCCAATGATCACCAGAAATTTGGGGAAAGCCTCTCACATGAAAGAGAAGCCAAACTACTAATTAGGCTAACTGACCAGTAGTTTTCTTCTACTAAGAGAAGAAAGGATATCGGAGAATGAAGACTATCTAGGGAGAAGAAAAAAGTGAAAAAGAAACATCAACTAGAACCACTAGAAAAAAAGGAATATACTACATCTATAAAACAAGAGCTTGGGGGAGGACAGAACATCAAGAAAGAGCTCTTGGAAACTAAAAAATATGATAGCAAAAATTAAAGTAAATCAATACTGGAGTTGAAAGACATCCCTTCAAATTAAGAACAGAAGGGCCAAAAGATAAACAATAAATAAGAAAATCAGAAGCTCAATCCAGAAGGCCCCAAATCTGAAGGACAAGAATAAATTTTTAAAAATTAGAGAAGAGGCAGAGACAGAAAAAAAAAAATCAAAGAATCAGTACAAGAACATTTCACAGAATTGAGGGTTTGGGGTTTCAGACTGCAAAAATCCCATTGAGTGTCTAACAAAATAAAGGCAAAGAGACCACAGCAAGCCACAGAACTGTGAAATTTCAGAATAGTAAGGATAGAAAAAAGATACTGAAATATCACCCTGAGTGGAAAATAGGGTACACTCCAAAGAGCAAGAATCAGAAAGCCACGTGACTTCCTGACATCAACGTTGGAAGCCTGAGAACAAGGAAATGACAACTTCAAAATTGTGAGTGAAAATTCTTGTATGATCCTCATCCTGGCAAAAAAAAAAAATTTTTTTTTTGAGATGAAATCTTGCTCTGTCACCCAGTCTGGAATGCAGTGGCACGATCTCGGCTCACTGCAACCTCCGCCTCCCGGGTTCAAGCAATTCTCTGCCTCAGCCTCCCGAGTAGCTGGGATTACAGGCACGTGCCACCATGCCCAGCTGATTTTTGTATTTTTAGTAGAAACAGGGTTTCACCATCTTGGCCAGGCTGGTCTTGAACTCCTGACCTTGTGATCCACCCTCCTTGGCCTCCCAAAGTGCTGCGATTACAGGCGTGAGCCACCGCGCCCGGCCACAAGAAAACATTTTTAAGTGTATATATGTGTGTGTAAGTACACACAGCAGAAGAAAAATAAGAACATAAACAAAAACATTTTAGAAAGAGAAAAATAGTTTTCAAATAGCTGCTTCTATATTAAAACGCATCTAATTGTTTTTCCACGGTTGGAAGAAAGCATGCGCAACAATGATTTGTCATCTTCTCCTCTCCCTGACGTATTCACAACGAAGATGTGTTCTGAAGACAACCGTCCTTAAAATTCGTAAGTGAAACCACCTGGTGAAGAAATCTTATATACAATTAGGAGTTTTTAGCAAGACTGATACTGACACATATAAATACATGTGTAAAAGTGGACAAATTTACGAACAGAGAAACTGCAGAAGCAAGAGCCCGTGCCAAAACCACTGCCCCTTCCCCGATCATTGCAAAGATCTCAAAGAGTCTGATGCCCAATTGGTTCAGCATGATCAAACAGACAGTTAAAATTACTTTCAATATGTGTGTGTTGTAAATGGAACACTTCTCTTCTATAGCAAATCTGTAATGCACAAGTAAGTGACTTTTATGTTGGCTTAGCAGAAAGCACTAATCCAAATATTTGAATGAAGGGTTTAATACATATTTTTCCACATAGGGGGGAAATCCCATAATCATAAGATAAATCTGAACAAGCTGAAAAAAATCCACTCTTCACCCTAATGATATAGTGGTTCACAAAGTCAGGGTACCTTAACAGCTTAAACTCAAGCAACATCTGAAAAGGTAAAAAAAGAAAAACCAAGCTGAGTGTTTCTGCCACACAACACAAGACAACTGCAATAAAAATGAAGTTTGAGAGTTGGATGAAGAGTGCTGATCATGAGCACTATGAATTATTTGGGACATTTCATTCATCCACATACAAAACAAATAAAAGCATTAGCGGTAAAATGACACATATGACCATCAGTACTCTTCTGATATGGAGAGACCTTTGAACATGTTTCCCTAACACACAGAGTGAGAGAGAGACACATAAAGAGAGATCGCTGGACAAGAGACTCTGAGTAATGACTTATTCCTTTAACAGGGAGTGTGATGCCCTCATGGCAATATTTTAAGCTTCTCTTCTAAATGATGATGAAGTTTGTATTTATGTGGATCTGGGTATCTGAAATACCAAGAAACTAAGACTGAAGGAAATGCCTGAACTATGAAACTGATTTATGGTATTGGCTCTCCTCAATTCAACCCAATTTTCTGAAATTGATAAGATTCTATCAAACAGCATCTTTCTGTCTCACTAAGACCAGTGGGAACTATTTTTGCTTTTCTCTCAATGGTAATTAACTTTAAACATTAACTTATTAAAAGCAGTATGTAAATATCATAAAGCAGAATCCAAAATTTGCATAAACTTTTAAGATAAAACATGAGACTTCCAGGAAATTTCACTTGACTTTCCCTTTGCAGGAGTCCTCAAGGTGTCTACAATTCCTCTCTGCCACAGGAGACTTAGCTGGAGGGCCCACTTGAAAAATATAATTCTCTCATTGCTGGACTTCCTTTCCCTCCATTATCCCAATACTGATCCCAATATCTGAGGGGTGCAGAGGAACATAGGCAGAAAGGACTTGATGGAAGCCCCTTCAAATATGCATTACTCTGAGAAGGAGCATTTATTTGATCTTCTTCTTCTGTAGAACACAGATTCTAATCTTCCCTCTCAAAGTTGTTCATTTCTTCCCACATTCATTTTGTAAAAAGGTACTACAAGCTTAATAAATAGCCTAATTTTTAATATTTTAGACATTTATGATATTGGCTGTTCTCAATTCAACCTAATTTTCTAACATTGATAAGATTCAATTAAACAGGATGTTTTTGTTTCACTAAGGCCAGCAGGAAATAGTTTTAGATTTGTGTACTCTCTGAAGTTTCCCTAGAACAGAGCAGAAATTCGTTGCTTCCTTCACTCCTTTACTTGACAAATATTTATGCAACAGCTTTTGCAATGAACACAGGTTTCTCCTTTGCCAGTATCTCTGAGGAAACAACTGCTCCCCCATTTTCAGCCCATGAGATTAAGGTGAGGTTGACTCTTCCACCCTCCAACTTCAGGGGTTAGGGGCATCATCTCCCCAGCTTACTAATTGTTTCAGAAATGGGAATCTGGCCTAAACCGAACTAACCAGAGTCACCCCTAGGGCTTTTGTTAGAACAGTTAGAAGGAGATAACCTCTTATTTCTGGGCTGAGTAGTCTAGAATTGCGGGTTGCTCTAATTGCCTCTCCACGGAGAGAAGCTGCCTGGGAATGAAGCCAACGTGGAGGGAAGCACAGCCAAAAGATGGAAAGAAAGACTGTCCTGATGACATCATCTATCCACCTGTATCCCGCCATGTCTAAAATACTGCACCTCACCACTGGAGTTTTTTTTTTATCTAAATGAGCCAATAAAGTCTGAGTTATGTTTATGCCAGTCTGAGTTCTATTTCTGTCACCTGCAAACTCAGGGCACTAAGACACCTAACACAAGGTTAGGCACCACACCAGCCTTCGGCCTACAATGGCAAATGAGACAAGTCAGTAGGTATCAGTGCAGCTTTCACACTAAGAGAACAAACAGGGACAACAGAGTGTCCAGTTGAAAGAGCCAGCTTCACAACCAGACACACCCAAGTTCCAGACTTTGCTGTGCTATTTACTAGATAACCTTCTATTGTCTCCATCTAGAAAATGAGCACTGTTGTACCTACTTCACAGCCTTGTCTCAAGAATTACATGAGATTCTAGATGAAAATCACTTAGCTAAATGCCCAATAAACCATGACCATTATTAGTAAGAGAAACTTGATTGAGTTCTACACCCACAATTCCACATCATTTGAGTGGAGAACTCAGTTCTCTTACATCCAGTAATTCCTTGAACTAGGGCAAGCATTTCAATAATAACTTCTATGCTCCAGGAAACCTGGCTATTCAAAAGCCCACAGTCTACATGCTTGCTGTTCACAGTATCTGTGTGGGGGACATACTATCACAAAGTGGTGATCGCTCCAGACCTAGGAGAACACCTGGGACACTGCTTCCCCTCATCACCCTGCTATACCAAAAAGTGCAGGTCACACATAGAAAATGGCTGTTCTGAAAACTGACTAGAGGGCTCACGGATTCTCTCACCTCTAGGTGAACTCTTCAGAGAATTTCTATTTTGGGATTTGGGGCAGCACGCATTTCAAATTTACATTGAAGACATGGAAACATTCCTTCTTTCATATAATTATAACCAAAGTGCCTATATCCTGTAGAGAAAGACATGGCTATATACATACACATATACATATACACGTACACATACATACGTGTATGTGTATATATATATATATTTTTTGTGTATATATATATATATATATATATATATATATGTATATATAATTCTATAGGTTGCCTCCAAATGCCAAAGAGCTTAAAAGCATTTTTTAAAAAGTAACCACTAGAATGCAACCTTCCTACAGCAATCCTGACCCATCAGCCTTCCAGGAACAGGGCATTAACCACAGAACACCCAAAGATCCATCAATATAACAGCCATTCTGACCCCCAGAAGATGCCATCTGTACCTTAGGAGGCTATATTTTAATTCACGTAGTCATGTATTATATCTCTTCAACCTGAATTCACCATATTTAATTATCTCATTATACAGCCTGCATCTCGTTATCCGTACTTCCTGTCCTCACCTGATCATGTTTTGGTTTAGGATGACATAATAATAATACTAATAATACTTCCAACAATCACTACTACTATTCACTGTGCTTTTTATGTGTCAGAATCTTGAAAAAGAGGCAATCTTACCCCAATTTTACTAGATAGCTCTGTATTCTTTCTGTTCACAGCACTTATCACAACTGTCATTGTATCATTTGTGTGATTCTCTGTTCCACACCTGGCTCTCTCGCTAAACCATAAGCTCTATGAGATCAAGGACTACTTCCTTTTTACTCATCATGTTATCTCCAGCACCTAGTTAATGGCTGGTTATAAGACAGACTCAAAGAATACTTGCCGAATGAATAAGTAAACCAACATTCGGATAGTGATATTAAGTTTAAAAAGTAAAGTAAAATATATGAGGTCATAGCTAATTAATCAGTGGCAGAATATCAGGCCAGGTCTACCTCCAGGATGCACACTCTTTCGTCTGTGTAACAATGCCTGTTATTTATCTGAGTCTTCACTAATTTGAATTTATTTTATAATAGAAAGTGTACCAGGACAATCAACTGCCATGGTGACTAATGGTGTTTTAATTTAAACAAACTTTGTTTATTCATAAGCTGATGTTTTAATGTAAGTAAACTTTACTTCTCACAGTGAGCAATGACAAAGGTAAGAAGTATACAATCAACATACACTTCATTCTACAATTATGAATTGCCCAAACCTCTCCTGCAGCCCTAGGGATGACACAGCTGTTGTAACAGGCACACTGTCTCAGGGGAAACATGGCTCGAATGTGATTACCTGGAAATGACATCATGATTTATTACACAATTTTCTAAATTCTAAAGCTGTAATTTATAATGAATCAGACAATATCCATGTGGGACCTGGTTTCCTCTTAATTAGGGTTATTGGCATCATCCACTTTTCTCTATTTTTTTATTTAAAAAAAATCTCTGCAAAACATGAAATGCAGACAGACTCGAAGGCCCCATAATTTGAAAATGAGGACCCAGAGAGCTAAAAAACAAAAAAAGAAATAAAATATTTTAAATAGTTTTTTTCAAGATTCTCTAGAAATTCATAATGTAGGGATATTATAAATATTCCAGAAAACATGAACCATCTTTTAACTTTACTGATATGTTTCAGTGGCACTTTTATTCCCTTTGAACAATATGGAATATAAATTACCAAGATGAGCCATTGACACAGCTACAAAATGAAGAGACCTTAAGTTTTATTTTTAGCAATACATTTTCCACTTAGAGGAGTGAAGGTCTTTTGAGAAATCTTTTCTGAAAAAATTACTACCACAACATACATAATCAGTATTACATACAATATCAGAGGGAGGCCTATAAAATTCATCACACTATTTTAAATTCCTTCCCCCATTTTGAATGGAATGGTAGTTCATACCAAATGATGGTTTACTGTAAATATACCCTCTGAAGGAGGTAGGTGTGTGGGACCTAATCTGTAGTTTAATTAGCATCTGAAATAAAGAGGGGGAGGGGTCTTGTTTTTGTTTTTATTTTTGGCTCAGTCCATCAAGAATGAAACTATGATGGTCATGTGTCTTTGAAGTATAGAGGAAACTCTTTAGCTTTGTTTTTAAAACACGTTACTTTATTTGGCAGAATCCAAAAGTTCAAAAAACCATTTTAACTGATGGAGAAATTCCCCTGAAAGTAATGTTCTGGATGAGAAAGTAAAAAAGAGATCTGGGCACACACGATTAAATCGTGTGTGTATGAAAGACATTCGGAATTTATGGTAAGAATAGGGTAGATAATCGTTTTGAGTTTTTGACTAAAAAGTGGTAACTGAAACTGGGAGAAAAGGAAAGCATCTTAGTGTCGAGAGTTGTTTGGAAAGTAGTAAATGTTTGTATTTTAAATGGCAGTGAACACAAGCAGGATAGATGGGACCATAACCTGGGGCTAGGTGAGGGTGGGGCAATTATTTGGAGAATTAGAGATCAGGGACTACGCTTACACCTAGGATTTTTTTTTCCTTTTTTCCTAACTAGGATACACCATAATTTATTAGTAGAACATAAAGTTTAAATATTTATTCTATCAAATCAATAATAAGAGAATATAAAAGTCAGATTAACTAAGCAGGAATCCCCATCTCTCTGCCATCCATCCTTAAAGAAGTCTAACTGCCTCCAGGACTCTCAATCAGACACTACCTCATGTGAGTCTCCAGTCCTACAGGCATGTGCCTTGGTGAACTGACCACAGTTCAGTAGAAATTACTCTGCAATTTCAACCTCTTTTATGATGAAAACACCACATGGCACCAAAAAAGTGCCTGAATGTAGAATCAAATGGCAAAAGTTCTTGTTGGCCACTAAAAATTATGTGCATATGTATGAGCACTTTCCCTTTCTGGGCCTCAAGTTCCTCACTGAGTCCTTTTCAACCCTAGCATTTAGTAACTCCAGGACCTGAGGATGAAATCTAACCCCAGCTCTGCCCTCTGCTGAGCTCCTGAACTGGTACTTCCTTCCCTCGGACATGCAGGCTAAGGTTAGGCAGGCCAACCCACCTCCTGGCAAACCACTGGAAAGGATCGAAGCAAAAGTGTCTTCGTGGGAAAAGAATCACTTTTTAGGCTTTCATAAGAAGAGAACAAAATATTCACAAAACTATACTCTTTGAAACAGAATCATCAATTAGCTGCCACCAGAATATACTGCTTTGGACTTGAAAATAATCTTTCATGGGGATAACTTATTACTTTATTTAATTACAGTTCTTATGAGAGATATTCCAGGAAGCAGCAGCCCTAAATAATTTCTTTAGGTCTTAAGTCCCTCTGATGCATTCATTTACCTTCCAGCCACACAGAGAGAAAGCAAGAAAGAGAGGAGGGGGCTACATATGGTAACGTGTATCTTATTATCTAATAAATTAAATCATACTATTCAGGAAAAAAATCAACTTGTTCCTGGCCTTGAACTCATGACCCTATCATTTGGATCTTTATAAAAGGAAAATTGAAAATAATGAACACTGTCCCCAGAGCAGTTTTACCAAAGAAGGCAAAAACATTTTTCATACGACCATTTTATGTGGTCTCATTAACCTCTCTTTTGAAAATTCACCCCCTAAAAACAAAAGACATGACAACACCTATAAATCTATTCTTGCGGTGAATTAATATACTATGTAATAAATTTATGCTCCTTCATTTTAATTATCACTAGTTTTTATGTTTGACTTTGGTGGAAATAAAGTAGCCTTTTAATTCTGAGTCGTTATTTTCTCAAAATAATCATGTCTCTGACCCAGACAGTGTTCAGTAACACCCACTCCCTCATGCAGTAAGTATCCTTCTTTCCTGATTAACTTTCTCATAAACAGGAGGAAGCCCAGGAAAGGGAGTGAACCCTGCCTAGTGCATCCTTGTGCCCACTCCCTCATTATTCTATCCTACCCAAGCTTCCCATGCCCACTGCCCTACCAGTCCTGTGTCCTGTTGTTGGGAGGCACTGCTCTTAGCCAGCTGTTCGCATTGGAAATTGAGCTGATAAAGTAATCCTTACCACAAGGTTTGCTGCTCAAAACTTGACTTCTGTTACCCTTACCAGTAATGTCTGCATTTTAGCTGGAGAAATCTCCCTAGAAAACCACTGTATGATGAGCAGGCCAGAAAAGGGACGGGGTCCCTTGGATGACATTGTTATCCTGCATTCCAACTTTTTCCATGCAATTATCAGATTCAGCTAAAAGTAGCAAACTAGGGGCTCTCCCATTCCATCAGTAAAGACAAATGATAAATCATTACAGGAGAAAATGCCTAGCCTCCTTAATGATGAAATGCAGAATAAAACAACTGCACTGCCCTGTCATTCTGAAGTCCAAAATGACTGCATAAACAAGAGGTATGCAACATTAGACCTGATAATGTCACTTTGGGTTTAATTCCAGGAAAATAATCCCAAAGCAAAATAATCGTTTGTATCAAGATGCCTATATCATGCTGTTTATGATAATAAACAATTAGAAACAAGCCAATTTATAACAGTGAAAGGTTAAGTACGTTATGTCATATCAGTGAATGCCTTACCAATGTTAAAAGAAAGTACACATGAAGTTTATTTTGCAAGATGATTAAGATCCAGAGATCTGCTATACAAAGTCATACCTACACTTAATAGTACTGTGATTGTATACTGAAAGAAGTTGTTGAGGGTAGAGCTCATGTTAAATGTCCTTACCACAAAATAGAAGACAGTGCCTATGTTAAGCACATAGTTTTATAAACCATATATAAAATAATGCTAAGTAGGAAAAGTTAGACATCATATTACACAGTTTACAACAATGCAAAGTGTACAAACACACAGATGAAAACCAGAAGCAAACATAATGTTTTGAACAGAGATTTAAATGAATTATATTCCCTTTTCTCTGCTAAATTGATTCAGTGTTTAATGACTTTTAAAAAAAATCAAAACAGTGGACAAAGGGGAGGAGGACAGGTCCTCAGGTACAAATGCCACCAGGAGTTTTGACTTGCACAAAGAGCTTGATTCTTATGTTCAATGATAACTCAATGCCTCAGCCCTGCCGGTGGTCAGGCTCCACCACACTCCCATCCAGTCAGGCAGAGTTGATTGATTACTTCAATAGAACTAGCCAAACAGAAACAGACATGGGTCAGTAGATTTTTACCACTGAGGCTATATTACATTTATATATGAGATACGGCCAAAGATCTTCACAGCAGGCTCACTCCTCTATAATTCCCTAAAGCTAGCCAATTGCATCTGAAAATAATCAAAAAACTATGCAGAGTTGCTCTATCTTTGCTATTGCTAGCTACAGTTCACAACTACACATTATAAAATCACTCCTTCTCCATTTAAAGTACAAGAATAGATAATAATAGCATGCTAATTAGTGCCTTAATCTCTGCTCAAAATAGCACAGCTTACAAAACAATTCTGGCTATTCCTACATAATATCAACAAAAACTCAAATGTCCATAGCACTTTATAGTGTAAAAAGTACTGTTGTAAACATTAGTTTATGCCACCACAAGACTCTTAAGTTAGTTAACATTCAGTTTAGCTTACATTAAAATGGAGTGTCAAGTTCTAGCAGCTTTCTAATTGCAAAAAATAACTAGGTAATTAACAGAAATGTATTTAGAAGAACTACTTCTCAGACAGCTATGATATAAAAAATGAAATTACTAAACCCGACAATTCTGTTAATACAAAGTAAGGTGGATGTGTATCAAATCCACCATAAATCTCATTATTTTTCATATGTCCTTTTAATGCTTATGTATTCCAGTGGCGGGGGGTAGGATGCAGTTTAGCATTCATTCCTAAATACAGCAATTCAACTTTCATAACTACTGTAATTCAGCAGTAGGTACGAAAGCATTTATTCAGTGTTGACTATGTGCCAAGCTCCAGGATATATAAAAAGATAAGTAAGACAAGGTCCCTACCTCCAGTTACTGAGACAAGGCTATAGGACAGCCCTATTGAGCTTGTGATCAACTGAGTCCCTCAAACTTTGGGGTGACAGAGCACATGAGTTTATTTCTTTTCTCACCAAGTCTCCAATACCTTTATCATAAAAGGATAAAGATAACATACAAGCACACAAGCAGAGAATGGAAGAAGAACCATTGACAAACAAAGATTACAAGATTTCTACAAAAGCAGGTACAAAATAGTGCCTAAAGAAGCAGGGTAAAGAAACTCTGTAGAAAATACATCTTTGGGGGACCTACAGCTTAGGAAGGAGCTGACCTGCCCTGCAGAAACCAAGATAGCCTCCAGGTGCAGAACTCCCGGGTACTCTAAGCATGAAGTAGGGGCTGACAACAATGGGTACTAATTAGTGGGGACTAAGAAATAAGTTACAGAGCAGACTGCTGACTCCTCTTCCCCATTGTCCCATCACTGTGGGCTAAATTACCAGGTTTCTGGATCTCAGGCTAATACAAGAAGATGTATCAAAATGAAGGGCATAAGTCTTCTCATTGAAAAGAGCCACCACATAAACAAGAAAATGAATTTTCAAAGGTCCACACTTAGATTGCATTAAAACGTTTAGAACACCAAGGATAATGAGAAGATCCTATGAGTTTCCAGAGAGAAAAATAGTCATCTACAAAAAATGAAAAATCAGATTGGCATCAGACTTCTCATCAGAATCATAGAGGCTAAAAGATCATGAGTAATGCCTTCCAGTTACAATGTGGAAATTCTTCTCAGTCTAGAAGTCACACCTTGTTAACCCTGTAATCAGCAGGACAGAATAAAGATACTATCAGATATCTATGGGAAGAATAGACATTATTATAAATGTATTGACTAATAATGCATAAAGTTTACCTTTCATTCACTCTTCCTTTGGGAATAACTTGAAATTTTGCTCAAAGCTAGATGGCAAAGCAGAAAGAAAAAGGCATTATATTGCCAAAACTGGATTCAGGCAAGAAGATCAATGAAAGGTCATCCCAGGGTGACAGCTGTGCAGCTGATCCAGGGTCAATCAACCCAGAAGAGAGTAGCAGACAGGCAGAAGAATCATGGATTCCTCTTTAATAAGGGATTTCAAGATTTGATACTCTCTTTGGGTATCAGAGAGTGCAGACACTAAAAAAACTTCAGAAGGTCACATAGGCAGACAATGAAAGGGCAAAAAAGACTAGTAGAAACTGTAATAATTCTTCATAGGAAAGGAAATACAATAATCGTATACCACTTGGCTCCTCAGTGAACAATATTTACTTGTTCATCATAATGTAAAAAGTACAGTTTTCAACTTTTTAAACTATAATCACTGATAACTTAATTATGGATAAAGAACAAAATGTAGATGTTATTGACATCAATAATATAAAAATTTTAAAAACAAATGTTAACAATTGGAAGAAGAATGACAAAAAGGAGAGCTGAAGGGAGTACAGGGATGCTATTAATCCTCATCTCACAAAATGAGGAATCAAGAGACATCATCTACAGTTGACAACTGATATACTTTGGATATTTGTCCCTGCCCAAATCTTATGTTGAATTATATTCCCCAATGCTGGAGGTGGGGTCTAGTGGAAGATGCTTGGATCATGGAGCAGATCCCTCATGGCTTGGTGCCATCTTCATGATAGTGAGTTCTCACAAGATCTGGTCATTTAAGTGTATGGCACCTCCCCACCCCCAACTCTCTGTCACTTGCTCCTACTTTCCCCATGTGATATGCCTGTACCCTTTTTGCCTTCTGCCATGATTGTAAGCTTCCTGAGGCCTCCCTAGAAGCCAAGCAGATGCCAGTACTGTGCTTCCTGTAAAGCCTGCAGAACCATGAGCCAATTAAACCTCTTTTCCTTATACATTACCCAGTGCCAGATAGTTATAGCAATGCAAGAATGGTCTAAAACAATACAAAAAGCAAAGTATCAGTTGACTGCTTAAAGTTAAGAATTTAACCAACAGAGGAATCATAAATACTGACAGACCTGTTTTGGGAAATGAAAATTTAGTGAAGTAGGGTGACATAGGGATATACACTTCTTTTATCATAGCATGAAGTCAACAAATAAGGACAAAAATTGATAAATCAGGTAATAGTATAAATTTACATAAAATGGAGTAGAGAAAATATTTTTGTATTTGCTTATACATTAATATGAAATATTTTCTAGAAGAGATAAGAGTTCAGTGATTTTTCAGGCCGGGTGCGGTGGCTCACGCCTGTAATCCCAGCACTTAGGAAGGCCGAGGCTGGCGGATCACGAGGTCAGGAGATCGAGATCATTCCAGCTAATGCAGTGAAACCCCGTCTCTACTAAAAATACAAAAATAAAAAAATTAGCCGGGCATGGTGGCGGGCGCCTGTAGTCCCAACTACTTGGGAGGCTGAGGCAGGAGAATGGTGCGAACCCAGAGGCAGAGCTTGCAATGAGCCGAGATCACGCCACTGCACTCCAGCCTGGGCAACAGAGTGAGACTCCGTCTCAAAAAAAAAAAAAAAAGAAAAAAAAAGAGTTCATGATTTTTCTGTGTTTAGAGGAGATATCTCAGTATATATATTTTTATGCTTTTCATTTTTGAACCATGTAAATGAGTCACATTTTACAACAATTAGACATATTAAGTTTAAAACATAAAAATATATTATTTAGCAATATGCAAGCAACCACCCAATGAAACAACTACAAGATGTAAAAGTGGTTTCTTCTTCAGATGGGAAATAGTAATCAGTGAACTAGTGTTTTTCATCATAAACTCACTTGCATTTTTAACAATTTATGATTATGAATTTTCATTGAAAAAAATGCATAAAAATAAAGAAAAATCTCATATTGAATAACAGGCTTCTTTAAGAAAGGAAACCTTGGGAGGAAGCAGTTGTCCCACAAGAATACAAATAATGAACCATCCTCTACAGTCTCCTCTCTCCCGTTTTCTCCATGGCTTCCTCTTCCCTGTTCCTCTCAAGAGATATTCATAATTACAATAGAATTTCCAATAAAAGATACTTCAACAATAAAAATAATATAAAAATATATTTAATGCCTTAAAGACTTAATAAAGTTAATAAAACTGACTATTTCTCCTTTAAAACTTTTATAAATGAGGCAGGAAACAGATGTAAACTGTTACATTACCCATCATTAAAACAAATGGAAACCTAAATTACTGTATCAACTTTTACAGACCATATTGCCAATCATAAAATGTTTCATTATGCACAAATAGTAACTGATGATAGTACAAAATATGTCTAAAATTATTACCAAAAACACTTCCTTCAATAAATAAAAAATACAAAATCACTAATGTTGAGAGTAAAATTTAAAATTCGGGAGTCCCAGAGGCTGTCCCAGAACAATGAGTAGCTATTTGTGCGAACCTGGTCAAGTAAGCTCTGCTCTCTTTCTTCTTCACTTCACTTCTTCATGTAAAGTGAGTTGGGTAAACTCAATAATCTCTAAAATACCTGCCAGCTCCAATCACTTTTTTTTTTCTTTTCAGGCCATGCACTAGAGAAAATTTAACAGCAAAAAATCACTTAGTGGATGTAATCAGTTCATAGCCATTAACACGTACTTATTGTGAAAGTCAGATGAACTATAATAGCCTATAAACCACATCACATTGTTGAACCTGAGTGAAGTTACTGAGGCTTTTTCAAAGTGCTGCCTCTAAATTCTAGTTTGTTTATTTAATTGATCATTTGATGTGCCCTGGGGTAGCAGACTGAGGACCTAAGTGTGAATTTTGCTTTTATTCCTATTAAATTTAATCATGTTTAGCTCATTAATCGAACTTACTGAGATACTGAATCCTGATACTATTACCCATCATATTAATTCTCAGTTCCAATCCATGCCACCTATAATGGCATTCTACCTAAAATACTAATGTAAAAATTGAATAAGAAAACACAAGAGAACACCAGTAAGATGGCAAAACACGTGCAGAAAACACAAGAGAACACCGGTAAGATGGTGGAACAGATGCACGTAGCTCCCAACAGTAACAATAATTTGAGAGCCCTCTACAGCAAAAGTGCCTTTATGGAAGCTTAAACAGCCAAGTAAGAGATTGTGATAAATTGATAAATCAGGTAATGGTATAAATTTACATAAAATGGAGTGGAGAAAATATTGGAGCACAAGGCCTAGGAGAACCTTTTGATAGGACAGCACTACACCGAGGTGACAGACTCTCCTACCATGGCCCTAGCTCCAGACCCAAAAATGGCTTCCATACTCCTGTGGACTCAGCTACAGCTCTGTTTGATCATTGTCCTTCTATCAAAACCATTCACCCTGGGACCCAGAAAAAATCACACCCACTTGCGCCATGGATGATAAACCTACAGACCTCAGCTCTACCTGTGGATCAGAAATGGCCAAGAGACTTGGCTTCAGTCCCTCTCAGCAGTGGTCTGAGATCAGTCCAGCTGATCTACTAGGGTCCCAGAGAGAAATATATCTCTCTAAGTCCCCGGAGCAGGGTTGCTGACCTCAGTCCCACAAAAAACCCTGAAATGGCTCTGAGACTGGCTACAGTCCCTCTCAACGGTGGTCAGAGGTAAGTCATGCCAGCAGCACTGAGACAAGATGGAGACGTGCCTTCCTGAGTCTTCCAGGTAGCACTGCTGAGCTTAGTCCCAGCTGTGGGCCCTAAAGCAACCCTGCAACTCAGTTTCAGCCTTCTTCAACCATAGACCAGGGCAGTAATGTTTGCCCAAGGACCCAACCAGTGACCCAGTGGGAAGATGTCCCAGGGACCCAGAGAAAAACACAACTGTCTATGAACCTAGTAATCAAGCCTGCTCTCTACAGACTGTAAAGCTGACCTTCATCCCAGAACTAGCCTTGTAGACCAAAGTCCTGGAGACAGTCCAGTCCATCCAGAGACCAAACAGCAGGATCCATGCCCACTAAACCACCTGGTAACAGGCTGGCCACCCACAGGCCCCACTGCAAAAGGAGTAGCAGCCACATGACCCAGCTCCAACCCCATTAAAACTAGAAGAAAAGAAGGCAAAATAAAATAATTGTGACAGGGCTGACAGGACAATTGTGGATTAAGTCTCAGTTCTTTTTAAAAGGGTTACATTGAAGATAAATCTTGACTGCATCTTTAGAGGAATTAAGGTAACCTTGATGAACAGTAGAAGGAATCACATGTGAAATTCCTTGAATAAAAATTTACTGGCTTTAAATAATTTTGTCTAATATATAACATACAATTTAAAAAACTCTTTCCAAAAAAAGACTAGAAGATATGTTTGCTCCTTCAAATGCAGACACCAACACAAGACGACAGGGATAAAAAAGAATCAGGCAATTATGACGCCACCAAAGGAAACTAATAAAGCTCCAACAATCAACTCCTAAGAAATGGAGATCTAATAACTGCTTGAAAGAGAATTCAAAATAATCATATTAATGAAGTTCAATGAGATGCAAAACAATACAATTAGACAACTAAATGAGTTTAGGAAGACAATGCATGAACAAAATAAGAAATGTAATAAATAAACAGAAACATAAAATAAAAAAGAACCAAGCAGATATCCTGGAGCTGAAGAATACAACAGACCTGAAAAATTCAAGAGTGCTTCAACAACAGACTCAATCATGCAGAAGAAAGAATGTGCAAACTCAAATATAGATAGGTCATCTGAAATTAGCCAATTATAGGGAAAAAAGGAAAAATAATGAAAAAGAGCGAAGAAAGGATAAGGGGCCTATGGGACACCACCAAGCATACAAATATACAAGTTATGGGAATTCCAGAAGGCAAACAGAGCTAGAAGGGACCAGAAAGCTCACTTAAAGAAATCATCTCAAAACTCCACAAATCTCATAAGAGGTACACACATCTAGATTAATGAAGCTCAAAGGATCCCAGTCAAGATCAATCCAAAGAAGAACATTCCGAGGCACATTATAATCAAATTGTCAAAAGTCAGCCAGGTGTAGTGGTTCATGTCTGTAATCCCAAAACTTTGGGAAGCCAAGGTGGGCATATCACTTGAGGCCAGGAATTCGAGACCACCCTGGCCAACATGAGAAAATCCTGTCTCTACTAAAAATATAAAAATTGGCCAGGTGTGGTGGTGCACACCTGTAATCCCAGCTACGTGGGTGGCTGAGGGATGAGAATCACTTGAACCTAAGAGACAGAGTTGCAGTGAGCTGAGATTGGGCCACTGCACTTCGGCCTGGGCAACAGAGTGAGAATCCATCTCAAAAAAAAAAAAAAATACTGTTGAAAGTCAAAGACAAAGAGAGAATGTTGAAAGCAGCAAAAGAAAAGAAACTCATCGCATACAAGAAAACCCCCATAAAGGTATCAGTGGACTTCTCACCATAAACATTAAAACCAGAAGGGAATGGGTTAATATATTCAAAGTGCTGGATTTAAAACAAAACAAAACAAAAGTGCCAATCAAGAACACTATCCTCAGCAAAGCTGTATTACAGAAATGAATGACAAATAAAGACATTCCCAGACAAATAAAAACTGAGAGTGCTCATCACCACTAGACTTGCCCTACAAAAAAAATGCTAAAGGGTGTTCTTTAAGTTGAAACAAAGAAAGCAAATTAACAAAATAAATATATATAAAAGTAAAAACTCAATGGTAATGGTAAATAGTCAAATTCAGAATATTCTAATATTGTAATGGTGGTGTGTAAATCACTGGTATCTATAATATAAAGGTTAAATGCCAAAACTATTAAAAATAATCATAGCTGTAATAATTTGTTAAAGGATACACAATATAAAGGGAAGTAAATTGTGACACAAAAACGTAAAATAAGGCTGGGAGGTGGGGCATAAAAGTGTAGAGGTTTTGTGTGCAATCAAAGTTAAGTTTGTTTTATCAGCTTAAAATGAACTATCATAATTATAACATGCTCTATGTACGCCTCATGGTAACTACAAAGCAAAAACCTATAGTAAATATGCAAAAGATAAAGAGAAAAAAATCAAGACGTATGCCACTAGAAAAAATATCAAATCACAAAGGAAGAAAGCAAGAGAAGTAGAAAGGAACAAAGCCTTCACAAAACAAATAAAATGGCATAGTAATTCCTTACCTATTAATAATTACCTTGAATGCAAATACATTAGAGTCTCCAAAAGGTCAAAAGATATAAAGTGGTTGAATTAATTTAAAAAAGAAGACTTGACTATATGCTACCTATAAGAGACTCACTTCAGAAGCTTTAAGGACAAACATAGAATAAAACTGAAGGGGTAGAAAAAGATCTCATGCAAATGAAAACCAAAAGAGAGCAGGGGTAGCTATATTAACATCAGACAAAATAGGTTTTAAGTCAAAAACTGTAAAAAGAGACAAAAAAGGCCATTACATAATAATAAAGAAGTCAATTAATTCAGAGAATATAACAACTGTAAATATATATGCACCCACCATCAGAGCACCTAAATATATAAAGCAAATATTAATAGATCTGAAGGGAAATATAGAAGGCAATACAATAATAATAAGAGACCTCAATATCCCACTTTCAACAATGGCTAGATCGTCCAGACAGAAAATCATTATGGAAAAAGTGGAGTTGAGCTACACATGAGACCAACTCACACACATACATAGAACATTCCATTCAACGGCAGCAGAATACACAATCTTCTCGAGCACACATGGAACAATCTCCAGGACAGACCATATGTTAGGCCATGAACCAAATTTTGACAAATTTATGGAGACTGAAATCATATCAAGTATCTTTTCTAACCATGATGGCATGAAACCAGAAATCAAAAACAGGAGGAATTTTGAAAAATTCACAAAAATATGGAAATTAACCAACATGCTTTTGAACAACCAGTGGGTCAAAGGAGAATCAAAAGAGAAATCAAAAAATATCTTGAGAGAAACAAAAACGAAAACACAACTTACCAAATCTTATAGGATGCAGCAAAAGCAGTTCCATAAGGAAAACTTATAACAATAAATGCCTACATTGGAAAAGAATAATGGTTTGAAGTAAACAACCTAATGTTATACCTCAAAGAACTTAAAAATTAAGAAAAAAACTAAGCACAAAGTTAATTTAAAAAAGACATAACAAAGATCAGAGCAGAAATAAATAAAATGTAAGCTAGAAAAACATTTAAAAATCAACAAACTAGTTAGTTTTTTTCTGAAAGATAAAAATTGACAAAAGTTTTGCTAGGCTAACTAAAAAAAGAGAGAGAAGAATGAAATAAATAAAATCAGAAATAAAAGAGGAGACATAACTGATACCATGAAAGTACAAAGGATCATAAGAGACTACTGTGAAGATTATATGCCAACAAATTGGATGACCTAGAAGTAAATTCCTAGAAACATATAACCTATGAATAATAAATTATGAAGAAATAGAAAATGTGAGCAGACAGGTAACAAGTAAAGATATTAAATCAGTAATTAAAGATCTCCTATCAAAGAAAAGCCCAGGGCCTGATGGCTTCAATGGTGAATTCTACCAAACATTTAAATAAGCATTAATACCAATTCTTCTCAAACTCTTCCAAAAAGTTAAAGAGGAAGGAACACTTCCAAACTCATTTTACTAAGTCAGCATTACCCTGATATCAAAGCCAGACAAGGACACTACAAGAAAAGAAAATTACAGGCCAATATCCCTAAGTAATATAGATGCAAAAATCCTCAAAAAAATACTAGCAAACCTAATTCAACAGCACATTAAAAGGATAACTCACCATAATCAAGGGGATATATTCCTCGAAAACAAGCATGGTTCAACAGATGCAAATCAATAAATGTGATATACTATATTAAAAGAATGAAGGACAAAAACCATATGATCATCTCAATAAGTGCAGAAAAAGCATTTGACAAAATTCAACATTCTTTTGTGATTAAAAACTCTCAACAAATTAGGTATAGAAGGACTGTATCTCAACATAATAAAGGTCATATATGTTAGCCTACAACTAACACCATACTTAACCTTAAAAAGTTGAAAGATATTCCTCTAAGATCAGGAACAAGATATGGATGCCTATTCTTACCACTTCTGTTTAAAATAGTACTGAAAGTCCTAGCCAGAGCAATTAGACAAGAAAAAGTAAAATAAAATAAAAGACATCCAAATCTGAAAGGAAGAAGTTAAACTGTTACTATTTGCAGGTAACATAATCTTTTATATTAAAAAACACTAAAGATTCCACCAAAAGGCTGTTAGAATAAACAAATTCAGTGAAACTGCAGGATACAAAGTCAACATACAAAAATCAGTAATATTTCTATACACTAAAAACAAACTACCTGAAAAAGAAATCTAAAAACAATCTCATTAAAATAGCATCAAAAATTATAAAATACTTAGGACTAAACTTAACTAAAGAGGTAAAAATCTGTATACAGAAAACTACACAACATTGATGAAAGAAATTGAAGAAGGCACAAATAAATGGAAAGATGTCCCATGTTCATGGACTGAAAGAATTAATACTGTTAAAATGTCCATACTACCAAAAGGGAGCTACCGATTCAATGCAGCTACAGATTCAATGCAATCACTATCAAAACTACAATGACATTTTCTACAAAAATAAGAAAAAAATCTTAAAATTCATCTGGAAGACAAAAGACTCTGAATAGCCAATGTAATCCTAAGCAATAAGAACAAAGTTGAAGGCATCACCCTATCTGATTTCAAAATCTACTACAAAGTGATAATAATCAAAACAGTATGGTACTGGCAAAAAAAAAAAAAGATACATAGACCAATGGAATAGGACAGAGAATCCAGAAATAAACCCAAGGATATGTGGCATTACATGCATTATGTGGCATTATATGCCCTAATTTTCAACAAGGGCACCAAGAAATCATAATAGGGAAAAGACAGTCTCTTCAATAAATATCCACAGGCAAAAGAATGAAATTGGATACTTATCTTACACCATACACAAAAATCAACTCAAAATGAATTAAAGACCTGGAGCTATAAAACTCTTAGAAGGAAATACAGGGGAAAAGCTCCTTGACACTGGTCTTGGCAATGATTAAAAAAAAAATAGGATAGTGCAGGCAACAAAAGCAAAAATAAACAAGTGGGACTACATCAAACTAAAACGTTCCTGCACAGCAAAGGAAACAATCAAAAATAGAAAAGGAAGTCTATGGGTTGGGAGAAAATATCTGTAAACCATATATCAGAAAAGGGGTTAATATTCAAAATATATAAGGAACACACAAACTGAACAGCAAAAAAAAATGAATAAACCAATTTAAAAATGGGCAAAGGATCTGAACATTTTTCCTAAAAACACATAAAAATAACCAACAGATACTGTATACAAAAAGGTGCTCAACAGTGCTAATTATTAGAAAAATACAAATCAAAATCACAATGAGAAAGCATCTCACACCTGTTAGGATGGCTTTTGTCAAAAAGACAAGAGATAACAAGTGTGGGTAGCCATGTAGAGAAATGGGAACCCTTGTACACTGTTGGTGGGCATGTAAGACTGCTGCAGCCACAGTAGAAAACAGAATGGGGGTTCCTAGAGAAATTAAAAATAGAACTACTATATGACCCAGAAAAAATCCCTCTTCTGGATATGTACCCAAAGGAAATGAAATCACCACCTCATGAAGATATGTGCACTCCTATGTTCACTGAAGCATTATTCACAATAGCCAAGTTACAGAAAAAACTTTATCCATCGACAGATGAATTTTAAAACTCATATATATATATGAATATTATTCAGCCTTTAAAAAGAGGGACATCCTGCCATTAAGGCAATACAGATAAACCAAGAGGACATTATACTAAGTGAAATAAGCCAGACACACGAGGAAAATACTGCATGATCTCATTTATATGTGGATTCTAAAACAAACAAAACTAAATACATAGAAACAGAGTAGAATGGTGGTTACCAGGGCAGGAGTCAGGAGAGGAGCTAATGGGAAGATGTAGGTCAAAGGGTACAAAGTTGCAATTATGGAGGATGAATAAGTCTAGAGACCTAAAGCACCACATGATCACCAGGTAATAATGTTGTATTGTATGATGGAAATATGCTAAGACAGTAGACTTTAAGAACTCTATTCACAATAAATAAATACATACATACATACATAAAGGTGACCATGTGAGATGATGAATATGTTAATTTGCTTGACTATAGTAATCACTTTGTTATGTACATGTATATCAAAACATCATAGTTAACACCTTAAATATTAAAAAAGTAAATAAATAAGGAAATCCTGCAAAATGCAGAGCCAACACATTCCAAGTTGATGAGGAGCATGGTCATTTGACCAATTACTTGCACTGAGCTTGTATTTCTCCATTTGGCTATTATGATAAAGCAATATAAACTCCATTTTCAGTCTGGAAATCTTGCCAAAGACAGAATTGAGTTCTGATACAACCTGTCCTTACTGAGCCCACATTAGATGCCAGCCTTCTTCTCTGGGTTCCCATATAATCTGCTTAATTGTCAGTTCTTAAAACTTTTCTAGGATGGGCATTAAGTTCCCCCATCTTCCTGGGAGAAGAATTCACCCTCTTCCCACTTGAAAAAAAAAATCCAAATTTTTGTTCATTTTCATGATTTCTCAAAATCATTTTCTGTAGCTGTTTATGGATTTATTTACAATTCTCCTGGTATCCTGGAATATAATTTCATTAATGCCTAAAGATTTGAAATCCATGAGAGCTACACAATCTTTCATGTATCAGCTATGTTATTACCAAAAGCACTAGAAGATAAAAACCCCAACAAGAAATTGGTATGGACTGCAAACAAACTTCATTAAAACTGAGACAGAGTGAATTAAAAAGAGAATAAGAATTGAAAGCAGTACCACCATATAAAAAGGGCAGCTCTGTGGTTTTAATTCTTTTTGAAAATATACAAAACAGTAACTTGCTTAAATGACTTGGTACCACTTTTTAATAACTATTACATATGAAAACTGCCCATCTTCAGAGTATAAGTGCTTGGCTAAGTTCCGTTCCTGGTCCTCTCTGCTTCTCTCTCTAAATGGACTTATCCTTCGAGAACCATCTACTACTTAAATAACTACAGATTTATGTCTCTAACGTGATCTCTCCTAAAAACTGCAGACTTCTATTTCCAGCGGTATACCTGGCTTTTCTTCCTAGACAGTCCACTTTAATCTCAGGGTCACCTTTCCCAAGCCAAACTATTACCTTTTTTAAAAAATTAAAAGTCCCTATTTTCCCCTTCCTCAATTCTGTTGCTAGTGACATTTACTCTTACCATGCGCCTCACCTGAAATCTAAATAATCTCCATTCTTTCCTCTCTTGCATATCCAAATCAGTCACTAAGTTCATCAATCTTCCCTCTGTAGTATTTCTTGCATAATGCCTTCCTTTACATCTCACAATCAGAACTCCAATTCCACCTCCCATCACCTCACACAGCCTCTACAGTAGCTCCTCCTACCCCCTGACTACTGGTTTTCCAGACTGTAATCTCTCCCAGCTTCCAAAAGAAGAGCAACAAATCCAACTTCCCAAAACATGCTCCCATCAAGTCATTCCCAGAATCTGCTGCTTCCAATGACCTCCTTACTTCCCCATCTGATGAGCAAGGCCATCCCCAGTTCTTGTTTACTCACTGCCACCAAACCTTTGCATACATTGCCAGCTAGCACCCTTTTTACAAATGAATTCAGATATATCTATTCCTTTTTTAGATCTTACCTCTCAGTCAAAGGCATAAATACATGTAGAATGCAGGAATGAATAAAGGCTATCTACAAGGGGCTCAGAGTGAAACTGAGCCAACTCTGACAACTTGCACCTATGTGCAAGACCCTTTGCTAGGCACTATAGAGGATATGAAGATTTGCATTTTGGTTAATCCGGACAAAACCACCACATAAAACATCTTATAGGGAAGTGCATCCCAATTGCCAAAGGAAGTTACAAACTTCTTGCGGAGGAAAAGTCACATAATGGGCTTGATGCCACCTGTATCATAAAATAAGCTGTCTGTCTGAACAGGCACATCAAAACTTGATTGTTTACTTGAATAAATACTGAACTCATTCTAAAAAAAAGAGAGCCACCTAGTGAAAGACAACAACTAATTTTATTTGAATGCAAAAAACCTTTGAACTTTAACCTCCATCTCTATGTCTAAGATGTCTTATTTTTAAAGACAGATTCTTATCTGAGATGTTCACAAATTTTGTTTTAAAGAAGTTAAATGAGATGAACTTTCAAAGATTCTTCAAATTCCTTAATTTCCTATGGGTTAGCTCCCTCTGCATGCCTACTCTAAGTGATTGTGGGAATAGCTGCACCAAATACACCAAAGCATCCTAGTGGAAAATTTGCAAGTGATCTACAGCAGTTCCAGTTAGCTCAAGACCACTAGTAAAGATTTGTGCTTTTAGTGAAAGGGCAGTCCCATAAGATATTCAGTATTCTATGGGGTATCTATGGTATCCCATAGATACCAGTATTCTAGAAAAGCAATGTGGTGTTAGCCCAACACAATACATACCATCTAAGAATTATGTAACCATTTTCATATTAATCACTGCAGAATTATCTAATTAATATTTTATTTAAGACCACTGAGGAGGACGTTTCACATGACAAGAAATACATCTTAAATCCATCTTAGCCTTGCTTTAAAATGCAACCGTATCTATTGTGTACCGCTTTATGATGAATGGGACAAAACCCAAACACTTTTCTTCTGCAATTCATGAAGGAAAGATTACAAAATACTGGAAAACATCATTTCGGTTTTTTTTTCTATGCACAGAGAATGAATGATAAGCCTTAAGCTATCAAAATGGTGGAGATGAGGAGAAGAGATTGACAATCAATGCATACAACATAAGATACTACTGTAGTAATGTGGTAAAGCTATTAGATATGTGAAAGGGGTGATTCTCCTCTACATTCTCTTATGCTGAGTAACAGCTCCCCAGAATAAAAGGGAAAATTTTCCCCAGTCAAAATACATAAATGGAAGACATAAATATTTCCTCTCTCCTAGAAGACCGGCAGAAACAGATGCTTCCAGGTGCTAGGCATTTTCCATTTTGCCAGGGGTAATCTTAGCATGCTCACATTCAATAGTTCTTTGAGGAATATCCAAATAAAATTATTTTAGCTATTCTCATGAAGATATAATACCCACAATCTAAAAGTTAGTAAGAATTAAGGATAAATATTAACAAGTGCTAGGATTAAAATAAACCTTCATAGGGATAAAAGACTACATATTGGGTATAATGTACACTGCTCCAGTGACAGGTGCACCAAAATCTCAGAAATCACCACTAAAGAACTTATCCATGTAACAAAAAACCACCTGTACCCTCAAAACTATTGAAAAATAAATAAATAAACTTTCATGGTTACAAAAAAACAAACAAACAGCTAACACAATTAAGGAGCTCACATTACTAAAATGCTGAATCAAGGCTCAGCCATGTTGTAGTATGTATCAGTACTGCATTCCTTTTTATTTCCCAACAATATTTTATTGTATAAATATACCACATTTTTTGGTCCATTCATCAATTGATGGAAATTTAGGTTTTTTCCATTTTTTGACTGTTATTAATAATGTTCCATGAACATTAGTGTACATGTTTTTATACTGACATATGTTTTTACTTCTCTTGGAAGGGCAGAGCTGCTGGTTCACATGGTAACTCTGTTTAAGAACTGCCAGACTTGTTTTCCAAAGAGGCTGCACCATTTCCATTCCCATCAGCAGTGTTTGAGGGTTCCAATTTTTCCACAACATTATTAATACTTGCTGTTACCTGTCTTTTTGATTCTAGCCATCCTAGCGGGTGTGAAGTGGTATCTCACTGTGGCTTTGATTTACATTTCCCCTGATGGCTAATGATGTTGACATCTTTTGGCCATTTGTCCTTATGGCCCATTTGTGTATGTTAGCTCTGGATTTTTCATAGATGCCCTTTATCAGGTCAAGGAAGTACTTTCTATTCCTTATTTAATGAGTGTTTTCATCCTGAAGGGGTGTCGCATTTTGTCAAGTGTGTTTTCTGAATTTAAAGGTGATCAAGTGGTGCTTGATACCAGCTGTTTTTGTTTTGCATACTTATGAAGTCTACACAATTCTAAAAATGTGTTATGCATTTCAGATTTTTATAAAAAGGTTCAAATTTAAATGAAGTATACATTCTAAAAATTATGTCCGTTAAACAAAAATTATGGGAGCCCATTGTTTTAGACTGAGCTTCTGCACCCAACCCCAAGAGACCAGACCAAACCAAAATGGAGTCACTCAAGCTAAATGCCATATAATCAAACTGAAACGTTAAAGAAGCAGATAGATCCCAAAACAGATTGGGTTTTCCTGAAAACAGGAGATTCCAGTCGACCTGAGTCAGTGCAATAAAGAAGTCTCCTCTGCTTTAACTTGCAAAAGAGTCACCGGAAGTAACCTGATGTTAACCAGTTTCTTTTTTTCTATAGTTGTTTCCTTGTTCCCACTTTCCAAACCCACTGTTCTGCCATTGCTCAGTGGGAGCTCTCATTCTATTTTGTTGAATGGAGGCTGCCCCAATTTATGAATCACAAATAAAAGACAATTTGATTTATAACTAAATTTGTCATAATTTTGTCTTTTGACATGTCTATAATAAACATTTGGAGAAGTACATCAGTAATATTTTGGAAAAAAATTTATTATGAAACCTATATAAGGACTTTTGAATGGTAAAAATTACAGGTTTTTTTTGTTTGTTTTTTTTTCTTTTTTGTTCTACCAGTCTAATTTTTTATGGTCCTACTTTTTCAGACTACTTCTTGGCTACTTCTGTTCTTCAGAACAGCAACCCAAACACACACTCAAAGTCTATGGACCACTCTACATAAGCCCAAATTAAACACAATTTCCATGTAGTTGAATATTACAGAAAGCAATTCAAATAAAATCGAAATAAAATCAGAGGATCTGTGTTCAACAGACAAAATCCAACCAAACCCATACAATAGTAAAGAGGATAATAACAAGTAGTTTCACAGATAGTTAAATATATCTAAGCCAAATGGTTTTTAGGAAACCTGTATGAAACCTTTTAACTCAGTGAACTACTTTCTAGTATTTAACAAAATCATTTAAAACAATAAGCTTTGTCTCCATGATTATACACAATCATTTTGTCAAAATATGTGAACACAGACAATGGCGTATTTTCCCCCTTGTGAAATTCAAATCTACTTGGAAATGCCATAATCTGTGCAGAATTTTTCAAAAGATGCTAAAAATATGTAAAGTATATTAAACCAGTCCAAAGTAACAGACCTCCAAAATAATTAATGTACATTTTGAGGTTTTGGAAACTGTACTGGCTAATGTGGCTGTTGCCAGCTAGAACTAGGAGATCAGGAAAAGCTTTCATGAAGAGTGTTTTACCATAGAAGAGAAACATTATAAGTAGCTCATCTTACACAGTCTTATTAAAAGAAAGCCTCACTAATATTAAGAACATTTCTTCTCTTTATTCTCAATGTTTACATTCAACCACTGAGTCTTAAAATACAATGAAGAAAAAAACATGCCATTATTACTAAAATAATGTCAAAAATATCATTTAAAATCAATTTGGTGGACAAATATCTTCCAGGCATTAACCGAATCACGTATTTTCTAAAAACAATAACACTTAAATACAATTTGCTTAATTTTATGTTGTGTGTCCTCATCTCACCCCACTCCCAAAACCTAAACACCAATTTAGATTTTTTGGTTCATGTTTAACTCTCCTGAGATTTCCAATATGGCATATATTCTCAGAATTTCATTCTACCTCTTTTCGGATACATAACAAGGAGAAAATGCTTACAAAATTATAGAGATGTACAAGAACATAGACTATTGCATCATAGAAAGATGAGTCACTTTCCTCTTCACCCCAACGTTCAGGATCCTTACACACTGGGATTGCACCACATGCAATGCAGTGGCCAAAAGGGACTCTTCTTCCACAAAACACTGCACTAATTCTCCAGTATTCAGCTTTTCCACTTGAATGGAATAAAAACCCTTTTGAGAACAACAATTACAATCCCCCCATTTTTTTCTCAGGCACACTATTGGACTTCTTAGTGCATGCACAATGCAAATAAGGCAAGCTTCCTTTCACAGAGTGATTAATATGCAAAGACAGCCTGCTTTTTTAGTAGGATGTGAAGAACCACCAACAAGCCTTTCTAAGCCCAGAGGTTTCTACAATTATTTCCACTGTTTATTTTTAAACAGAAGATTACACAATAACACCAAGCGCTGTAGCTCTAATTTGCCAGTATTTTGTAAACAATGACAATTTAGATTTTTAAACCTTTTGTATCATATTTAAATCTGTGGTCAACTATTGATTCCAATGTATTAATTTTTTTCCAAATCTAGGAAACTCATTTATATGGGACAAGACTCAATCTATACTTTTCTATTAAGAAATTGCACTTCATTTTTAAATAGTGAATGATTTTCTGGCATAAACTTTTGGAAAATGTGGTGATTTTTAAAATTTTTTATAAATTCCAAATGAAGACTAAGAAATGACATTTCTTTCGTGGTGAAAACCAGAAAATCTGCTAGACAAATTATAAAAGAGCTATAATACTAGAAATTGCATTTTAATAGTAATCCATCTCACTTACACATATGCTTATAAAGATTGCGACTTTTCCAAATTGTTATTAAATCACTATAAGACTATTTTAATAGAAAATTTAACAAAATTTGTTCAATAAAACAATGCTACAAAGAAAATAATATCTTTGTAGAACAGACTAAACACATATGCACATTTAAGAAGCATCTCTAATCACATTATTTCCCAGGTGATTTTTTTTTTTTACCAAAGTTTCCAAGAAAAAGCAAACTTATCTGATACAGCTGTTAGGCCTTCCTTAATAAAGATTTCACTTGTCTCATCATTTTTGGTTTTGGACTGTCTTCACCCACAAAGTATCACGACACAATTCTAATCATAGAATTACCTGACGTTTGCACCTAATGCTTTAAGGAAAAAATCATTGAAAACTCAAACATTTTGCTCTGAATATAATTTTTTAAAATCAATGCATTAAACACCAAAATGCAACTCGATTTTTCTGTTCTTTTTAAAAAACAACTTCTACAGATATAGTTTTAAGATAAAATGTTAGATATGGATAAGACTTACCACATCAAATTGCATTTTAGCCAAAATATTTCAAAAATATATATAGATCAATACCTATCATGGTCTAAATCAAACCGATCTTCTCTCCAACAGTCCCAAATCCCAAGATACATGACTCGAAACAGACAATAATATCTACATACCTTCAGGTTTTATAGAATAGATATTAGCATCATTTCAAGAACATCAACAAGTCATTCCAGACATTTTTGTTTCCCTGTGAAGTTTCAGTGTCCAGCTAGTCCAAGGCACTTAAGCACCTGGATTCTCCAGACAGCCGCAGACATACAACCAATCCCACCAAATCAATCTGTAGGTTTAAATTGTTTTCCTCCTTTGTACTTCTAAATTCTAAAAGTTCTCCTCCTTTGTACATTTAATAATTTTCAATTACTAAAAATTTATAATTAAAAAATTGATTTATTTGTTCCAGTCTATAAATAAATAAAAAGATGAAAGTGAAGATTAAACTCACAGTGGAACTCATCATTTTAAATCTCTCATGTTGAGCAAGTTAAGAGTATATAATTGTATATATATTTTTATACTCACTTATCACAAACAAAAAGTTTAGTATTTAGAAATACATTCATAAATTGTTAAAATAACTGCACATATTTATAATTTATGTTTTCTTAAAATATGTCCAATTGTACTTTTATTATTGTGACTAAATAACTTTAACTGGGGTTTGTTTGTGAAAGCTATTCTCTTAATATTGCACAGGGCAGCAAAAATATAACTCAGTAATATATTGATTTACCTCCCAGTGACTTCAAAAGTATCTACTGTGAATATCACTAGAACACAAAATAGTGAATGATTTTTCTGGTTTCCTATTTAGATACAAAACTACCCTTAAATGCCTAAATCAATTATTGTGTGAAATGTTTATATTCTCAAAAATAATGCATATGTCTAACTTGGCTATAAAGGAATACAAATAATAAAAATATTCTTTTTATAAGAAGGAAGGCAGGCGAATGAACTGCCTTCATGACCAGTTATCTTAATTGAGTCTGACTGGTAATTTAAATTCTGATTCCAAAGCCAATTTAGTTCAAAATGACCTCAAATGGTAACCTAGGGCAGTTAACTGACTCACTTTCAATCCCTTATCTTCAAAGAAAATCACATAATGTCCCTTTTTTACTTCATTATGACAGATGGTTTTCTTTGATGAAAATTTTAAATTTTAAACGTGATGAGTAACTTTCACTTACACACACAAAAGGAAAAAAATGCTGAGAAAATAACAAATAACTCTTATTTATCATTTTCTGACATTTCAAGATTGTCTTTTGTGTCATTCCACAGGCATAAATATTACAAGTATAAACAAAAAACTTTTTGAACGTGGTCTAGAATTTTTCACAAAGCTGAATGGTATTCATCTTTCACCTCCAATTCCTAGACCAACTACATAGAATACGGGAGTTATTTCATAAATACTGGATTAAGTCAATGTTTCTAGTGGACATTTAACTACCCAACAAGTCTGAGACATGGCCACTTGCCAATGTGTTCATAAAATTGTTCTTGTTCTGATTTGCAAAATCACTGCCAAGTCCACGTCTTTCTATCAAAGAAATGTGGAATCTCAGGCCACCTTGGAATCTCTTGAGAATGCTTCAGTTCAGAAAAGTTTCCTCAAAACTCTTTAAATTGTCAATCCCTTGAAGTTGTCTGAACATTCCTCTGTTCGGGTTTTTGCCTTTGATGCACCCCTAGAGCATGTCCCTTTTCCTTTAAGAACTGCAAGCTTCTTTCAGTCTCAACGATCCTACCCTAAAACGTGCAAGATAAAAGACTTCAAAAAAGATTTTAAAAGCCCGCTTTGGACTTTAGCAATTAGAAACCCTGAAGGAGATAGGTCATCAGTGGGTTCTGAGTCTGCTCCAAAATTAAAGTCAATAGAGCCTCTGATACCACTAATTCAAACACACACACACATACATACACACACACACACACACACAAACTGTAAGCTACAGGAGGGTGGCAGCCATATGTCTCTTCTCCCATACTCCCCTCACCTCAGCAGAAGGCTCAATTTTTATAAATAGAGAGATTGAACCAGATGCACTTTGTCCTTGCATATACCAGACTTTGTTGAGGGCAGAAGCACCCTACTGAAAATAGGAGAATTAAATGAAGTCTAGACTACAGAAGAAAAAATTACCCCCAATCCATTTCTTATTCAGCTTAGAGAAAAATAGTAGTTGGACTTATACCGTGCCTGCTGCAAAATTTTGGATTCTCTTAAGTCAATCAGTCCAAAAGAAAATGTAAGTACTCATGAATATACATGGATGTCCCCCACCCAATAAACCAAGTTTCTGCACAGTCTTTCAGTGTGTGACATCCCACACTGAGCCCCACAGCTCTTCAGGGTCTCACTCTTTACTAATAGGCAGCCAGGGATCATTAGAATTTGAGGAGTTAAATGAAACAACATGAAACACAAAAGGAGATACAACAGCAAACATAATAAAGAGGAATTCAGACAAAAAGAGACAAGAAGCAAGAGAAATGTTATGAACTCCTCAGCGATATGAAAGATATTGCATCAAGAAAGAAAAAGATGCTATGCTAGCTCTTCAGAGGCCTCTTTCCGTTACTTCTTCATTCTTCATGTTTCAAAGAATCAGGGTTGCCAGGTAAGTGACTTCCAGATTAAGTGACTTCCAGATTAATGAAGTGTCACCAATATGATCTTTAGCAGCAACCATTATTTAAATACACTAAATTTTATGGCTCAACCATTATAGTGAATTGACAGATTTGATATTAACCCTATGCAAATGGAAAGGAGAATCTAGATAAACCACTTTTAATTTTTTAACTATTACTTTTGTCAAAATCAAGATCTACTAGGCTTTGCTTTCATAGGAGGTAAAACAGCTCCACAATGAAGCATGGCATTTCCAACTCAGTTGCAATTCACAGTGATCCTGAACTCTCAGAACATGAAAAATAAATGGAAAATGTGATTCTCATTAGAATCAATACTTAAATCCAACGCGAATTGTATATCCCTTCACTGTGAACTTTAGCAGAAAGAAAGGATATGGGAAAAAATTGCTGAGCTCACTATGTGCCAGACAGTTGTATAAACTACCTCATTTCATCCTCACAATAACCCTATTAGTTAGGTATTATCCCTGATTCACAGATAAATAAACTGACCGTTGGAGATTAAATAACTGGCTCAAGGTCATGAAAAGCAGGAGAGTCACAGTTCGAAATGTGGGTTTGATACCAAAGGTCCATGGGGCACCCTGTGCAGTATGCACTGCCTCCAACACCAAAAGGAGATACTAAATTCAGAAAGAAAGAAAGATAATTTATAATTATGTACCCAAACCAAAGAGCTTTCATTGGATTTCCATCTTCTTATGCCCTTGATAACAGGCCTTTAAGGCTGCTTAAAGTACACCTTTATGGAGTACTGTAAGTCCAATTCTCATATAGCAATTGCAGCTTAACTGGTGACTGGCAGCCTCTCATGTGAACAGAATGGACACTCAAATTGAAAATGACTAAACGAACATTAGAAAAGTAATCAATCACTCCTGTGCTGATCTGATAAAAACAGCACATCCAATTTGTGACATGCAGAACAAGCTTCAAAAGATTTTGCTATAGAAACATTTTTTAAAGGTCTAGAAATAAATGTATGAACACCACAGGCAATGAGGTAAGAAGACAAAACTGAATCTAAAAATAATCAACTCATATGATAAATGAAGTCACTGGGGAAAACCCTTAACTTTATTCATTTCCTCTGGCATAAAATTGTCCTGTTGTCCTTTGCAAAGGTTGCTCATCACCTCTCCCCTCCCTCTGGCTCTTTTCCGTGGTGATGCATAGTTCAATGCGCCCAGGAAGCTTCATGATGAGGCCGTCACCCAAACTAGCAGCCCTCCTTTCCTTCTTTCTTTGCCAAGTGTCCTGGACATCAGCTCTTCCTCAGTCTTTGACTCTAAATAAAGAACTTGAATTTCACCATTCAACTGAAATCCCTCTGACATCACTACTCTCCTCTGACACAAATCCCAAGTTTCTACTTAATTCTCACCTACTTTATACTTTTAACCACCCTTAGTACTGCTGCCCTTGTTTTTACTGCACTATTTGTTTTGCAAAGCAATATGTGCTCATTATCAAAAACTCAGACAACATAAATAGTGATTTACCGTCTTCCAGTCTTGATTACAGGGTGAGTGAAAGACGTTTTTTAACAAGATTGGGATTATACCTATATATATTATTTGTTTCCAACTTTCTTTCACTTCACTTTATTATACTTTTCTAACCTAGGCTTTTGTGCCACTAAGCTCTGGTTCTCTTCATTTGTTCACTATTACCTTCTGAATTATAGGCAAGATATCATTCTGTGTGCTACATAAACACTGCCACATAAATACTTGTGGGCGTGATAAAAACCCCGCAAAGTACTGACCATAACTCATGGTGTTTTTCTCTCCACTGAACATATAAAAATATAGATTACTACCATCTTTGAGTCTTCCTAGTCTCTTTAACTGGGATTCCTCCATTCACCTCCCAAACAGGGAACACACATACTTACCTCATCAACCCTTCCTCTCAGCGGAGATAAATTCTTCCTTCAAAGTCTCCTTCAACTCTCACCTAAAGTTGTGTGAATTCTCCAGTGTCTGCATATTTATTTCATTCCCTCAAGCTTATAACTTTAAAGAGCTTTCTCTCTCTCCGTCGTCTACCATTTGGGATCCATCATCCACCCTTGCTGGTTGCTTTGTTATTTCTAACATCTCAGCTATGCCCCTTTTATCCTTATCCAAAGTCATTACAAGTGTGTCTTTCCAAAATTATCTGCTTTAAAAAATATACCACAGTTGGGTTTCTTTAATCTAACAAGGACCTCTGGCAGTACACAAAATTTGATTTTTATATAATTTTCAGCTACATGTCTACTAATAGAATGTACAGCTGTAACCACCCTCTGGTTCCCAGGCAATATTTATCCTGACTCTGAAACATTAAGTGCCTCATATTTTGGCTGTAGATGCTACCTGGTATTCCCAGTTATCTTTTCATTCCCAAACAGACAGTAAGATCTGTAAGGTCAAGGTACCATATTTAGGGCACAATGATGTGCACCTTCAGTCCCAGCAACTCAGGAGGCTGAGGCAGGAGCCCAGGAGTTTGAGGCCAGTCTGGGCAACACAGTGAGATACCATTTCAAAAAAAGGTATAACATTTAGAGTTTGATTTGTTTTGTTTTTTTCACACCCTGTCGTTAACTGACTGCTTAGATGCTCAATACGTAACTTTGCTGTCATTTCTTCCTCCCCACCCTCACAACCCATTCAGTTTCTATTCTATACCTTCTGACGTACTCTTACTCCACTACAGACTGCTTCACCCTCTCTTTGATCCCACATTCTTCCTTCGATGACAGTAGCTTCCAAACTCTTTTGACCTGAGCCAAAAGAATGTATTTTCCATTACAACCAAGTTACATATTACACAGAGAGAGAGAGAGAGAGACAGAGACAGAGAGAGAGAGAGAGAGAAATTGAAGTACTCAAAGCAGTACTTACCCTTATATAAAACACACTCTCTTTTTCCACTTCTTCCCTCCTTCTCTCCCTCCTTCCTCCCCTTTTTCCTTCCTCTCTTACTTCTTTCTTAATATATATGGAAGCCCGTTAAACAGATTTCATCATCCATAGTTTGAAAAATACTGACCTACAAGTTAAGGTATTAGGAGGCCCAAACTTTTTCTAAAACCTAACCTGTCTCTTAATTTCTCCATCATATTTACAGTACCATGATTATTTAATTTCCTCGAGTTTGTAACTTCAAAGATCTTTCTCCCTCTCAGTCATCTACCATTTGGGATCTATCATCTACCCTTGGTTGCTTTGTTATTTCTAACATCTCAGCTATGCCCCCTTTATCCTTATCCAAAATCATTACAAGTGTATCTTTCCAAAATTTCCTGCTTTAGAAAATATATCATAGTTGGGTTTCTTTAATCAAACAAGCACCTCTAGCAGTACATAAAATTTGATTTTTATTTTTCAGCAACATGTCTACTAATAAAATGTATAGCTGTGAAATATTTCATTTACAATGCATTTCCCATATATTATCTTATTTTGTTCTTATATTCGATTGCGGAAGTTACAGTTCAAAGAGGTTACATAACTGATATAAATTCACTTGGCTAGTTAGTAGCAGAGCAACTTCTTGAACCCAGATCTTTCGAATCTAAGCCCAATGGTGTCCTTTCCCCGCATACAGGTGTTCCTACTGATTAAGCAAGATACTTTCATTGGACTTCACTAGCCTCCCTTCTCCTAGTATCATCTAGTTGATGTTTCATACAGCAATAAAAATCCCTTCGTTAGCCCTTCATTTTGTCCGACCACCATAGTGGATGCTATATAAAACCAGAATTCCCTTTTAGTGCTGCAATGAACTATATGAATTTGTTCCTACTTAACTCTCTGCTAATTCCCAGCTAGTCCCAAACATAGAGCCTGAGGCAGCACACGCTCAGTTGCTATTGTTAACTATCCTCTTAAACATATATATATATTTTTAATTTCTCTGTCATCTCCAGCAGGACTCCTCTCCTTTGTCTGACATTTAAGATTTAAATATGGCTTGCCCCAAGTTCCAGCCTTTAACTGCTCTTCAATAGCAATTCTTTGGCCAGATCCACCTCATCCTATAGGAAAACAGGCCCTCTCTCCCTATTTACCTTCATATCTGTGGAGGTCCAGGTCAGTTCTAGCTTTTCTATACCTCTTTTTTCCCCCAGACATTAAAACTAATAGACATGATTTTTGCCTCTCAATTTTCCCAGTTTTTACCTGCCTGCTTCATTCGGGCACTTACTGATATAATATCTTTCATGATTTCTTCGCAGCTTGAACTAAGCAAAAGTGCTTCCTCTCCAACCACCTGAAAGGGTCAGTATAGTAACCTTAAATTTATTTTGTTTTTCCTCTAAGCCTCTAGCACAGAACTTTGCACATCATATTCAGAGTACTGTACACCTTTTTAAACAAACATTTCAAATAAAATATCTGACCACAGGGAACTTTTTTAAAGCACATAATGAGTACATACTTTATATCTGCTTTACATATGTGGTTTTATTTCAGCTCACCAAGACCCACAAGGGAAGTGTCATTAACCCCATTTTACAGATGGGGAAACAGGCTCAGAACGACAGCAACTTGCAGAATGGCAGGACGGTTCCTTCAGACCACAGCTCTGAATAGTGCCCTTCCTCCCCATCACTCCTCCCACACTTTGGTCAGACTCAGTCCAGAAGCCACAGGAATTCCTGTTTGCTTGGCATGTATTCAGATGCTATATATATTCAAATTATCCTTGCCTTAGAAAAGGATAAAATTCAGACAACGAACGTAAGTTGCAGTCCCAGCTCCACCTGCCTAAGTCATTTAACCTTTCTCAGTCTCAGTTTCCATTTAAAGACTTACAATCTGGACTTGCAGAATTTTTTTTTCTCCTTATCTCTGGCTACTCCTCCCCACTACTCTCACACTGTTCCCCATGTACAACCAGATTCAGATCTCAACCACTGCTCAGGGTGTCTGCTCTGCCCAGATCACCCCTTCTTCCTGCTCCATCTAATGAAAGCAATTCTTCCCCAAGCCCAGCTCGAGGGAGTCCCAGGCAGAATTAATTGCTTCCTTTCTTGTGGCCCAACAGCATTTACTTCATGCCTCTGTTTATAAGTATAGTATGTCTGTCTCCCCTCCTTCCAGGTGGTAAGCTCTAAAGGCAGATGTATTATTTTCCTGGACTTCATAACGTGAAACTCCACACGATTCCTGAAGCTATCTGACCTTCTCCAGACTTCACAAAGGTTTGTTGAGTTAAGGAATTCAGGAATGTTTGTTGTAATTCAATGTTTGTTGAATTAAGTAGTCAATCAACCATGCCCTAAAATGAGAATACCATCTGTTCTTCCTATTTCACAGTTGTTTAAATGTTACATCTTCACCTCCCCAACCACCCAATCCCCCTTGATAATCTCTCATCCTGGGTTTTTCTTAGACTTGAATCTGAATATGTAATTATAAATGTATGTGTTACTTTTTAATGTCTATATTTCTCTGTACTACTAGACTGGAAACTCCATGAAAACAGGGACGATGTACGTTTAGTTCACCGCTGTATTCCCAGCACCCAGCACAGAGCACGTACTCAGTCAATATTTACTAAATAATTAGTGTGAAGATTAAGCACATATCAAAGTGTTTTGTAAACCATAACGTGATGATTAAGATATAATTATTGGTATTATATATCCAGTTTATCTCCTTTTAGATAGCTAAAACAAAATCTTCAGTCTCCTCTCCAATATCATATGCCTTTAGCTGGCAAAACTACTTCTTGCCCTGCCAATCGGGCACTTACATCTCACTCATTTGAATAATAATAGCAATTGCTTTATTTTCTTCTAGTTAGTAATTTACAAGAATATCGGCAGTGACAAATATCAAATCAGCTCAGATCTCATTTAAGATCTTCTGTCAAATAAAAGTGAAATACTTCTTTCTAAAAATGACTTTGACTTCAATATATGATTCTAATCTTCAAAGCACTACACATACAACCTCTATGAGGTCCACGTTTAATAAACTGGAACGATTAGTTTATATTCCCAAGCAAGTGGGTCCAAGTGGACCAAAGGATAGTTGCTAAAGAAGGACCAGAAGTTTTCAGGGTTCCTCAACTGCATGGACTCCTTCCAAGGCTCTGGGGGACTGGGACTTGGCAATGTGTTCTCATGGTCATGTATTCAACTAACCTTCGCAAAAGCAAGAAGAGTTTTGTATTTTCCTTAAAGAAGGCCCTCAAAATTATATACCCTTCAGGCCCAACAAGACCTAGATCCACCCTTGTGCTGATGGTTTTCAACCTTATAATCAGGCCATTTTTTTCTCTGAAGTATTCACAACCAACATGGAATTGCAGGCATATTTAGTGACCAATTTTTTAAGCCTAGTTCTAATCTCTGAAGGAGTCCTGTGTATCATAATACCCTTTTTAAAATCCTTCTAAAAAGAGGGCACTATGTCTAAATAATTATTTTTTCCAGATCCATATATATCCTTCTTGCTCACTAATGAACACTGCCTACATGCACTGAAGTCCTAAGATCTCTAAAATATTTATAACTCTAACAAGTAGGCATTACTAATTTTCCGATCTCACGGAAGAGGAAACTGAAACTTGAAGGAGTTAAATCATTTGTCTGAGATCAGACAGCTAGTAAGGGATATGTCTGGGGTTTCAACCCAGGGTTATCTACCTCTCTTAATCTCTAGTCTCTACTACTCCCAAGGTTCCCTGACAGCAGAAATTATGTCATCTCACTCCTTTTAATTCCCCACAGAGCAGATGATAAAAAGCTGGCACTCAATAAACATATTTGATCAACTATTTAAGAGAATACCTAATGTAACACAATCTCAAACAGTGTGACATTACTATGAATATTCTTAAATGATGAGGTAATCAGATACCAAAGGAGGTGATTAATGTACAACAAAAGGCATTTTACACCTTATCTCAGGAATGACGCCAAATAGAAAACGGAAGATCAGCTGTTACCCATGTTTGCAGCTACAAATCAAAAAGTCCTCAGAGTACGAAGTGGAATATAGGTTACATAGAAGCCTTTTAAATCATATCAGCCATGCAATCTTTGAATTCAAGAAAGTGTTACGTATATATGGAAGAAAATAGAATGCATAATGGGTTTATTACAATCTGTTTTTCAAAAGCACACATACACAAGATACACCAAATAGCTTATCCTTTTAGTGCAGTCCTCTTGGAGTCTCCAATTGCTTAGAAGCTAAATTAATACTGCAGGAAAGGAAAAGTGTGTCTACCCAACTGAAAATCCGTTAACTCAGTGGCTGCATGTAGACATGGCCTGAGCATGTTTTAAATGTAACGTATTGAAACTGCCTGAAAGGCCGCCATTTGGCACCCAGGCCAACATCAAAAAGCAATGCTCCTAATGAGCATCTGCAGCTGAGAGACAGTATTTCAACAACATGAAATGAAAAGGCATAATGGCACCACTGCCAACGCCAAATAATTTACATCCCTTTACATCAGCAAATGGTTTTAAGGTTTGGCCCCAAGAGTTAATAACAAAAGAGGCTAGAGGTAACAGGACTATGACCTTCAGATTGACTTCTGTATTCTATTACCCTACAGTAAGTAGTAAGCATATCTACCTGTATTGTTAAAAATAGTTTCACTACAATGTTTTCGAATAGTGAAAACTCTGGAGCTCATAGAAACCTAATCATTAGGATTCAGAGGTCCTTGGACATTTCCTCCTTCCTAAAAGACCATCTCTTACAGCATTGCTCAGAGTCACTGAGTATATTATGAAAAGTAAAAAATTTTCTTCTTCGAATTTTACTTAGAATTCTTTCTTTTTAACCAAAGGAATTTTCACCTTAGTGACTTTTATTAAAAGCTCAAATGACTTCATTTTATACAGCCACGTGATTAATGTTTTCAATTTTGTGTAATTTGTAACCCAGTTTTAAGATCAGTAAAATGCTCCCTGTAATGTGCTGCCATTTCTTTTAAAGTTCCAGACATTCCTTAGTCTATATGTTATAACTGCTAAACTGAAAAATGATCAATTATGGAATTTACATTAAAATATTTATCTTGACACCAGAAAACATGTGTGTGCTCAAAAAAGCAATGCTGAACTGGTGCAGGAGAGCCTTTATAAGATGTCTTTGTCTCCTCCTAGTCTATGATTCTTCCCGCAGACTGACGGGGGCAGGTGCGATCCCTTCTCTCCCTGGCCTGCCAATTGGTTCTGCTCTCCATCACAAGCTCAAGATCCTAAAAGTGCAACCCGTTCTTTAGCAACAGGTACTCAATCACTTATTTTACACTAAGTCAGAAAGGACTGTCTGTAAAATGTCTTTGGAAGCCTGCCAGTAGTATTGAAGCCACTTTCAGTCTGGAGAGCAGCCACAGTTCTTTAATACTAAAGACAAAATTATGAGAAATTTATCAAACTCATACTTAACAGAGGCTTCATCACCTTGAAAAATTAAGTGGTTGCATCAGAAATTCCAGAGTCCATTATTTAAGCAGTGTAAATTTTACAAAATGCTCTCTATAATTTGAGAAACTGGGTTCTGTAGTGAACAAAAACATGTCTAAAGATTAGCTTTTGAGTGACAAAATGGTGCTGTTTACTTTGAAAGGCAATTAAGACATTGTTCCTTGTGACAGAAAAATACAGATATAGGTTACTTCCATTAAATTACATATTACCTATCTGAGGAATTCAATTAATGATAAATGGATTCCAAACAGAAGCACTGTTCAAAACTTGGAATTTGGGGGTGCTACAGACTAATTTCTCCTTCTTATTGCTGCCTTCAGTAAACACCCACATCCCTTACAAATAGCACACCCACATCATTTTTTTTTCAGTTTTGATGTGGGATTTTTTTTTCTTTGCAATTACTATCTTAATTCTTGAACTATCAAACTCAAGAAACCAGTCACCAGTTAAATCAACATATTCTTAGTTTAATCAATTATCATTGTAAGACTTAGAGGAAACTCCTTTACTAAACAAGAATATGTCCTGCTATTTTCTGGTATTCCATTTTTAAAAAAAAAATCCTAGATAAAGGTATCTGGAAGGAAGTTATCAGGTTCAACAATTTAGGGAAAGAAAGAGGGCGTTCATAAAGCATTAACTTAAGAAAACAGTTAAAGACTAATGGAAGCTTAGCTAGGTTAGCAGATCTTTAAGACCTTTATAGAGGGAATAGTAACTCAAAAACTTACATAAATCATAGCCCACACGTCTACAATGTCTGGATTATATTCCCTGTTTTTAATAACTCTGTTGGATTTAAAACAAATTATCAGTTATTAATATTTCTAAATATGCTAGTATTTATTGAAAGAAAATAATCTTTCTAGGGTTTGGTTAGAGTTGTGAAAGGTTTTCCACATTCTTATATAGCCTTTATTACATTCAGTGAAATTCTGTTTAAAAACACACATTCTCAGTCTTCAAATGAAAATCAACAAAAATATATGGCTCACTATAACTGTGCTCACAGTCAACTTTGTGGAAGCGCACCTTAATTTGCTTAGTGAGAGATATTATATATACTACTTGATTTCAATGTTAGCTTTTGTAAAGTAGCTCTTTGTTCTTAACCGATGGTATCTTGTTAGAAACCCAGTCCTATCCATTCCTTGACTCTTGCAAGTTTAACTGGCAGAAGACTGCAAAATTATCAAGTAAACATGTGACTTAACCATTCCAGATCGTTCAAGCGAACAATTCTTCAAAACATCCAAAATTTATACTAGAATAAACTCAAATTTACTATGCAATTGCACAACCTTTCATTGTATTTCTAAAGAGCAGAGGACACAGAAAGAGGAGAGGGGCAGCCCATCGGACTCACTTGACGTATTAAGGTTAGCTTGCCTTATATGTAAATTTTCATATGCACCCAGCCGAGCACACAAACTCAGTTACCACTGCCCTGGACATGCTACATTTGAGTCCAAAAAAAAAACAAAAAAAAAAAAAACAAAAAAAAAACCTCAGATATATATACATATGTATATATACTTGTTGTTATGTTTTCATTTTCATTCTAACCCTTTGACTTGAATTCTTTGATTTTTTTAAAAAAAAACTATGGTACAAAAGACATTTTAATGGGAAATTATTTCTCTTTGGAAAACCATTCAACTTCTTTCTTTTGTTAAGCAACCTTGTATGTGTTTCACGTTCTGCCTTCTTCCCATCCTCAAGGTACCGGGCCAGGAAAGAGGTCGCTTTCATTCCAGGGAACACTGGTTAGAATGCCTCCCCTGCCTGGGCATCCAGGAACATCCCAGTGGGAATTCCTGGGCCTGCAACTTCCACGGGATCCAAATACTGATGACTGTACCCATCACGATGATGGAAAGGACCGCCAGGCGATCCCCCAAAAGGCCCACCAAATATCCGGGCTCCATTGTCACGCTCCCACCCGGGGGCGAGGATGTCTCAAAAACACCCCCCTTCCCCCGCCCCATGTGGACAGGTCGCGTCGCGGCACCCACGGGCACCGCGGAAAGGGGCATAACCGGGGTGGCCCCCGCCCAGGTGGCAGCGGAGACCCAGGGCCAGGCGGACTAGGCTTGGTCCCCACCCCTCCTCTCCGGGCCCTGCCACGGCCCCGCCCCGCCGTCAGTAGAGCCCCCGGCCCGCGGTCGGCCGGTCAGCGCACGCGCGTAGGTGTGCCTGCCAGGATGCCCTCCCCGGCGACGCGCTCAGGCCCGGATTCCGCGGCGCGAGAGTGAGCGCTGGCGGGGGCGGTGGGATGCTCCAAGTCGGCGTGAAAGAGGCGAGAGTGGGCGAGCACGGGCGGCCGGACCAGGAGCACTCCCGGTGACCACCTAGTCTCCATTTTATTTCCTCGGAAACTGCCGGGCAGGCGGGGGACCGGCCGCAGGGCGGGGTTTCTCTTGGCGGTGAGTGAGCGAGACCGTTAGGCTGAAGCACCGGGAGACTGTCCTGGCAGCTCCTGGCCGCCACCCGCGCCGCAATAAAAGCCTCTCGCGGCTTCCCGCCCAGCCAGCTTCGCACTGATTGGTCGCCGTGGGAGGGACCCGAGTTGGCTGGAGGCGGCGGCCGAGCGCTGCTCTTGTGCCGCCCGCGGAGGGGGCGCACTGGGTGCTCCCTGGCCCGCCCCGTGCGCTCCCCAACCGGGGGTCGGCCGTCCAGGGCAGGTACAACGGTACCTGGAGCTGCGACCGCGACACACAGCCCCTCCGCCCGGCTTTCCTCGATCGCTTCCCAGCACACGCCCCCCGCCCAGAATGTCCGCCCAACCCACCCAGCTCTCTGCGGCCCCTGCTTTTCTTCCTTCCCTCCCGTCCATCAGAGCCAAAGCGCAAATCCTTGGGTGGAGGTGGGGGGATGACAGCTGGAGGGGAGGGTGGGCACGCACAGAAGAATTTTCCAGGGAGGCCGGGATGGAAATAGCCAAAATGAAATGCACCTCCCTGCACACTGCCGAGGTTCTCTGGGCGGCGGCGCAACCCCCGCCACCCGCGGCAGCATCACTACTGTCTTCCTCCCAGCTCCCTATTGTTCACACTTTGCCAGGATCGGGAACCTCGCCCAAAGAAAGGAGACAGGGCGAGGTGTTTCGGGCGGCTACCTGCCATTCTTCTCCCGCCCCGTGCAACACTGGGCACGCGGCGCGTGTAAAGACACACGCGCGCACACGCGCGCGCACACACCAGGCAGCCCCAATCACGCCCTCCTCGCCCTCCGCCCCTCCGCACTTCCTCCTGTCAAAACGCGGCGCTCGACCCTCCCATCCTTCAGTGCTCGCGGCCGAGGGTAGGCTTTGCAACTAACCAGCAATTTGGCAAATGAAAAACTAACGTCATGTCGACTGGGGTGCAACAACGGTCACACCAACAACAACGGCCGTGCGATTCTGCCCATTTTGCCCCATTTTGCAAACCGTTATTCTTCTGGGGCGGGGGAAGCAAAGCAGCGATCCTGACTTTATTAGACCCAGGAATATAACGATCTGGGGCGGCTGCCCTAGCCTTATTGTTCACTCTTCCCGGAGCCGGGGCTGACAAGCCACTTCCCCCTCGGAATCCGAGCCCGTGCGGCGGCACCACCCGAGCCGCGACCTCCCCCGCCCCGCCGCCCGCCTTTGGGGAAGGAGCGCTGCCCATCACCAGCGCGGCCGCTGAGTCCCCAGGAGCCGGCCGGCTCTGCTCCCACCGCCGCGGGCGCACAAAGTGGGAAGGGCGGACGCGCCGGAGGGGCGCCGGGCGCTGGCGGCTCGGGGAGGCAGCCCCGTGCAGCGCAGCCCTGGAGGGAGCGGGGTTCGGCTGGGCAGCAAGGGCGACGCGCTCCTTTCACAGCTAAACGAAAATGACCAGCCTTAGCAGTCCACGTAAAACCACCCAAAATAATAGCGTTCCTCCTAGGAGTAGGAGGAAGGGGTAATTAGCAAACCAGATTGAGAATTAAAAAAAAAAAAAATGTACCTGCAGTTCCCAGGAAAAACAAAGTCCAGATGAGATCCTTAGTTTGCAGCATTGTAATCTGCTGGCTGGGAGGGATGTTCTTGCCGCGGTAAATTCTGTGCCCCCCCCCCTGCAGCGAGTGTGGACGGCGGCTGAGCGACAGACCTAGGGGCAGACAATTGCCAGGCTGAGTATGATTATTTTTGCAGAATTGTTTCCTGCCAGCGGCAGCCGAGCTGCGTTCACGCGCTGATCGGAGAATGAGTGACAGTCCCAGCCTCAGCACACTCGCAACTCGGAGATCCTTGCGCTGGCCCGGGTTCGTTTTGATGGAACTGGGATGGGAGCGAGGAGCGGGGGGCGGGGGTGAGAACCTCACTGTGTCCTTCCACCACGCCGGCCACAAATAGTGCCGAACATCAAGGAGGTAAGAGAGACAGGGGAGGCAGATGCGGAAGCCTGCAAAACGCGGCCTGGAGCTTTTGGGGGAGCCGGGCTCTTTCACACGCAGTCTCCCTGGGAGAGCTGGGATTTCTTTTCACACTTCTACCCTACGCCTTCGCAGGCGCTCCTGCTACCCAGCCTTCCTTAATCAGCAGTTTGCATATTTTGATAACTAGTAAATAATAAAAGCAAAATTTTAGATTTGGTTAGGTAAAGTTGTCAAATCCCTCCATTTCGATTCTAAGATCCTTGCAACACAAGGATAGCCCAGGACTTTAAGTGCGGGAAATTAGAACTTTGGAGAGGGATGGGGGTTGCCGTTGCTGGGTGTTGTTTGGATATTGTTTGTTTGTTTGTTTTATCCTAACTGTGAAGTTTGCTCTCCCACAGAGAGACATACAACACCCTTCAGCAGATCCCCTGGGAAGGAGGTGGGAAGAGACTTAAGTTAGAAGAAAACTCCGATGTTTGGAAGAGATTTCCAGAAATAACCCGAAGAAAATGTTTTCCTGTTTATAAATTCTGAAATCTGTGGTCTCTTTATTAAAATAGCCAGGCTTTTATATAGGTATTATGATATAGAAGCGTCATTAAATAATATTTTCTTACATGGGGACGTGACCTTAATTCTTAAAGATATTAATGTATAATATTACTGAGGTACCAACACAATAGGCTTTAATTAAAATTCCACCCGTGTTTTCAAAAGTAGGGGGTGGAGAAAGCGGGGTGAAAAGAATCATGTCTCAGCACCTGAAGGCTTGGGTATGTAAGGAACTAATGTGAGAAAGGTGTTCTAGATGTCAGGTTAACCCATTAGCCTAGAACACTGAAACCCTCTAACAGAGGAAGTCTGCATAAGTTCAAAGGCATTAAAGCACTAATGTTACCGGGTACTCCGTTTTTCTTCAAAGGTCGGCCTCCCCACTCCTGTAGCAGGTTTTTTGTTTTGTTTTGTTTTGTTTTGTTTCTGTTTTGTTTTTTTGAGATGGAGCCTCGCTCTGTCGCCCAGGCTGCAGTGCAGTGGCGCCATCTCTGCTCACTGCAACCTCTGCTCCCGGTTCAAGCGATTCTGCTGCCTCAGCCTCCTGAGTAGCTGGGATTACAGGCGCGCGCCACCACGCCCAGCTAATTTTTGTATTTTTAGTAGAGACGGTGTTTCACCATGTTGGTCAGGCCGGTCTCGAACTCCTGACCTCGTGATCTGCCCACCTCAGCCTCCCAAAGTGCTAGGATTACAGCCGTGAGCTACCGCACCCAGCCGCTGTAGCAGTTTTTAAAAGTCCATCCTCTACTGTCAGGACATCCATCCTTATTGGACAGGCCCCATCTCTTCCCCACTTTCCTCCTCTATAATAGACCAAGTGGGCCACACCAGTACAGTGTAATTAGCTTGGACCCCTGAAAAGTATTTCTTCCCCCAAGTAAATCTTCCACAACGTTTACTTTGGGCTATTTCTCTCATTCCAAGTATAAACAATTCAAAAGTACAGAAAAGTAGAAAGAACTAAAAATAACCCCAAATCCCACAGATTCCAGAGATACTCATAGATTTTGTCTTCTGTATGTGCATATGATTTTTATAATTGACATATTATAGTAGCAATTTGAATCCTGCTGATTTTGCCTAACATCAGTATAAGCATTTATTCCTCTGGATCATTAAAAAGCTTTTCTAGATATTTTTATAGCTATGTAATATTTCTTCATATGGATGATTTTGCAATGGTTTCCCCATTTTTGCATATTTATATTGTTTGTGGAGTTTGATAATATAAATAAGGCTTTTTTGAACATCTTTCAACAAATATTTGCGGAGCAACCACTGGGTTTAGCCCTGTGCTAGATGCAGTGAATTATATACGTCTTTTTTTAATGGTTGCTGTATTTAAGTGTCTTTGATTTCAGACTTCTGCTTCTAACATCTAAAATCACCACATTAAATATTACAGATTTATGTAAATGAATGTTATCAGACTCTTTCCTTAAAAAAGAGGTTTTGATGGTGAGGAAAGATAGAGAGAACAGGCAGGGGGTAGAGTGGGGAGAGTGAAGGTTGGGGCCCCCAAAATAAAAATTTTTCCAATTTTGCCCCTAAGAGTGAGAGACACATTCTTCCCTGCAAACCTCCCTCCTTATAGTCCTGTCAGTAGAATTAAAAGACTCCTCACTATTTTTCTCCCCAAATGTCCCTATTTTTAGCTTTTCAATGTAGGCAAGTGTGGAAATCCAATCTCACTTGAGTATGACTGAATTTCTTTTTTTTCCCTCTCTCTCTCCAGCCCCTCCCTACCCCGTGTGGTTGTTGATCTCTGTTGTAATGATTCATTCTAGAATGCTGCCCCAGTCATTCCAGTCCACACTCCCAGTATCACTCCCAAATTCTTTTAACAGGATATGTCACTTGTCTCCAATTCTGTATATCTCCGCTAGTCGGTGCCTACATCTGTGAGCTCTGTTGCGTTTCAATCCCTTCCTGATCCTCATTTTAAAATGGACAAAACTGTGGCCCTCACTGGACCTCTCTCCCCAGAGAGAGGCCCAGGCTGTCAGGCACACATTAATGAGCATCTACAAAGTGAACATCCATGGGATTGAGGCAGAGGAAGGAGACTCCAGACTGTGCTTTAGAGAGAAAGTTCTTTAGAGAGGAAGCAGAGAATGGTCCAAGAAGACAGCCATGGCAAGGAGACAAGCTAGGAGGCCATGATAGCTCTGGATAGGGTGACAGGGACTAATTAAGAAAGCGACAGTGGGAAAGGAGGCAAAAAGGAGCCCAGATTTGCAATTCCAAGATAAGATAAGAACAGGTGGACCTGGGTATGTTGTGAAGATGGAAGTATGAGGCAGAGGAAGAAATCCAAGTTCCTTTCATTCATTCAACAAATATTTATGGATTCTCAACTAAGTGCCTGGCACTGCTCTGGACACTGGGGATGTAGCCGTGGACAAAGTAGAGCCTTTGCCCTCATGGGATTTCCTTCTTATGGGGGAAGACAGAGAATAAATCCTTAAACATTTAGTAGTGTACAGATGGTGATAAGTGCTAAGGAAAGCAATAAGGAGAGATAAGGGGACAGAGAGTCTGGGGCGGAGAGGGATTACCATTTTGTTTAGTGGAGCTATACGGGTGTATGTGATACAGATCTTGAGAAAGTGACAACCGCTAAGGGTCCAGTGTGGGCAATTGAATAGTTGCTGGTAACATTGACAGGGAGCAGAAGAAGAGGGGCAGATTCAGACCAGGTGATAAGCAAAGAAGCAATGATGTCAGCTCTGCACATGCTAAGTCTGAGATGTTTCAGAGACATCCAAGTGGAAATGTGTGGAAGACAGACAGAGAGGGCCCAGAGAACATCAATGTTTAAGGTACAGGCAGAAGGACTTATCAATGAAATACTGAAAAACAGACAGCTAGAAAGAAAATTGAAACATGACAATGTCACAAAACCTAAAGAAGAAAGCTTTGAGGTGGTCAAAAAAGAGGAAGATTTAAAAGAATTTCCTGAATTTGACCATTGGAAAGTCCTTAGTGGCCCCTGGGGGAACAGTATTCATGGAATGGAGGGAAAAGGAGACATCATGGTCCCAGAAATGAAAGGGAGGGGAGGAGAGAGAAGCCAGGGGTGTGGACTACTCTCTCCAGCAGTGTGATGTTGAAGGAGTAGTGGGATAATGGCAGGGAGGCAAGCTTGTGGGAGAAGGAGGCTTAAAAGACAGTTTTCTTTTCTTCTCTTTTAATGTGAGGACTTTATTATCAGGTTATAAAGTAAGTTAAATTGGTGTTAACTCTTGCTCAGCACCACCAAGACCTTATGCACTAGCTTGACTTACACAACTTGAAAAATGAACTTGGAATAGTGCCCTAATTTAGAGCTTCTTTCCTATTGTTATTGACAATGGAGACCCCAGGTTTGATCTTAGGACTCACAGATACCCTAAGAACTTTATTTCACTATTGATACAGGCAAAATGGAGTCTGAGAAGCACAGCATCTTAAGACCAACACAAGAGACAGGTCTTAAGACAACTTAAGACCTGAGGCTAAGAGAGGCTGAAAATCTTCTTCCCGTTTTTGTTTGTTTGTTTGTTTGTTTGTTTTACTGGGTTGTTTGTTCTGTTATTGTTAAGTCATAGGAATTCTTTATATGTGGTAGATACCAATCTCTCATCAGATATATGATTTGAAAATATTTTCCTATTCCATGGGTTGCCTTTTCACTCTGTTTATAGTGTTTTTTCCATATAGTAACATTTTTAATTTTGAGAAAGTCCAACTTAATCTATTTATTCTCTGGCTTATCCAAAGAACTGAGCATGAGCCAGGAAAGTGTAAGGACCAGGAGGTAAACTTGAGCCCACAAAGCTAAAGAGTGAAAGTCTCTCGGGACCCTCCCAGCTCACTCTTAGCTTCTCATGTTCCAAATCTGATTGACGTGAGAAATTACTTACAAACTCTAACCCATGGCGGGGCTGGGGCAACTGATGTGCTTCCTCCCTGTTCAAGGCTGGCTCAGGCACTGGTTAAAGACTAGCGGGCACTCATCAGTCAATCCAGCTCAATGGTGCTGGGGACTCCCAAACGCGGGAGAAATGAGACAGAGGTTGACATAGAACCAGTGCTCCTTTGTGTGGGTTGTGCACTGCACAGCTTCAAGGGGTGTTTTGCAAATCCCACCCATCATATATTTATGCAGTTGTTATGATGATTTTTTTCTGGCATCAGTGGAAGTAAAGCATCAAGGAAGAGGTGCTGTTTTCATTTCCCTTTTTTTTTTTAATTGTGCAGAAAGTTTATTAGGAATTACTTTCAGGATCAACATCTGTGTGGGAAGGGAAATAAACAGGTTACTAATAAAGAAGAGGAAATTGGGCCTCAGGGCAGGCACCACAAAACCTCAGCCCCACCTTGAGAGGTCTGAAAATAGTTGTAATATCCTCATATTGACTGATCACCCGATTCAAGCCACCCCAAGAATGCAACCTGGCCTTGTGAGAGGTCATTCTTTTCAGCTGAAGGAGGGCATCCCCAGCATCTGGAGTAAGCCCTCCAGCCCTGAAGGGGGGCTTTGAACAGCTTAGCATAGTCCCCACTACATGATTTTAGCTATACTTCAAAATAGTAAATTTGGTTTAGCCTTGCTTTGACTATGCGGGCTCCTTTTGGGTTCCATATGAATTTTAGGATTGTTTTTTCCTAGTTCTGTGAAGAATGATGGTGGTATTTTGATGGGAATTGCATTGAATTTGTAGATTTTTTTTGGCAGTACGGCCATTTTCACAATATTGATTCTACCCATCCATGAGCATGGGATGTGTTTCCATTTGTTTGTGTCAGCTATGATTTCTTTCAGCAGTGTTTTGTAGTTTTCCTTGTAGAGGTCTTTCACCTCCTTGGTTAGGTATACTCCTAAGTATTATTACTTTTTTTGCAGCTATTGTAAAAGGAGTTGAGATCTTGATTTGATTCTCAGCTTGGTTGCTGGTGGTGTATAGGAGAGCTACTGATTTGTGTACATTAATTTTGTATCAGGAAACTTTGCTGAATTCTTTTATCAGTTCTATGAGATTTTGTAGTAGTCTTTAGGGTTTTCTAGGTAGACAATTATATCGTCAGGTTTTTTTCTTTTCTTTTGTTTTATTGTGGGAAAATATAAAACACGCATGACATAAAATTTACCATTTAATATGTACAGTTCTGTGACATCAAGCATATTTACATTGTTGTGCAACCATCACTATCATTCATCTCCAGAGCTTTTTCATCTTCCCCAGCTGAGACTCCGTACACATGAAACAGTAATTCTCTATTCCCTTCTCCTGCCCAGCCCCTAGCAGCCACCATTCCACTTCCTGTCTCTATAAACTTGACTACTCTAGGTACGTGGAATAAGGAGAATCATACAGTATTTATCCTTTTGTGAACAGTTACTTTCACTTACCATAATGTTTTCATGGCTCATCCATGTTGTAACATGTAATAATTTATTCCCTTTTTGGGGCTAAATAATATTTCATTGTATGTGTGTACCACATTTTCTTTATCCGTTCATCTATTGATGGTGACTTGGTTGCATCCACCTTTTGGCTATTGTGACTAATGTTGCTATGAACATGAGTATACAAATATCTGTGCGAGTCTCTGTTTTCACTTCTTTTTGGTATATATATCCAGAAGTAGAATTTCTGAATCATATGGTAACTACACTTAATTTTTCGAGGAATTTCCATGCCATTTTCCACAGGGACTGCACTCCATCTTACATTCCCACTTGCAATATATTCTTGCTAATGCTTGTATTTTCTTTGTCTTCTTCCTTTTTTTTTTTCTGATAGTAGTCAACCTAGTGTAAAGTGGTGATTTATTATAATGTTGTAAAGTGGTAATTTAGTGTAAAGTGGTAGTGTAAAGTGGTAATTTATTATAGTGTTGACTTGCATTTTCCTAATGTCTGATGATATTAAACATGTTTCCATGTGCTTATTGACCATTTCTATATCTTCCTTAAAGAAATGTCTTTTCAAGCCTATTGCCCATTTTTTAATTGGGTTGTTTGTTCTGTTGTTGTTAAGTTGTAGGAATTATTTATATATGGTATATACCAATCTCTCATCAGATATATGATTTGAAAATATTTTCCCATTCCATGGGTTACCTTTTCACTCTGTGTAATAGAGTTTTTCCCATATAGAAACATTTTAATTTTAAGAAAGTCCAACTTATCTATGTTTTCTTTTGTTGCCTATTCTTTTATTGCCATATCCAAGAAATCATTGTGAAATATATGTCTTGCAGCTTTTCCCCTATGTTTTCTTCCAAGGGCTTTATAGTTTTAGTTATTACATTTTGATCTATTTTGAGTTAATGTTTGTATGTAGTATAAGATAAGGATTCATATTTATTTATTTATTTATGTGCATGTGGATATCCAGTTTTCCCAACACCATTTGTAGAAAAGGCTACTCTTTTCTCATTTAATAGTTTTGGCACCCTTGTCAAAAATTGTTTGACCATATATGCAAGCGTTTATTCCTAAAGTCTCTATTCTATTCTACTGGTCTGCATATTGTCTTTATACCAGTACCACACTGTTTTGACTACTGTGTCTTTGTAGTAAGCTTTGAAATCAGGAAGTGTGAGCCTTCCAACTTCATTCTTCTTTTTCAAGACTGTTTTGGCTATATGGGGTCTCTTAAGCCTCTATATGAATGTTAGCATGTACTTTCCTATTTCTACATGAACTATCATTGAGATTTTGATAGGAATTTAGGGGTCCTGTTTTCTAATCTACCAGAGTTGTTACTTGGACTAAGTGTTAGAATCATGCTGACATCTCAGAGATGAGTATATTTAGACAAGTTACTCCAGAGTTATGGAAACTGAGTCACAGAGAACTGTCACAGATAACCATTTGAGCAATCTATTCATTTCAATGTAAATACTGAGGGATGAGGGAGAATCAAATCACAAGAATCAGGCCATGGAGTGTGCACAGCTTTAGGAAGTTAAAGTGAACTAGCAAGGGAGAGATAGTTATAAATGGTTCCTGGGCTCTGAGCTGAATTCAAACTCCAGGCTGCCTAACTCCCTGTTTTGTCCCTGAAGAAACAAACAAACAAAACCCTCTGAAACCGGTCACTTAATAGACAAGGAAAGAGCTAGAGTCTCCATGTCAAGATCTTAAAAATCAGAAAGCATGACTGAACTTATGTTAAAGACACAATAACTTCCTGGCTCCCTTCTATGTATCCTCCCACTCCCCGGTGGCAATGAAGTGACGTGGATGAGTGTTCAGCTCCAGGAGTTTGACAATCCAAGTTTAAATCCTAGCTTCTCCACCTGTAGGCTCTCTGGATTTGGGTATATTACCTTGACGCCTGTAAACCTAAATTTTCTTGTCCATAAGATGGGATTAGTGCGACATCTAACTCTCAGACTCCTTGTGAACATTAATTAGAATAAGATATGTAGAACTTAGTGCAAGCCTGACACTCTTATTCAACAAGTATATAATGAACGTCTATCACATGCAAATCACTGTTAGTAGTCGGGAATACAAAAAGTGAACAAAACACACATGTTTACAGACTTGTCAAGAAGATGAATAACTAAACAAAGAGATGAAAAAATTTTAAGTTGTAACTAGATCCATGAAAGAAATAACAGGATTCCTTGACAAAGTATGACAGCAGAGATCAGGGAAGGCTTCCTGGAGGAGATGACATGTAAGTTACAACCTACATAATGAAAAATACCCAGCCATGGAAATAGCAAGTGGAGTTGCATTCCAGGAGTGTGCAAAGATCCTGAGGGCAGAAAAGCATGGATGGTTCCAGAAACTAATAGAATGCCAGGGTGGCCACGATAGAAAAAGCAAGGGGAGGAGGGACACAAAATAAGGCATGAGCTAAGCACAATAGCTACCATGAAGGCTAAAGTAAGGAGTTTATATTTTATTCAAAGTTCAAAGAAAGCCCCTAGAGGATTTTCAGCAGCAGAGTGACATCTGTGTGTGTGTGTGTGTGTGTGTGTGTGTGTGTGTGTGTGTGTAAAGGCTTTTCATTTAATAAGTAAAAATCGTGGCCGGGTGCGGTGGCTCACGCCTGTAATCCCAGCATTTTGGGAGGCCAAGGTGGGTGGATCACCTGAGGTCAGGAGTTCGAGACCAGCCTGGCCAACATGGTGAAACTTTGTCTCTACTAAAAATACAAAAATGAGCCAGGCGTGGTGGCAGGTGCCTGTAGTCCCAGCTACTTGGGAGGCTGAGGCAGGAGAATCGCCTGAACCCAGGAGGCAGGGGTTTCAGTGAGCCGAGATCGCACCACTGCATACCAGCCTGGGCAATGGAGCAAGACTCTATCTCAAAAAATAAATAAATAAATAAATATCGCTAAGCTTCCAGAAGTTCTTAAATAGGATTTCAGTTGGAGACATGAATTATTTTACATGTTTTAATATGCACTCCAACTGCTGAGTGGAGAACATCTTGTAGGGAGGCAGGAGTGGGTGTGGAGAGGCCAATCAGAAACCACTGCAGAAATCCAGGAAAGAGATGATGGAGGCTGGGGAGGCGGTGGAAGGGATGCAGACAAGTGGAGACAGAATTGACCAAACTTGCAGATGGATGTGAAGAACAGTGAGGAGAAATCAACATGTAGAAGATGCAGGATATGTTTGCTTGAAGGGGAGGGGAAATCAAGAGTTCAGTTTGGGACAAGTTAGGTCTACCTTTGAGACATCCAAATGGAGACATAAAGATGATGGTCAGATATGAGAGCCTCAAAGTCAGAGGAAAAGTCTTAGCAGGAGATATGACTTTCAGAGTCATCAGCATCCACAGTACCTAAACCATGGGAAAAAATGAGACCACTTAGGCAAAAATATGGAAAGAGAAGAGCAGAAGACCCAGGCTTTGACTCTGAGAAACATCCATATCATGAGTTCAGATAGAGAAAGAACAACAAGCAAAAAGACTGAGATGAGATGAAATTGAAGTAGGAGGCCAACCAGAGGAGAGCAGTGTCTCAGCACCAAGAAAAGTGAGAGTTTTGTAAAGGAAGGAGGTGTCACTCTGGTGAATGCTGCTAAGAGGCCAAGTAAAAGGAGGACAGAGAAGAAAATCCACTGGGTGTGGGAACATGAGAGTCGTTAGGAACCTTCACAAGAATGAATTCACACTCTCTGGGATCAAAGTGAGTGCCTAACAGATGTTAACTATAACAGTAATAATAATAAGGTCCCTGCTTTTTCCTTATTTGACCTTGTGTGATGATAGAAAGACATGTGGGGCCTCATCAAGGGACGGGAGTGCAGCACTGGACAATTAGCTATTCACAAGTAGAGGTTGGTTTTATTTTAAGGAGTAGCTAGGACTCCATTGCTTTTTATGAATAATTATCATAGCAGTTGTGGGCAACTGATGTTTTAGAAGATTTGATTACATCAGTACTTGCAGGAAAAGGAAAAAATATTTTTGTTTCTCCCCTGCTATCTTTATTTCTCCAATTTAATCCTGCCCATCATCTTCACCACTCTTCCTCTGTGCTTTCTGTGGTTGTACTGCTTCCCTTTGTCACACATCAGAATACCATTCGGCATCAGCCCCAGCACCAAAGAGAGGGGCCTTGTAGGCAGAGCCAAGGCTAAATGTAGGTCTCTCTAGGTTCATATATATCTTTGGGTCCAGAGAGATGCCTATCCAGGGATCCCACGCCACCTTTTCTCCTAAGCACAAGCACCCTAGAGAGTGAGGAAAGAGATAGGAAGAGGAGGAAGCAAGAAGGCTGCTATTCACTATGGTTGACAAAGTCATTCATCTCATCTTCCCCCCTCTTCTTTGCTAAAAGAACTGAACTGTTTCCCCAACCTTGACACAGCCATGGCACAACATCTCAATACTCTGGCACCATCCTGAAGAAACAGAGTGCCTAGATGATGTTGTTAGCTCTACAATAGTTACAGAATCCTAAAGAGCTCAGAATTGGAAGTCAACATGGATATAAATGAATCCCCACCTATGCCTTCCAAAGGCTGGCAGACATTTTTATCCTTGCTCCTTTGCTCCTTGGGTGCCAAGATTTCCATAGCTTCCAGGGGCTCCAAGGAGACACAGCATTCATTCCAGTCATACACTCTGCAAAAGAAATTCCTTGATACCTCTGCAAGAACTGTGGAGTGTGGAGTGAGCCAGGCATGTTCCAGCATGGGAGGCTCCCACGCCAACCACCATCTATCCTTGCACAAACAAAGAAGAAATCAAGAAGAAAGATTCTACTCAGTGAGTCTGAGCAGGAGAGAACTGTGACAAACACCAGACCTCTCCTCCCATTGCCTGTCACTGCCCCACCCAGTGTTCCACCATAAATATCACTCAGAATGTTTGTTGAAAGAATGGAATCAACAAGCAAACCCACAAATAGCTCAAGGTTCGTTTGCTCTGGGGCTTCGGCCCAGGATTCCTTCCCCAGCTCCCATGGCTGCTGTTCAGGCACTTGTCATATCTCACAGAGTTGGCTGCCAAGCCTCCTGACTAATCTCCCCACCTCCACTCTCCCCTTTTCAAATCCATCTCCCCCAACCCCCAGAGCCATCTCCTTCAAAGAATAATTATGAGAAGCTGAACGTGTCACGTACCTACCTAAAACCCTGTCATGGCTCCCCATTTCCCCCTGGAATGAAGTCCAAGCCCCATGAAGGCCTTCTGAGGGACCAGGCCCCTGCTCTCTCAGTCTCACCTCTTACCTCTTCTTATGTCACATGGTGGACCTGAGTAATAGCACACACCAGCACCATCCTGTGTAGGCAGACTCCAGCTCATCCTCCAAGCTTTTATGGAATAATCTCTTCCCTGACCCTTCCCTTCCCACCTCTTGCTCCTTACCCTCGTCCCTTGGGTTGGGTGCTCTTCCCAGAAGCTTCCAGGATCTCTTGTACTCACCCCTATCACAGCACCCAGATCCCACATTGCAATCTAATTGCCTGTTTCTGGCTCTTTTTCCTCCACTAGCCAGTGAAATTCTATAGGACAAAGACTTTAATTTTATGTATCACTAGTACCTAGCATGTTGGCTGGCACATAGTAGGTGTTCAGTGCTTATGATGGAATGAATAAATAACGTCATCAATAAATTCTTCCTAGACCACTTGCCTTGGATGTGGTAAAAGCTACCTTTATACTATTGATATAGTTTGGCTCTCTGTCCCCACCCAAATCTCACTTTGAATTATAATAGTCCCCACATGTCAAGGGCAGGACCAGGTGGAGATAACTGAACTCATAAGGGTGGTTTCCCCCATGCTGTTCTCACGATAGTGAGTGAGGTCTTGTGAGATCTGATGGTTTTATAAGGGGCTTCCCCCTTTGCTCAGCACTCATTCTCTCTCCTGCCACCCTGTGAAGAGATGCCTTCTGCATGCTTGTAATTTTCCTGAGATCTCCTCAGCAATGCAGAACTGAGTCAATTAAACCTCATTCCTGTATAAATTACCCAGTCCCAGGTATGTCCTTATTAGCAGTGTGAGAACAAACTAATACAGTAAATTGGTACCAAGGGTGTGGGGCACTGCTATAAGGATACCCCAAAATATGGAAGCAACTTTGGAACTGGGTAACAGGCAGAGATTGGAACAGTTTGGAGGGCTCAGAAGACAGAAAAATGTGGGAAAGTTTGGAACTTTACATAGAAACTTGGAGGACTTAGAAGACAGGAAGATGTGGGAAAGTTTGCAACTTCCTAGAGACTTATTGAATGGCTTTGGCCAAAATGCTGATAGTGATATGGAAAATGAAGTCCAGGCTGAGGTGGTCTCAGGTACAATGAGGAACTTTTTGGGAAATGGAGTAAAAGACACTCTTGTTATGCTTAGCAAAGAGACTGGTGGCTTTTTGCCCCTGCCCTAGAGATCTGTGGAACTTTGAACTTGAGAGAGATGATTTAGGGTATCTGGTGGAATAAATTTCTAAGCAGCAATCATTCAAGAGGTGCCCGAGCATAAACGTTTAGAAAATTTGCAGCCTGAACATGCAGTAGAAAAGAAAAGCCCATTTTCTGGGGAAAAATTCAAGCTCTGCATCCCAGCTGCTGTAGCCATGGCTAAAAGGGGCCAAAGTACAGCTCAGGCCATTGCTTCAGAAGGTGTAAGTCCCCAGCCTTGGCAGCTTCCATGTGGTGTTGGTCCTGTCAGTACACAGAAGACAAGAATTGAGGTTTGGAAACCTCCACTTAGATTTCAGAAGATGTATGGAAATGCCTGGATTTCCAGGCAGAAGTTTGCTGCAGAGGTAGAGCCCTCATGGAGAACCTCTGTTAGGACAGTGCAGAAGGGAAATGTGGGGTCAGAGCCCCCACACAGAGTCCCCACTGGGGCACTGACTAATGGAGCTATGACATCCTCCTTCCCCCAGAATGATAGATCCACCTACAGCTTGCGCTGTGCCCTTGGAAAAGCTGCAAGCACTCAATGCCAGCCATGAAAGCAGTGGAGAGGGGGAAGCAAAGCCACAGGGATGGAGCTGCCTAAGACCATGGGAACCCACCTCTTGATCATCATGACCTGGATGTGAGCCACAGAGTCAAAGGAGATCATTTTGGAACTTTAAGGTTTAATGACTGCCCTGTTGGATTTAAGACTTGCATGGAACCTGTAGCCAATGTAGTTTTTGGCCAATTTATCCCATTTGGAATGAGTGTATTTACCCAATGCCTGTACACCCTTGTATCTAGGAAGTAACTAACCTGTTTTTGATTTTATAGGCTCATAGGTGGAAGGGATTTGCCTTGTCTCAGATGAGACTGTGGACTGTGGAGTTTTGAGTTAACACTGAAATGAGTTAAGACTTTGGGTGACTGTTGGAAGGGCATGATTGTGTTTTGAAATGTGAGGACATGAGATTTGAGAGGGTCCAGGGGTGGAATTATATGGTTTGGCTCTGTGTCCGCACCCAAATCTCACCTTGAATTGTAATAATCCCGACATGTCAATGGCAGGAGAAGGTGGAGATAATTGAATCATGGGGGTGGTTTCCCCCATGCTGTTCTCATGATAGTGAGTGAGTTCCCATGAGATCTGTTGGTTTTATAAAGTGCTTCCCCCTTTGCCCAGCACTCATTCTCTTTCCTGCTGCCCTGTGAAAAGGTGCCTTCTGCCATGATTGTACATTTCCTGAGGCCTCCCTAGCAATGCAGTACTGTGAGTCAATTAAACCTCTTTTCTTTATAAATTATCCCGGTCTCAGGTATGTCTTCATTAGCAGCAGGAGAATGAACTAATAAAACTAGGTAGGAGTTGCTAAGGGAAAAATGCATACAATGGTGACAACAATTATAGGTTTAGCACGTAAAGTCAAATTTCACCTTAAGATGTCTTAGAAAATCTTAGAGAATCTCAGGCCAGTCTCTGAAACTAATCTCTTATGGTTCTGATTCTCCTATCCCAGATTAATCAAGAAGATTCTATTTTCTCACTAATGTCATCCTTTTTCTCCTGATGAAGCTCAGGTGCCCTGGCACCATGCCTATCTCGACAGTAGTTTCCTCTGGTATCTTAGTGCCTCCTTGAAACCCTGGATTAGCAGCCCCCAGATCTCTGCAAAAAGATCCCTGCAAAGAGATCTGTCCTGGTTGATGGCTCACAGCTCGTATTTCCTCCTCTCTTCTTCGCATTGTCCTCTTTTCCTCCTGTCTAATGCTGGGCCCCTTTTTGCTTTGCAAATGCAGTTCATGATGAAATAGGGCAGCAAAACTCTGTGTTAATGATTTTCCATCTTTCTGTTTGCTGGATAATTTTAGGTTTCTTTTCTTCCTCTATGATTTCTAAACAAGTGGATGGGGACATTATTTCTCTTCTTAAAAACTCTGTGTCCCTGGGTCACAGTACAGACTAATTTATCCACTGGCAACATTTTTACTCACTTTGTCTGCTAAAGTAGTGAGAATACAAATAGTTTCTGTGTTCAATTAACCTCCCAGCAGCATGAGGGAGTTTGGAGCAATAAACAATACCTTTCCAACTTCTCAGCATCTTGCTCTGCCTACAATGTCTGCCCCCTTACCTGCTACTTGTGTGTTTTCTAATTTGTTAAGATCATTCTCAATGTGTTGCTCAGAGCAGAGCTTATTTCTCCAAAAGAGGTCCGGTCAATGTGGAGGCCAGTGGAGCCATTGCCACTTCAGCTCAGAATGCTACGAATTGTCCCATTCAGTCCAGAGTCACTCTGATTTGCAACTAGTTATGCAGGAATTAAAATCCCAGTACAGACCTCTCTTCCTATCCAACCTGTCTCATTGTCCGAATGTGCCTTGGAAAACCTGATATGAGAAAATTGATAGAAAGAAAAGAATATTTATGTTGCACAATGATTGCTAAAGGATCAGTAAAAAAGTTACTATCTAAGTTCATTCAGATAGTTCTATGCTCTTACTTATTTGTTTAAGCACCTCTATATTTCAGGGCTTATGCTAGGCACAATCTAGTGATAAACAAGACACCCTTTCTCTCCTCATGGATAAAGAGGAAGAAGGAGGACAGAGGAAATCAACATTGGTATGTACATTTTTGGGGGCAAACCATTCTACTTACATACATTTATTTACTCTTCATATGACTCCCTGAGGGAGTCAAAGAAATTCCATACTTTGTTCAAGGATCTGAGTCTAGGACTGTCTTTGGCACTGTAGAAGCTGGGTTCTGCAGGGATAACAGCCAACCTCTAAGTCTTAGTGACTTAAAAACAACTAACGTTATTTGTTGAGGGTTCTGTTCTATGTTGTCCTTGGTCGGAGACTCAATCTGAGGAAGGCTCCATCTCCATGATTCCATGATTATGGAAGCAGAAGTTAAAAAGGAGAGTGGTGAGTTGAATCACACATAGGCCCTTAAACTTTCCATCTGGAAGTGGCCACATCCTTTACACTTCCAGTTTCTTGACCAATACAAGCCATATGAATATTCCTACCTTTAAGGAGGCAGGGAGGTAAAAATCTGTTATGCCCAGAGGGAGAATCAGAAATATTTAATAAACAGCCTAATAACTACTACAGGCTCCAAAGCCTACATTCTTTTCCAGTACATTATATTCACAACTACTGGGGAAGATTAACTACTTTCAAAAGGGACAGGGGCAGAGATACATAAATCCAGAGAGCTAGGAGCCAATACCAAAGAAAGATCAAAATCAGGAATGAAGATAAGTTATCTTTGAAATATACATGAACATCAGTGAGGAATGGGATCCTTTTTGACACGATTCAGATTTACCCTCCAAATTTACAAGCACCAATAATAATACACACAAGAAGTGAGACCTTGCTATCATGAGATCTTTTAGGATTTTAATAACTAGGACGTGGTTCAAAGACCTGTTATACAATAGCCAATTTCTGGCTAAAATTTATGTTATGACGAGGTTTCCAAGTATAAGGAAAGAGCCTGCCACCTTTCCTCAGTTCTTTCTGTTGCCCTTTTGCTATAGATGAAACTACTGGAGACTGGGGTTGTTCTCATTTATTTCTGACATAATATCCTAGTAATTAGCTGTAAATTTAAAAGTGATAAATATGCATGAGAGCCAAGCTTGGAAGAGCTGCATAGCTCCACACAGATAGAGATAAGCCATCCATAGAGAAGCAAAATTATGGAAATCCTTATCATAATCTAGGAATAAAGATAAAGCCTCACCCTTTCCTAGGCATAAATGTTGATTCATAGGTGGTCCAAATGAGATCATTATGCACTACATCAGGCAACGTCACATATTGTTCATCTAATAGCACCGTGCTTAGTCACTGAGAAGCTCAATTACTCAAAATCAGACACCAAATATCACAGAGGAGTCCCCTTAGGCCCTCCCTACTTTAAAACACACACACACACACACACACACACACACACACACACACACACACGCCCCTTTCTGCTCTTCAAGTTAGGAAGAAAGTTGTACATTCTGAAACCACTTATGAGTTTAAATCCCAAGACAGCAAAATGATACAACTGCATGGTAATGTGGATTACCACCTGGGGGAAGATGGCTAAAGCACCTCTGTCAATGCACTTGAACTGAGAGGACTCTTTTCCAGGGCCAGCTTCTTCAAGACACCAGAGGATAAAGGGGTCTGTTTGGATTTTAGAGAAATTTGATCCACTTGGTTGCTTACACTGGGGTGGGTGTCTTGCTGTGATGGAATGCATTTTTCAGCTACGATCTGCTGTAGTCATTTGACATGTGCCCTAACAATGAACATATTTTAATATTACTTTACATTTTAGAGAATTAAAAGGCAAGCATTGATATGAATAAAAAGATTTGTTCGTATTCTAAACACAAAGGCTAAAGTCTTTCCATCTTTAATTAATGAATTATTTTATTATTTATTTGTCTGTTGAGACAGGGTCTTGCTCTGTCACCCAGGCTGGAGTGCAGTGGTGTATTCATGACTCACCGCAGCATCAACCTCTTGGGCTCATGTGATTCTCCCACCTCAGCCAAGTAGCTGGGACTATAGACATGTGCCACCACGCCTGGCTAATTTTTGTATTTTTTGTAGAGATGGGGTTTCACCATGTTGCCCAAGCTGGTCTTGAACCCCTAAGCTCAAGAGATCTGCTCACCTCAGCCTCCCAAAGTGCTTGGATTATAGGCATGAGCCACCGCGACTAGCCTAATTTATTTTTTTAATCTTTTAATCTTCTAAAATAATCACTGTGATTTAGATCTGGGGACTGCTGTTTTTCTCTATCTGTGTGAGTAACCAGAGTGAAGGTAACCACAATGCAATATCAACTTGACATCCCACAAATACTCATTGAACACTTAATATGTGTAAGGCACCGAGCTAGGTGCTACATACGTGATAAACACAGTTTAGACTTATTCACATTTGGTTCATCCTAGTTCAGATGTTTGTTTACTGTGTTAGTAATTCATTAAAGATTCATTTACTTAAAATAAAAAAAGAAAAACACCTTCAAACCAGACTAGTCTGTGTTTTCTATGTATGCAAGTGTTAGATACAGTAAATGAGATGTGGATTTATTAACAATATGTAAAGGAAGAAAGCAAGTTCATAACCTTTACTCATTTTTTTTAAAAAATGAGAAACCATATTTACACTAATCTTCCCAATAAGATTTTCTTTTTGTCATCACTTCTCCCCTAAGAACGGTACAGTGGCTTTGTAATGCCTGGGGCACCAAGCCCAAGTTCCCTTTTCTGGACTTCAAGCCTCACCCTATCCTACTAAGTTGATTTCTCCCTGTTTCCTGGCATGAATCCTCTATTAAGGTCAAATTGTTCCCCTCCAGTTCCCAAACATATGCCCTGCTGATTCATATGGGCACTCAAAAAACACTTACTGAAGCCTTGCTTTATGTGCCAGGCTCTGTGATGGGCCTGGAGAGAAATACGATGCAGTTTTGTCTTTAAGGAACTCACGGTCTAGGGTATGAGAGTACAGAGACAGGCACGTGAAGTAAGCACTAATCGTGCACAGTGTACTTGGGGCCCCTCAAAAGGAGATAATTGTGTGTGTGTGGTAGGGGGAGATGTGTATTGAGGGAGAGGTCAAGGACAGCTTCAGAGGAGAGGCCAGCTGAGCTGGTCATTGGACATTTGCCAAATGAACAAGTGGAGAAAGGGTATTTTGGGCAGAGGGACATTCTGTTCGAAGGAATGTTCTATTAGGTCATATTGCTCCTCTAGAAATGCTCTTCACTCTTGTCTGTGGCTGTTAAACTCCACTTCATCCTCATTTTTAGACTAGCAGCAGACACGCTTAAGACGGGGGGAAAACGTCAATGATTCAGCCCAATTCTCTCATTTCACGGAGGTGAAATTTGAGGCATAAAGTGTTAAGTTGTGGCTCATGCTTTGTCCCAAGGTCCACATTCACCAAATGTGTTTATTTATTCAATGTATATTTATTGAGCATTGACTATGAAAGGCACTATGAGAAATACAAAAACTAATTGAACCCAGATTTTTCCCTGCAATAATTTATTTCTCTTTAGAAATATATGGCCTAGAGATTAAGAGCGCTTTGGTGCCAAGACACATCTGAGTTTGAAGCCTCAATCCTTGACATTCTTGTTACTGACCTTGGATTAGTTCCTCATCCTGGCTGAACTTAAGTTTCCTTTTATGAGAATGAGGATAATAACAGAATCATCATCAGAGGTTTTTATGAGAATTCAGTATGATAACATTTGCAGAGCAATAGCACTCAATAAATCTTAAGGTTTAGTAATAAAGCCTTAATTCAATATAGGAAAATTAAGTGATGGCACAGAGTAGGTGCTCAATTAAGAAAGAGTTGGATGATTAATTAATTAAGATTTCATTTCCAAGATCTTTACCAATCAAAAATTTACATATAACTCCTTGATCATCTCAGTTCCCTAAAGCTTTATGTCAGGCAAAATTAAAATGGAGATTTCCCCACTAAGGTCCAGTAATTTCTTATACTGTAATGAATCCTGATTACCCTATTAGTATCATGCAATCTTTAAAATTGGTAGGTCTGAAAACTGTCCTAAAAATCAGCTGTTCTGTAAAAGAAGAGAGCGCCTTCCTGGTTTTATGGGTTACACCATTTAGCCATTTATACTCTATGCCATTTGGGCTCTACAGGGATTGTGGGGCCTATCCCCTGCTATTTGAAGCATTGTTAGGAGAAAGAAGGTGTCCTTCTAGAGGGAAAAATAAGAATTAAAGAAGAAATTGAGAGAGATAGATTGTGATCTCATGTAAGATGAAGCTTTTGAACAGTGGAAGACCTCCACAAATGGAATGGATTACTTTCTAGGTAGTGAAGGGTCTTGTGGCTGTAGGGGTTCCAGAAGATATAGGTCAGCAGTCATCATTCTGTAGAAGAGACACTTAAAGTGACTGGGAAATAGAATCAGCAGGGCTCAGGTCCCTTTCAATAATAAGCTTCCTTGATTACATTCAACCATTTAAGCAAATATTAATTGATTGCCTATTCTGGATTAAGTTCCAGTTCAAACTGCTAGCTAGACGGCAGTAAATAAAACAATGTCCCGATCCTTGTGGAGACTGCACACCAGTGAATTTCCTATGGAACCTCTCAGCAGGGTAACAAACATCCAATGTTTGATATCAGAGCAACTGAGCTGAATTTTTCCTTTAGATGTAAAGATATCTGTTGCCAGGCCATGAGAGGAAGAGCCTTTGTCAATCTGCACCACTTTGCCTTAGGAAAATCAGGCAAGAGAAGTAACTCAGAGTGCCATACATGGAATAAAAAAGAATAACTGTAAATGCTGGGGCTAAAACAGTCCCAAACCACAGCAGTAATGCTCGAATCATCAAAATCCTTCAAGATAAAGTTACAGGCCATGACTTAAACATTTGACTTGTTTTTATTTTATGTGCTACACAGCTCAAAACCCAATCTTTCACTCTGTAACCATCCCTGGTTTGAGTTTGGGTTTGAACAGCTGCCCAGCCCATCAGTGCATCAGTGCGTTTGAGCAGTAACTCATGCAAAGACATTTAAGAGCTCACAAGTCCTCAATAGACTAAAAGCAAAGAGAAATAAGATTCCATAGCAACAACATGTCACTCTAAATCATTGTTGCTGTTTCATGAACAAAATGAGGATCAAAATAGAAAATATGGCAGAGAGTAGCACCAGTTCAGCAGATATGATCAACTATTTTCAGGGAATTAGATCACTTTGGTTAGCGAGACAACAATATGCTCATTTTTGTTAGCTGAGCTGTTAAATTCAAAAGCTAGGAAAACTTATCATTATTTGTAACTTCCCTTTTCAGTGAAAAAAGGGTTTTATCCCATCCCTTGTTCTTTGCATCCGGTTATCAGTGCTAATGGAGACAGTCAGCATGAATTCAGAATGAGGGAACTTGAATACTGCAATTGAAAAACCTTTGCTGATTTGATTAAAGTTTTGCTTATTATGGTAAATATTCCAGCAGCCAAAAAGTAGTAGTAAACATTTGGAGGGCTGAGCTAGGGACTTACCTCGCTGTGGGATTTGCTAATCAGGTATTTTTGTTTAAAAAATATAGATGTACCCAAAATGAGCTCTCATATACGTGAAAGCTTGGAGTAAGCTGCATTGGATCAGCATGGACTCTCACCACATACACTGCTTAGAATCAATATAATATCAGGCAGAAACAACTTTCTAACATAAACAGCAAAGGGAAGCCTCTTGGAAATTATTTGATAAACTTTTCAAATAGTAACTGCTTATCTTAGAGTTGGCTCAAGACAGTGCATGTTGGAAATGAAAGAGCCTAAGAACAAAACAAGAATTTTCTTCAGTGTAGCTGGACATGAAGATGGTTTTGTTGTAGCCATTTGTTTAGAAGGAACAGGGGAGTGAGAATCAATTCTCATGTGCAATAAAGAAGAGGTTTCTTGTGTGCTCAAATACTCAGGAACTATAAATATTAAGACTCTAATTTTAAAATTCAGACAATTTCTATCTTTTCCCTCTGTTTTGACAATAAACAGCTATGTCTTTAAATGTGTTCCTCTTGAGGAAGTTTTCTTTTAGAGGCATTGTGTACTCTGAAATAATAAGCTTGCATTATTTCTGCTAACGTGTTCATCGCAGGTGTTCCAAGGTGGCATTATTGTCCTACAGATTTCTTTCAAGTCTACAAGCGAACTGTTTGTAAAAGATCTCTGTCAGTTTTATCTCTTGAGTCCCTTCACAATTATCTGGGGCTCCTCCATCCATGGTGGGACCCTCCTGTAAGAACTTACCAGGGTAATAGGTATACGTATGCTGTTATTGTGTTTTGTTTTTGTTTTGAGACAGAGTCTCACTCTGTCGCCCAGGCTGAAATGCAGTGGGGCAATCTCGGCTCATTGCAATCTTCTCCTCCTGGGTTCTAGTGATTCTCGTGCCTCAGCCTCCTGAGTAGCTAGGATTACAGGTGAGCGCCACCATGCCTGGCTAATTTTTGTATTTTTAGTAGAGACAGCATTTCACCATGTTGGCCAGGCTGGTCTCAAACTCCTGACTTCAAGTATTCCACCTGCCTTGGCCCCCCAAAGTGCTGGGATTACAGGCATGAGCCACCGTGCCTGGCCATGCTGCTATTGTTTTTTTTAACCATTTTTATTTACCTTGACATCTTGATGTCACTGTTGGCTAGATTATTTTGCCATCTTACAAGGGAATTGAATTTCCAACAACAAACATATATTAAGTGTTTTTACCTGGGGATATGAAATGAATATTCTTTAAATTATTTATCATCTTTATACCATGAAGAAAAGAGTGGAGCTGATCTTCTTTGTATACTGTATGTATTATCTCACTTAATTTTCATAATAACAATATGGGGTAGGCTTTACCTATATTGGCTATATTTTACTGATTTTTTTTTAAACCTGATGTCCAGCAAAACTTACTTGCCTTCCCATTTATTATCCACAGAGCAAAGTCATCTTTACAAACATACATTGAAATGTTTTCAGCCAAGACGTAATCACTTGACTGAATTTAACTTCCCACCTGAAGCAATTAAAAACTGGACAAAATAGAGACAATGATTTTTAAGACATTAGATACCAGGCAATTAAGGACAGTGATCTCTTAGAAATAGGAAACAACAGAGATGAGCTCTACAATCATTTCGTCTTATTACCCTACTAATTTCTATGTCATGGCACAAGGACTCCTCTGAGTTGAAGAGACAGAGCCAGGAATTTAGAGAAACCAAGGTGGCTAGAGTTCTTAGAACAAATTACGGGAGAAGAGTAAACTCTACTGCAGGAAGCTCTGGTGATCTACAAAGGGTCTCATTAAGTCTTCAACCAAGAACTGATCAGATTATACATGTGAAGAAATTGCCCGAGGCTGGGAAAAGCACTGCGGAAGATGTACAGGGAGCAATCACTGGAGATCATACAGGATCAGGAATAGTTACCTTTCCCATCAGCCAGATTGGAAAAACCTCATAATTAATGGGGCATTGAGTAATATACTCAAAAACATTATGCCTCAGAAGTAGAGTAAAATTCATCCGAGACAAACTGCTATTCTGCCCTCACCTAAAAAAAATAAAAGCAAGAAATAAAAGGTTCAAGCTGTTTCCAAGTAACTCTACTGTGTCTCAGAACAAAACTTAAGAATAGGTATGGGATACAAAAATATCCGGCAGCCAAAAAAGTAAAATTCATGCCTATTATCCAATCAAAAATTAATAAGCCAGCAAAAAAAGGAAGACAATATGAACTCATAAGGAGAAAAGGCGATTAATTAAACTGGCCCAGAAATAACACACATGATAGAATTCATAAATAAGGACATTAAAATGTATTATACCATGTTCCATATACTCAAGAAGCTACAGGAAATATTGAATAGTTAAGTAGACAGAAAATATTTTAAAACCCAAATTTAATTTCTAAAGGTAAAATCTATAATGTCTCAGAGTAAGTAAAATACACTGGTGTGGGGCAGATTAACAGCAGATTAGATATTGCAGGAGAAAGATTCATAAAACAACAAAAACTATCCAAAGTTAAACAAACAGAAAAAGACTAAAAATAATTAGCAGTAGTGAACAGTAGGACATCTTCAAATGGCCTAATACACATGTAATTAGAGTCTTCAAAATGGGAGGAGCAGAAAAATATTTGAGAAAATAATGGTCAAATATAATATTTTTCAAAGTTGATGAAAACTATAAACCCACAGATCAAAGATTTTCAATGAACTCCAATCACAAAAGCATGAAGAAAACATCACCAAGGCACAGCATAATCAAATTGCTTAAAATCAGTGATATAGAGAATACAGTGTAATCACCACTTATCTGTGGTTTCCCTTTCCATGGTTTCAGTTACCCGTGGTCAAACATAATTTGAAAATAGGTGAGTACAGTGCACTAAGATATTTTGAGAGAGAGAGGAGAAAAAAAAGAAGAGAGAGCACATTCAAATAACTTTTTTATACTATATTGTTATACTATTATATTATTCTATAATTATTCTATTTCATTATTAATTATTGCTGTTAAATTCTTACTGTGCCTAATTTATAAATTAAACTTTATCATAGGTATGTATGTATAGAAATAAACATAGTATATATAGGTTCAGTACTATCAACAGTTTCAGACATCCATTGGGGGTCGTGGAAAATATCCCCTGCAGATAAAGGAGAACTACTGTATGTTAAAGTACATGGAGAATAAAAGACACATTACTTAGAGAGGGTCAAGATAAGAATAAAAGCAAACTTCCAGTCAGAACAATGCAAGGCAAAATACAGTAAAACAATAGCTTTAAAGTTCTGAAAGAAAAAAGTCAACCCCAAATTCTATATATCCAGTAAGAATGCTTTTCAGGAAGGAAGACAAAATAAAGCATTTTTTAAAAAAGAATTTATCACCAGTAGATCTATACTACAAAAAATGTTAAAGGATGTCCTTCAGGAAGAAGTGAGACTAAAGGAAATCTGAATCAATGCAAAGGAATGTTGATGACCAGAAATGACAACTCAGGTAAACAAAAAATACTTTTTCTTGTTGCTTAAATCTCTTAAAAATAATTGGTCATTTAAAACAAAAATAATAAAAATACATCATGCAGATTATAACACATAACATGAAATGTGTGACAAAAATAGCACATAAAAAAGAGGAGAGAATGACAAGTATACAAATGTAAAGATCTTATACTATACATGAAGTGGTCTAATATCACTTGTGGGTAGATATTGATAAGGTAAACATGTACTATAAACTCTAAAGCAACCGTTACAGTAATACAACAAGAGTTATAGCTAATAAACTAACAAAGGAGATAAAATATAATCATAAAAACACTCAATTTCTTAAAAGGAAGGAGAAGAGAAAAAAGTGAGAAAAACAGATAAGACAAATTAGACATCACATATCAAGATGGTAGTTTAAACTCAAACACCTTTTTAAAAACACATTAAGTGTAAATAGCCTAAGTATTCCAATTAGAAGGCAGAGATTAGCAGATTACATACAAAAGCAAGAACTGTACTTAGCCAACAAGAAACACACTTTAAATATAAAAACACAAATCGGTTAAAAGTTAAATAACAGAGGATTTACACTACCTGATTTTAAGTCTTACTATAAAGCTATGCTAACTAAGACAGTGCAGCACTGGTGCAAAGCTAGACAAACAGATCAAGGAAACAGAATAGAGAGTTATGGAGAATAGAGGTCTATTCAGAAATAGGGCTACACATATGGGATCTACTGATTTTTTTTTCTTTTTTTTTTGAGACTGAGTTTCGCTCTTGTTGCTGCCCAGGCTGGAGTGCGATGGCATGATCTTGGCTCACTGCAACCTCTGCCTCCCGGGTTCAATCGAACCTCCTGCCTCAGCCTCCCGAGTAGCTGGGATTATAGACATGCACCACAATGCCCAGCTAATTTTGTATTTTTAGTAGAGACAAGTTTCTCTATGTTGGTCAGGCTGGTCTCGAACTCCCTACCTCAGGTGATCAACCCACCTCAGCCTCCCAAAGTGCTAGGATTAAAGGCATGAGCCACCACTCCCGGCCAATCTACCAATTTTTTAATGCAAAGGCAATTCAGTAGAGAAAGATTAGTCTTTTTAAAAATGCTACTGGAATAATTGCTCGTAAGCAATAGAAAAGGTGACACCTTATAAAAAAATTAACTCTAAATAGATTATAAACCTAAAGCTAAAACTTAAATCTATAAAATTTCAAGAATAAAGCATAGAAGTAAGTCTATGCGACTTAGTGTTATGCAGACTTCTTTGACACCAAAAGTATGACCCATGAAAGAACAAATTGAACTTCATCAAATTAAGAACACTTACTCTTCCAAAATAGCATTAAGAGAATAAAAACAAACTAAAAAGAATTGCAATTCACATACCTGATAAACAGCTTGGATCCAGAATATATAAAGAACTCTCATAATGCAATAACAAGACAACCAAATAACAAAGATTTGAACAGATACTTTGCCAAGGAATATACAGATAACAAACATATGAAAAGATGATCGACCTCATAAAACCACAATAAGATACGACTATGTACTTATTACAATGTCTGAAATTACAAAGAATTAGTATATGAAGTTTTACTAAGAATGTGGAGCAATTGTTATTCCTGTTCCCCCTCCAGCAACAGACAATGCTACCAACCACCTTCAGGAGAGGGCACATGCAGCCTGGAATAACAACAAAAATCAATAGATTTTCTGAATACTTTATTTTAAAAATCAAAGCAAGGAACAACTGCTTCAAAAGCCAAAGTTTTGATTTGCAAGAGTTGAAATTTTGAGAGAAAAAAAATATGTCCCCTATTCTTTTTAAGTTGCGCAGGACTTACATGCAGCAAGATGTACAAATTTTAAGTTCTGAAAAACATTTACACCTGAGTAACCCCCAACATGTTGAAGATAGAGAACATTTCTTCATTCTGTTAAGTACCCTTGTGTCATTATAGTCAAAGCTCATTTTAGACTCTACAACCAGAGGCAACCACTACTCTCATTTCATTCTACCATAATAGCCTGGTTTATCTGTTCTAGGACTTGATATATATGGAATTGTAATTTTGTGTCTGGCTAATTTCATTCAATATATTGTCTTTGAGCTTTGCCCATGTTGTTGCATGTATGAGTGGTTTGTTCTTTTTTATTGCTAAGCAGTATTCCACTGTATGGATACACCACAATTTACCCATTCTTCTGAGGATGGATACTTGAAATTTTCAGGTTTGAGTTATTGTGTCTGACGCTGCCATGAACATTCTTATACAAAGATTTTTGTGGACATATGTTTTCATTTCTCTTAGGATGATGTCATAGGATTGGTGTATGTTTAATTTTGTAAGAAAATGGCAAACTTTTCCAAAGTAGTTGTATCATTCCACAGTCTCACCAGCAGTATAAGTGAGTTCTTGTGCTCCATATCTTTGCTTGACTTAGTCATCAGTCTTTTAAATGTTAGCCGTTGTAATGGACAAGTGATATCTAACGACGACTTTAGTTTACATTTCCATGTTGAGTGGTGATGTTCAGTATCTTTTCATATGCTCTTTGGCCATTTATATAACTTCTTTTATGAAGTGCTATGCAAGTCTTCTGGGCTATTTTAAAAATTAGATTGTTTGTCTTTGCATTGTTGAGTTGTAGAAGTTTTAAATACATTCTGGAGATAAGTCCTTAGGTAGATATACGTATTGTGAATATCTTCTCCGCCTCTGTGATTCGTGTTTTCATTTTCTTAACTGTCTTTTGAGAAGAAGAGGCTTTTAATTTCAACAAAGTTCAGTTTAACAATTTACAAAAAGAGTTTTGAGAATCAAAAAGTTAAGTCCCAAAGAAACTAACAATACAGTTTATTCCACAAACAATACCTTTGAAAGAATTCATGATGATTTAAGAGCCAGTTTTCTTTACTACTCAAGATTAAAACCTCTTTCTGGCCTGGAGAAAAGGAGTTTGGGAATTGGGAGAGGAAAATCAAGGGAAAAAAATGGAATCCTGCCCCTTGCCTTGGGGCAAGTGACCAACGCCTTGGTCAGTGTATGCAGATCCCAGAGCAGAGAAGACTTATGCCTGGCTTCCCCAGGAAAAACCCAGAGACACTGAGAGGCTTATAGAAGAACCTCACGGAGGGGAGCAATGGTGGATAAGGGATACAGGGGTATGGGCTTGGGGGAAGCCTTGGGAAGTACTGTTACTCTTAGGGAAAATAGAGAAAGCAAACAAGTTCTCAGACCCACCACGGGTAGAAGAATGCTGAGAGAATATGGGCTGACTCAAAGTGGTCTGGATTTGGGACAAGGATGACTCTGAGCAGTTATGCCTGGAGTCCAAAGACCAGCGTGAAAGACTGGCCCTCAGGAGGGAAGCCCAGGACCTAAAGATAAGGGGAAAATAAGGTGAGATTCAACCCAGTGAAGGCCAGTGTGGACAACAGACTACTTCAAATGCAGCCCCATTTTTTCCCTAGAATGCCCAAAACTTAAATTACTCCCATGGAAAGGTGAAAAGGAAAAGAGAAAAACATGAGCTGGCTTTTTTGCCCCAAAGAGACTGTATTTTAATCCAGAAGATGAGTTTTACCTTGAATAGGCAAGATTGTTTTCTGCCACCAAAAGATATAAGGTTTGAAATCAATTGTTATAAAAGAATAAAGTTTCAGATTTGCACCCCTGTGTTTCATGATGGTGAAATTAAACCAGGCGTGATCCTAAACTTTTTAAAGTTGCAGCAATTTCTGTGTTGTTTGCCAGCTAATACTCGGCACAGAGTAGATGGTCAATCAATATTTCGAATGAATGAAAGAAAATGTCTCAACTCTGGTGAAGTTTGCTGACCCAAAATCCCCCTATTTTCTGGCTGTCTATGCTTCTGTCTTCCTCACATAGTGAAAGTGAAGACAAATTAGCCATGTTCGTGGAACATAGTAACTGCGGAACTAGACATTTTTACAATTTTCCATTTGCTTACCAATTTGTAAATAATTATTTCTTTAAATCTGCCTTTATACATGGGAGGTTATTTTCCCTACTAAATTCATCCCTGGGTACCATACCATATAAAAATGATTACTTCTGCATGATTCAATATTCCAGCTCTTTACGCATTTTATTATGGCCACTGCAGTGTCCTCTAGGAGCTTAAAGATTTTTAAAATGCACTTAAAGCAAAGAACAACGGTCATCTGGTTATGTATTTATTTGCTGGGTTTTTTTTGTTTGTTTGTTTTTCATAAGCTGTGCCCAACATTCCCAATTCCCAAGAACAACAACGAGTTGTTTCTTAGAAGCTTAAGAACAATGGCAGATAGGAAGAAAGCTTGTCTTAATTAGCAAGGGCTTGTCAAGGATGCTGAGGGCCTTCCAGAGGTACTTCAGGGAAGAGAGCTGTGTAGTGCTTAAGAGAACTGGCTTTGGAATCAGGCCTCATTCCACAGTCAGCTACCAGTACTTACCAGCTGTGGGAACTTGGGTGTGTTATGTAAGGTCTCCAAGCTTCGGCTGAGCCACGCCAGGGATGTTTAGACTATGAAATGAGATAATACGAACTCAATACAGAACCTGGCACATAGTAAGTTCACTTTAGCTCTTTAATCATCATTATCTTTGTTTTCATTCACTGACATTCTGGAAATGGAACAAAGCAGTGACTTCTACTTCTTTTCTTGAAGACAGCAATATCTGAGTGCAGCTGTGATGAGTTCGCCAAGGTAGGTCCTTGGGCCAGGTGTTAGGTTTTCAGGAATCTAAGTCCCAGACCCAGGCACCTCTTTAAAAACATATGAAAGAGATCAGAAGTGAAATCATTTCCAGGCAGCACCATTTTTTTTTTATGGCAACCTAATTGACACCTTAGGGTTTGGTAAAGAAGTTTAGGCTTCCCGTGGGGAATAAAACGATGAACAGGAACAGAAAAACTCGGGCTACACATGTGTGGTGAAGAACAAATGGGCCTTTCCTGCATCATCCAGTGAGGGGCTGTGGGTTTGCAAAATATTTTCAAAAGGAGACCCAAATCTGGGCCAGAACTTCTTGGCTGACTGATGAGCCACCCAATAAATCTTTAAGCAAACAGTTTTGAGAGCAGGAATTCAAGGAAGTTGATTTTGAACCCATTCAGAAAACATTCTTCATTTGATCCTCCTAAAACCTAAGTTATTTAAATATAATTCAATCAAAGTGAGGCAGCTGTCTCAGAAATCAGAAAAAGCCTCCTTGTTTCATGTCAGCTTAGTTGTTCTGCTGAAGAAATCAAGTGGAGGGTGTGGACACGGCATCCCAGACCCACATGGTGACTTTGCACAGGGCAGCTGCAGCAGCAGAGGTTCCCAGATGGCACTTTGGAGCTGAGACGAAGACTTTGAACTAACTAATAAAACAAAGCATTGGAAGCAGGGGGAGGGGACGGTGCTGACTTCTTTCCAGGATACAACACAGAGGGATATGACCCCAGTAGTGTCATGCCATTAAAACAAGGCTGTAGTACTCCTGATAATGGGACTTTCCATGCGCATTTTAACCATTATTTACCCACCATACCGCACTTTTTGTTTATTCATTCATTTGACGTATTTTTATCGAGTCCGTATTATGTGACAGCTGCTATGCTAGATTCTGACATTATGGTAGAGAATAAAACAAGCAAAGTCCCTGACATTAAGAAGCTTACATTGTAGAGGAAGAGACCATCAAAATACAAGCAAACAGGCAAATAGAGCAGATACAAAGTGCGACACATTTTATAAAGGCAGGAAGGAACTGAAATATAGAATAAGGGAAGATAGAATTATGTTTGAAGTCTAGGAAAAGATTCTCTGAGGCCCAGGGAAGGACTATAAAATGGTGTTGCCATTCTGGAAAGCAAACTTGCAGTATTTACCAAAATTGAATATATGTGTCCCTGGAATCCCACGGTATCACTCGTAGATACATGTGCCAGAGATGGTCTTGCTTAGATCTATAAGAATGTTTCTTAGGACAATGTTGTGATAGGAGGGAGGTAGAGGGGTCTTTCACAAGGGCGAATGATTGCTGTGGATTACCACAGAACATGAAGATGCAGTGCACAGGAGGTGCAGGAACATGGGTAGCAGCTCCAAAAATCATAACGTGAAGTGAAAACAGGCAGGGCACAGAATAAGACTCAACGAGCAATGCCTTTATGTGCACTGAAAGTACACACTAGAAACATCACAACGCACGTAACAAAGATGAGTCAGAGCCAGTCTCAATGCCCTCTGTGGGGATGGGGGCATGAGAACAAGGATTAGGGAAAAAGGGGAAAGCAACTTTTAATGAAAGGAACCAAGCAAGGGTCTTGAAAATCCAGTCCCGATGGTGTGATATGAACTTAAGAGTATGATGGACTCAGATCTGCCCCTGAGATGAAAACAAAACTGAAGAGGAAAGAGAAGCTGGCCAGGTCAAGAGCAATGGGAGAAATGCAGCCTCTGGAGGGCCTCACAGTAGGCCACAGCCCTGACTGAAGGACAGCCAGTGTGATTGTCCTTTCAACAGCAAGGCACAAGACATGAAGTTGGAGAGGCGGGTAGGAGCTTGACTATGCAAGGCCTTTGTAGGCCATGGCAAAGACGTTTAGATGTTATTCAAAGTGCGGTGAGAGCCGGGTGTGGTGGCTCATGACTGTAATCCCAACACTTTGGGAGGCTGAGGCAGGTGGATCATCTGCAGTCAGAAGTTCGAGACCAGCGTGGCAAACATGGCGAAACCCCATCTCTACTAAAAATACAAAAAGTTAGTTGGTGTTATGGTGGGCGCCTGTAATCCCAGCTACTTGGGAGGCTGAGACAGGAGAATTGCTTGAACCTGGGAGGCAGAGGTTGCAGTGAGCTGAGATGGTGCCACTGCACTCCAGCCTGGGCAACAGAGCAAGACTCTGTCTCAAAAAAAAAAAAAAAAAAAATGCAATGGGAGGCTGCTAAAATATTTTAAGCAAAGGGGTGACATGACTTACTTGACATTTTTAATAGATCATCTCGTTTGTGATACAAACCATAAACAGGAGGGTGCAGGAATAAAACCAGAGACACTATTGATGAGGTGTTGGTGGTAACTTGGGCCAAGGTAGCCACATGCATGGAGGTGAGCATTTGGACATATCTATAGGCACACACCCCCGTGCTTCTGTGCAGGGAGCCAAAGGTCCATGGGATGTGACCAACTCAACATTCCACTGGAGGCTATATGATCAAACAACAAACTGTTTATCA